>NC_000006.12:27938787-28241818 GCF_000001405.40 Homo sapiens | reverse complement strand
AACTCTGAAAATGTTGCTAACTGGTAGAGAAATGGAGATTAACACTTTGTTAATGGAAACCTCCAAATAAAGGAATTATAATTGTTTAATAATAAAGACTATATTTTAAAAGTGTCCTGTAACTATTTGACAGTATTGGTCTTCTTATCTTCTAATAATTTCCCAAACCTATCTGGTACCATTTCCTCAATTATTCATAAGAACTTTAACCACTAATTCAATTCAATTTATCTACTTTTCTCTGAACACTTGTTTTAGTCCATTCTTTGTTTTTCCTCATGATAGTCAAAATTGGGTCTGATAGATTCAAATGAGGAAGCTTTATTTTTCAGTCAGCCTTGTATAAGTAGTGTCTATTTTGTACATTTTAAAGGGAGTTGCTATGACAGAAATTTTTCGGGATGACTACTTTCCAGGACTACTTTCTTGTGAACTTTTTTGTTATGTATCATGTTCCCTTATTATAGAAGTATCCTTTCATTGTTGTATTTACTCAGATTTCTTACTTGGTTTCTGGCATTTGCAGTCCCCTTCTATTTACAATGTCAACCTATGACCCTGGATTTGAATGCAGCAAGATTTCCTGGACTCCTTTCCCAATTAATGGTTGAACATTGGGGTATATTCCTGCCTGCTTTATGTATTTTGTTGAATTGGAATATTACCCAAAATCCTCTGCACATTTTTTCAAATTCCTGTTTTTACTGCCATTTCTAAGGTTGGTACTTCAAGGTTTTCAGGGATCTAGGAAAGCAATCCTAATGTAACGTATTTGTAAACAAGTAATAAACCATATGATTATTCCTTTCCTCTGAGTGAATTCTTAAATAGATAATGGATTGCATAATTTCCAAACTGTCAGAAAATAACTATCATTTCAGGTATTAACTAAAGCATTAAAACCTTTAACAATTTTCTCCCTTTTTTCTCTCCCACCAGTTCTGCCCATAAGCATTGGGAGCTTGGGAAATGGAGTTTGTAGCCTTACAGACACACTTAGAGCACAGGGTATACAAGGCCTGCTGCGGGGCTGAGATATATGAGGGATACAAGAGATAGACAAGATATATGACTGGCTTTTCACTGTAACCTCAGCACCTAAAAGAGTTCCTCTTAGATCAGTGAATGTGGAAATTGGCTGACTCAACTTTTTCTTTTGTACTGTTTAAGTAAATCAAGATGCCTTGACAGCCAAAGTATGTGCATATCTGCTTCCAGAAATACTAGGCTTTCCCTATTTCTAAACAAGTTATGTATTCCTAACCATTCATTCAACAACCCCCAATTGCTTATGTCATGTCTATGCTCAGGCACTAAGGAAATAAAGATGAACAAGATGTTGTCTTTGCCCTGGAAAAGCTTGAGAGCTACTCTCTATTTTTACCTGCTAGGTTTTGATTTGTAGTTTACTTTTAAGGTAGATTCAGAAGCTGATCATTTCTCACCACCTCCACTGCTACCATCCTGATCTGAGCCACTCTTGCTCTCCCATGATTATCACTATGGAAGCCTACAAATGAGTCCCCTTACAGTTTCTTCTCAATATATCAGTCAGAGTAACCCTTTTTAAATTCCTGCATAATCTAAGTGGGATCACACACATCATTCTTCCACTCAAAACCCTGCAATGGTTTCCATTTTCACCAAAATTAACAGCCCAAGCCCTTACAGAAGTAGGCAAGGCTCTTCACAGTCTGCCTTCACATTACCTCTCTGACCTCAACGTTTTTTTTGTGTTTTGTTTTTTGTTTCTGTTTTTGAGGCAGGGGTCTCACTCTGTTGCAATTTACCTATATAACAAACCTGTGCATGTACCCCTGAACCTAAAATAAAAGTCTAAAAAGAAATACTTAAAGTGTTGAAGAATACAACTGTCAATCTTCTGAGCAGACTGAGTTAATAAGGGCTCTCTAACTTACTGCAGACACATAGAAACTACCATTCAGGGGTGACGGTTAAATGAAAACATGTTAACACAAAGCCTGAGAGAATCTGCAGTTGCTAAACAAACCACTGAAACATGTGCTTCAGTGAGAAGAAAAATGAATCTCCCAGAAAGCCCCAGTGAGTGAAACCAATTTGTTAAAATGTATACATGGAAATCTAGTTAATCATTGATGATAAAAATCCAATAATAACAACAATGATAATAACAATGATCACTTTGGGGGAAAGAAAGCTTAAAAACAAGTAGAAATAAAATATTAATCAATAATGTTATGTAATATTGGAGAGGGTTGATAGGAGGCATTCCAAGTTTTGTATAATATGGAAAAGGGTGAGGAAAGAGATTAGTTTCATAATCTCACAAGCCAGGTGGGCATATGGACATTTTATGCCCATGTGTAAATGTATAGTTTTCAAACATGTAAATAGGGGGAAAATAAGAAAATATAGCCAACACAAGACAGGAACTAACAAAAAATCAAAGAAAGATCATGAAAAATAGAATGACAAAATCAGGTGGTGGAAATAAATCAGTAATCATAACAAATATCTATGGATGAAATGGATTCACAGTTATAAGATTTGGACATAAAAATATTGTAAAAGGATATTAAAATCAATTTAAAAAACATACTGCTTAGGAATGCATATATATGAAATAAAATTATATATAAAAAAGGAAAGCAAGAAATGATAAAATTGGGATTCAGGATGATGTTCCCGCAACTGGAAGAAGTCAGGTAGCTGAAATAAGGAGTACCAAATGATTAGATGTATATGTGGTTTTCAAGGTCTTTTGTTTTGAATGGCAGGTTAAAGAGTGCTAATTTAATTATTAAAAATAACTACTTAAATTAAGAAAGCAATAATCAAAAGCATGCCATTCGTGGGCTGACATCGTTTGGATCTGTGTCCCCATGAAATTTCATGTCAAATTGTAATCCTCAATATCGGAAGCAAGCCCTAGTGAGAGGTGATTGGATCATGAGGGTGGGTTTCTCATGAATGGTTTAGCACTATCCCCCTTGGTACTGTCCTTGCAATAGTGAGTTCTTGTGAGATTGGGCTGTTTAAAAGTGTGTGGCATTTTCCCCCTCTCTTTCTTGCATCTGCTCTGGCTATGTGACATGCCCACTCCCTTTTCACCTTTCACCAAGATTGTAAGCTTCCTGAGGCCTCCCCAGAAGCCAAGCAGAGCCGGCATCATGCTTCCTGTATAGGATACAGAACCATAAGGCAATTAAACCTCTTTTCTTTATAAATTACCTAGTCTCAGGTACTTCTTTAGAGCAATGAGAGAATAGACTAATACATGGACCAATGATATTAGCGTGTTATGGATCACATAAAGGAATATAAATAATACAATTCTGTGCACTTGATATCCAAAGGAAATCATTTTTTAAAATGCAAAGGGGTGAGAAAGAGATACTAAGCTAATAATCTCTAAAAGATTTTGGCCTAGTTACATTAATATCAGACCACATAAGCATTGTTAGCGATAAAAAACATCATGATTAAAGGAATAATTCCTCAAGAAGACATGCAATTCCTGAACTTCTATATACCTCAACTCATAACCTTAGAATATGCAAAGCAAAATTGACATAATACAAGGAGAAACTGACAAGTCTTTTCCCCACAGCAAAGTATTAACAAACCTCTCCCAATAATCAATAGATCAGGCCAGGTGGGGTGGCTCACACCTGTAATCCCAGCACTTTGGGAGGCCAAGGCAGGTGGATCACTTGAGGCCAGGAGTTCAAGACCAACCTGGCCAACATGACGAAACCCCAATTCTACTAAAAATACAAAAATTAGCCGGGCATGGTGGCATAAGCCTGTAATCCCAGCCACTCAGGAGGCTGAGGTTGTAGTGAGCTGAGATCGTGCCACTGCATTTCAGCCTGGGTGACAGAGCGAGATTCTGCCTTAAAAAAAAAAAAAAAAAAATCAGAGGGCAAACAAAAACTTCGGCTATAGGAAAATTTGAATACAGTTAACAAACTCAAAAAACTGATATTTTAACAACAGAAAATCTGTTAATTCACCACATTAAGATCAAAGGAGGAAACACTATATCATCATTTTAACATAAGCAGAAACATTATTTGATAAAATTCAATACTCATTTGTGACAAAGACTTTTAGTAAATGAGGACTAAATGGGAATGTTCTTAATATTATGGAGGATAATGATCAGAAACTCACAACAAATATGATATGAATCATTAGATGAATCCATTCAAAATCAGGAATAAGATGACTATTAGTATGATTTCTACCTAACATTGTCCAGGAGAGATTGGCCACTGCATCAAGACAAGAAAGGGAAATAAGAAAGGGAAGAAATAAAACCCTCCTTATTCATAACAATATTATTTTTAAAATTCAATGTTAGTTCTCAAACAGAGCTAAAGAAACAATTGAGGAAGATGTTTTGAGAGCAGAACAGAGGTAGTGAGTGGGGTGGGAAGAGCAGGGAAGGAAAGAAGTTAGGATCGAAGAACATTTAGATGGATTAGTTGAGACTATTGCAGAACAAATGGAATTTACATATGATTAAATGATTAGTTAGGGTATAGACATATATGAAAATGGAGAATTTCATTCAATACAGAAACCTTTACTTTTTAATATTAATTTACTTTTAAAACCCATGTGAGTACAGTCTGTAATACACTTTAAAAAAAAATGAGGCAAAAGAAAAAGTCTCACAAAAACTCCAACTTAAAACTCTCTCACCAGTATGTCAGATACTCCTTTTGCCTTGGCATATTATATGCAAATTTGGTAATATCTCTTTCTATTTGTTTGATGCAGCATTTTATAGATTGCATTGTCCTTTCATATAGTCATGTGCTACATGTTTCAGTCACCTAGTGACATTGTAGCTATCTTAACAGCTTAGTGCAATGCATTATTCATGTGTTTGTAGTGATGGTGTCAACAAATATTTTAAAAATAAATTTGGTGTAGTCAAAGTGTACAATGTTTATAAAGTCTACAGCAGTGTACGGTCTTCACATTCACTCTTCACTCACTGACACCCTGACCAACTTCCAGTCCTAAAAACTGCATTCATAGTGTCTATACAGGTATACCATTTTTTTTTATCTTTCACACTGCATTTTTACTAGATTTTTCTATGTTTAGATACACAAATACAGCATTGTGCTACAAATGTCTGCTGTATTCAACACAGTAGCATGCTGTATAGGTTTGCAGCCTAGGGGCAACAGACTATACCATCTACCCTAGGTTCATAGTAGGGTATACCATCTATGTTGTGTAAGTATATTCTATGATGCTTGTACAGTGACAAAATCATACAACAGCACATTTCTCAGGATGTATCCCTGTCATTTATAGGACTGTAATTGCTATCTGCTGTTTTTCAAAAACAATCCTGCAAATAGGAGGATAGGTGAAGAAACTGGGGCCTGAGAGGTTACGTGTGGTGATGCATGCCAGTGGTATCCTGCCCAGGTCCCCTTTTCCAAGTCAGTACACCCATTCTCCAGTTGCCAGGAAGGTCAGTGCACCCACTCCCTGATTATCATGAGCACTGGCTGCTAATGGCTCACAGTCATCACCTTCTCTGAAGAATTGTCCTTGGACAAAGGGAGATAATCTATTCTCTCCGGGAAGTCCTCAATCCACAAGGCACTGATTGAGGTACAAAAGGCTGGCCCCTTGCCTCAAGGGTAAGTTTTGTTCCAAAGATCCTTCTTCCAAAGTAGACTAAACTAGACTTAAGCTCAGACCACATCTTGCTCAGCCCACTTCCTCTTCCATATCTTGCTTCCCTCTCTGCCTTGCAGCTTTTTTCCTGCAGCTTATTTTGCCTCAATAAATTCCCTAGACTTGAATCCATGCCTAGGCTCCGCTTCTAGGAAACCCAACCCAAGTGACTTATCCAAGGTCCAAACTCTAGAATTGATTAGGCATGGACTCCATCTCAGGGGTCCTGACTCCTGGTCCACTCCTGTTTTTTAACTATACCATGTGGTATTGAGACATAACAAAAAAAAGAGAAGAGGCTACTTTAATATTTAAATTTTTGAATTTTCACTCACTCAAGACGATTAATGTCATCAGTAATAGGTAATTCCCATACCATTTGTTTGGTATAGGAAGGTATTATATTTAACATTTCTGTCAGATGATCCTGGAGTTTATCATTTAAACCTACTATGACACGAAAATTCTTCTTAGGCTTCCCTACAATGTGTAGAACTTTTTCCTGATGCAAAAAAAGAAATGGGTGTCTTAGGTAAGCTGATATTTTGTGGAGTTTTTAGGTGATGCTACGTATTAGGTAACTTATTTTCCCTCTGATGGGAAAGTGTTGCTAAGGGTTTTGACTTAAAATCCAACTTCCTTGGCCACTCATTCAGTGGAGAAACAAGAAAAAAGAAACATTTTACAATCTGCTCTCTCTCTGAAGTCTGCTACCTGAGAGATTCCTCTGCACAATAAAACTTGATCTCCACAATCCTTTACCTTAGCCTAAACATTCCTTTCCATTAATCCCAGGTCTTCAGATAAACTCAACCAATTGTCAAGCAGAAAATGTTTAAATCTACCTACAGCTTGGAAGCCCACGCTTTGATTTGTCCCGCCTTTCTGAACCAAACCAATCTATTTCTTAAATGTATTTGGTTGATGTTTCATGCCTCCCTAAAATATATAAAACCAAGCTGTACCCTGACCACCTTGGTCACATGTTCTCAGGACCCCCTTGAGGGCTGTGTCATAGGCCATGGTCAATTGTATTTGGCTCAGAGTAAGTCTCTTCAAATATTTTATGGAGTTTGACTCTTTTCGTCAACAAGTTCATGGGGTTCACTATGCTATTCCACTTCTGTTTGAATCTTACATAAAAGAGTTAAATTACATAATCCCCAATTCAAGAGTTGACTGCTCTGCAACACATTTAGGAGTTACTGAAAACAGTGCAAAACTCAACTGTGTATGGACTCATCCTGAGCAAATTGCAGCACTTCTTTTCCATCTCTCAGGAAACCTCTGAACATTTAAATCAAATACATAAAGGGAAGAGATGGGGTTGCAGCCTTAGTAATCATAAAAGGGAGTAAGGGAGGGCAGGCAAAGAGCCTTGGGAAACCTCAAGCCTCAAGTCTTTAGTCCTAAGAAAGGGAGATTCCTCCTCTCCATGAGTAAACTTCACTGAGAAAGAGCTTCCTCTGGGGCAGAACACTTAAGGCGACGTAAGTCTTCTCCAGTTTTTAAAAAAATTTTCTTCCTTTTTAAATTTTTTGATGGAGGCAGCATAATTGATTTTTTTTTTTTTGAGACAACGTTTCTGGGTTTGTTTTGTTTTGTTTTGAGACGGGGTCTCTCTCTGTGGCCAGGCTGGAGTGCAGTGGCATGATCACTGCATCTCAAACTCCTGGGTTTAAGTGATCCTCTCACCTCAACCTCCTATCTGGGGACTACAGGCACACACCACCACACGCAGCTAATTTTAAAATTTTTTCTTTGTAGCAACAGGGTCTCACTATGTTGCACAGACTGGTCTCGAACTCCTGGCCTCAAGCAATACTGTGGCCTTGGCCTCCAAAAGCTCTGGGATTACAGGCTTGTACCACCACACCTGGCGTACAATTGATTTTCTTAAAGATCTACACAGGGAAGAAATTTTTTTCTCTAGACCTAAGCCAAGCAAACAGAAGAGAAAGACTGAGGACATTTCAGACAGTAGCTAGCATCTTACCTGGATTAATCCAGTTCTCTGATGTGGCCTGGTACTCAGGATACAGATGACTTTCTAACACTGAAGATGTGATAGAAAAACTCTAAGGGAGTTCCAGGTGACTAAAATGTAGAAATCTGGTATCAGTACAAAGCTTGACATCATAAAGAAATTGAGATTTGGAGTTAAAAGCCAAGGTTTAACTAAAAAGGTGTGATGTTACAAGTTAACATTAGGAGAATCTAGGTGAAGGGAATATGAGAACTCCATCTCTGCAACATTTCTGTAAGTCAAATATTATTCCAAAATTAAAGCATTACTAAAAATAAAAGTTCAGGGTTTCAGCCTTGGCTCTGATGCTTGGATTTTCTAAGCCTTGGAGTCCTCATCTGTAAAATGCGATAATGATAACGCTCATTTCCCTGTGTGGCTGTTGTGAGGACCAACTATGGTTAAGTAAGCGGACACACACTGCAGACACTGAAACACACAGCCAATGCTGGTCACTTTCCAAGGGAGAGTCACGTAGGTGTCAGAGAGAAGCAGTAAGGTAGAAAAGGTGTTTATAGTGTAGACCCTGGTCACAGGGAACACCAAAGACCCAATTGTTATAAACCATCAGTAGAACTCTGTTATCCTTTGTAGTTAAACACAGATACCAAATCTTTCAGGCATGTTGGCTGTGGCAGTGCCATTTATTATATTATTAGAAGGGTTTAGCAGCCATCTCAAAAAAATAAATAAATTATAAATAAGAGGGACACAGCTAGTAAGAGTAAGAAAGAGGTAAAATGAACAAAAGAGAAAACAGTAGCTTCAAACACCCAACTTTCCTTTAAGGAAGTCCCTGGGCCTTAAGTCAGGATTTGTTTCAAACACATTTCATGGAGAAAGGAAGAAAGAGGCATTTTCTAGTCTCAACCTGCCCCACACAACTTGGGTGGTGATCTGGAAAACTTGCTCATAGCCAAGCCCTAGACCAGCTCAGCCACTGTGTGGATCTTCTGATGGCGAATGAGGTTGCAGTGTCGATTAAAGCTTTTCCCACATTCAATGCACTGGTGAGGTCGCTCCCCTGTGTGGCTTCTCTGATGTTCAATGAGAAATGAACGCCGACTGTAGCTCTTACTGCACTGGCTGCACTGATACGGCTTTTCTCCTTTGTGGATTCTCTGATGCTGGATAAGACCCGCACTCTGACTGAAGACCTTCCCACACTCCTTGCAGTGGTACCGTTTCTGTATATTGTGGATTCCTCGGTGATTAAAAAGACCAGAACTTCGACTGAAGGCTTTCCCACATTCATTACATTCATAAGGTCTTTCTCCAGTATGAATTCTTTGATGTCGAATGAGACCTGAGCTCTGAGTAAAGCTCTTCCCACATTCATCACATTTGTGTTGCCCCTCTCCTAAGAGGTTTCCCCACTGCCTCTCTATCCTATCCTTATGTTCACCAACTTCTCCATGTGAGGGATCCTGCTGTGATACCTCCCAGGTCTGCTCATTAAACATTTTCCCATGTGGTTCCACTATCTTAGGACAGTCTTTCCTTAGCACCAACTCTCTGTCCTCAGTCTTGGTTACTTCATCTGAAACAAAGAAAAAGGCTAGGTAAATGTCACTTGTTCCCTGAGCCTATGGGAAGGTGACTATGTCTATAAAAATATATCATAGAAAAGGAAGTGGGCTAGAAACAGAAGGGCTAGTGTGGTAACACTTTCCCCTACGTAGGGAGGAACGTTTGCCCTCTTTGGCATAATGCAGGTCAGTCCATCCCCATGTAGACTTGGCCTGAGTCGTTGTTTTTTGTTTTGTTTTTTGAGCCAGAGTGTCACTCTGTAGCCCAGGCTGGAGTGCAATGGTGTGATCTCAGCTCACTGCAGCCTCCATTTCCCAGGTTCAAGCGATTCTCCTGCCTCAGTCTCCCAAGTAGTTGAAACTACAGGCACGCACCCCCACGCCCAACTAATTTTGTATTTTTAGTACAGACGCGGTTTCGCCATGTTGGCCATCCTGGTCTTGAACTCCTGACCTCAGGTGATCCACCCACCTCGGCCTCCCAAAATGCTGCGATTACAGGTGTGAGCCACTGCACCCAGCTGGCAGTACCTTTTTTATACTTCATAGGGAGGGATGGTTAAAGATTAGGGTGGCTTCTCTGGAGTATTCCCTTACACCTCTCTCTCCTTTCTGAGATAACCTCAAAGTGACCCTTTCCAAGGAAAGTTACTTCATGTATTCATTCATTCATTTTCAGAACAAGTATTAAACTTCTACTACTTAGGTGCTTCAGGCAGTCCAGTAGTCCCCACTTATCTGTGGTTTTGCCTTTACAAAGTTTCAGCTACCCACAGTCAATCACAGTTCAAATATACTACATGGAAGATTCCAGAGGCAAACAATTTTTTTTTTTTTTTTTTGAGACGGAGTCTCACTCTGTTGCCCCTTGGCTCACTGTAATCTCCGCTTCCCGGATTCAAGCGATTCTCCTGCCTCAGCCTCCCGAGTAGCTGGGACTACAGGCACACATCACCATGCCTGGCTAATTTTTTGTTTGTTTGTATTTTTAGTAGAGATGAGATTTCGTCATGCTGGCCAGGCTGGTCTCAAACTCCTGGCCTCATGATCCATCCGCCTTGGCCTCCCAAAGTGCTGGGATTACAGGCGTGAGCCACCACGCCCAGCACAAACAATTCTTAAGTTTTAAATTTGGCACCATTCTGAGTAGTATGATGAAATCTCATGCCATCTGGCTCTGTCTCACCCAGGACATGAGTCTTCCTTTTGTCCAGCATATCCACACTGTACATGCT
This sequence comes from Homo sapiens, assembly GCF_000001405.40. Classification (NCBI taxonomy): domain Eukaryota; kingdom Metazoa; phylum Chordata; class Mammalia; order Primates; family Hominidae; genus Homo; species Homo sapiens. Next base: position 28,231,337 of record NC_000006.12, on the reverse strand, counting down.
GCCTGCCTGTTGCACACATAGTAGCCATCTTGGTTATGAGATTGACTGTTGCAGTGTCTCAGTGCTTGTGTTTACATACCCCTTATTTTACTTAATAATGGCCCCAAAGTGCAAAAGTAGTGAGGCTGGCATATTATTATAATTGTAATTGTTCCATTTTATTATTAGTTATTGTTGTTAATCTCTTACTATGCCTAATTTATAAATTAAACTTTATCTTAGGTATGTATAGGAAAAAAATAGTATATACAGGGTTCAGTATTACCCTTGGTTTCAGGCATCTACTGGGGGTCTTGGAATGTATCCCCCTTGAATAGTGAGGACTACTATACTTTATGAATTTCAAATCCACAATTATCCAAGGTGCATTCCCATCATAAGACCTTTGCTCTAGTGCTTCTCTCTTCCTGGAAACTTCTCACCTCAAATGAAAGCAAGGCCCACTCTCTCGCTTCCTTTAAGTCTTTGTTCAACTCACCTTCTCAATGAGGTCTATCTTAATTCTTCTATTTAATATCACAATCTGTTTGCCTCATCCGTAGCACTCTTAATCTCCCTTATCCTGTTCTATTTTTGCCTTATTCCATAGCCTCATCACCTTTTAACACACTGTATCATTTCTTTACTTTTATATTTATTATTATCTCCCTCTTGCTACAATCTAATCTCTACGAGAGGAGGAACCTTCTGTTTTATTCCTGAGAAACATGCCTGGCACATAGTCTGATTTCACTTTGCAACCCAGAAAAAGGCCGAGGACAACAGACCCAGGCCTCCTCTTTTGACCAAAATATTTGCCTCTTTCTCCCATATCTAACTGTCCTGTCTCTCACATACAAGAATAGGTACCTCTTAGGACTCCTCTGTTGTTAGGCCATGTTTCTCCTCCTCCTTTTAGCTGGGGGATCACAACAGGTTTGGAAAATAAAAATGTGTCTGTAGAGAACAGATGGGCCCCAAGTGGGATCAGTACTGCCCTTCTCCTCAAACTTCGTATTAAATCTGAAATCCATAAGGGAGCTGGGTAGAATATAAAAATTCAGACATTTCCCACCTTTTAATGATTACCATTTATACAACTTTCATGACTTATGAAGCACTTTCAGATATATTATCAAACTGACTCACCACAAAACTCGATGTTATTATCCCATCTCTTTAAAGAACTATAGAAAAATATGGGCCAGGCGCTGTGACTCACGCCTGTAATCCCAGCACTTCGGGAGGCCGAGGCGGGCGAATCACGAGGTCAGGAGATCGAGACCATCCTGGCTAACACAGTGAAACCCTGTCTCTATTAAAAATACAAAACATTAGCCGGGCATGGTGGCGGGTGCCTGTAGTCCCAGCTACTTGGGAGGCTCAGACAGAAGAATGGCATGAACCCGGGAGGCGGAGCTTGCAGTGAGCCGAGATCGTGCCACTGCATTCCAGCCTGGGCGACAGAGCGAGACTCTGTCTCAAAAAAAAAAAAAAAGAAAAATATGGGAAGATACATATATATGGGTAGGCAGACTATATAGAGAAACGTCTGCAAAATATGCAGCAAAGTGACAAGAGTAGCTACCTCTAGGGAGTAGGATTTGGAAAACTTCCATTTTTTACTATATAAACTTTTGTATTATTTGGATTTTTAAATAATCAGCATAACTTAAAAAGAAACTCAAGCTTACCTATTAAATATTGCTTGGCTAAGAATTTGAAAAGCTGGAACTTGAATTTGGTCCTTGTAATTTCAAACACTATGTTGTTTTATAATATTGGCTTTATCTAAATTTGTAACACATACCTGCGCTGATATCCTACAAGGAGAACACTCCAGTCTCCAGATGCCCTCTGGATATTCTCCTACAGCCATAGTAGATGCTTAATAAACACTTGTTGAATGATAGATGGATAGATAAGTGGATAGGTGGAAAATATAGATGTGCTTCTTGGAAAAGGGGATACTCAGCAGGGTTCTAGATGCAGTTTGGAAGGTAGAAGAAAGGAAGTGGCTAGAAAATAAAAGGTCCAAGTTCATAGAGAGAGGAAGAAGAAAGAAACAAATTGACTGGAAAGATGCTCATAAAGAGGGAAAATGATATCAGAAGCAATTTTAATCTGATAAAGTCACAGAAGCTATAAGAAGGTCTGCACAGAATTTACTCAACACATACACTTTAATTTAAATCAAGAGATGAGTTCCATGTAATAGAAATCCATAATTGCTAGGGTAAATGAAATAAACAGAACCTAGGGACAAAGAGGCAAGGGAAGTTGCAGCTTTGATGCATATAGGGGTAATATGAAACTGAAAACAGTAGAACCTTGCTACAGATTGATTGTCAGAACATTAACAAAAAGTCAGTAAGAGGGCATGATTTTATGTGTGGGAAATCAGACAAGCTAGAGCCAATTCCTGCAGGGAGGGCTAGAATGGGAAAGCAGCTGACTCAGTCCCAAGTGCTCAGTACTATATCCACAAGGGTGGTCACTGCCACCACTCAGAAGATTACAGAGAAGGAAATGGCAAAGTCTGATTTCACTGGATTCTCCCATACAGTTCTGCCACTTACTAAGCATATCTGATATCTTTCTACTCCAAGTATGAACCCAAATCAGCAAGGGTGGCACTGGTGATTTGTGACAATAGTGACCATGTATTAAGCATAATGCATGCCAAGTGCTTTTCATAAATTGTATTTGATACTCACAATGACTTTCTGAGGTACATACTGGTTACGGACTAAATTGTATTCCCTCACATATGCTGAGGTCCTAACCCCTCAATATGATTATATTTGGAGATAGGGCCTTGAGGAAGGTATTAAAAGTTAAATGAGGTTATAAGGAAGGGCCCTATCGGGTAGGAATGGTATCTGTCCTTATAAGATGAGAGAGCTTGCTCTCTCTCTGTATGCATACAGAAGAAAGGCCATGTGAGGATACAGCAAGAAGATGGCCATCTATAAGCCAGGAAGAGGCCTCACCAGAAACCAAACCTGATGGTATCTTGATCTTGGACTACTAGCCTTTGAAAATGTGAGAAAATAAATTTCTGTTAAAGACAACCAGTCTGTGGTATTCTCTTAAGGCAGCGCAAGTAGACTAAACCAAAGCTATTATCAACCCCATTTTGTAGATGAGGGATCTGAGGTCAAGTGGTTAAGTAATCTGCCCAATACAAGCAGCTTCCATGAGGCGATGCCAGGATCTGAACCTGTCTGTCAAACCTTGAAGTCCATTCTCTGAAGCTGTGCTCCACAGCGATCCCTGAAAGCCTTCCTCATGTACCATGCATCAGAAGTCCAGAAAGCTTCCAGGGTGGTACTCAGGGAGAAGTCTGCACGCAGGGAGAAGGGTCAAAGATGAGCACACTAGGCTCTCAGAAGAACTGACCATTACTGCTATCTGGTAAGGAGTCTTTGGGTCTCCTGTTTTCCCAGCTCTGGGTTTATTGTTTGTTTTTGCTTGACCAGGTGGGATTCGTTCAACATCAAATAAATGCTGTCCCTCACCTGTCTCTCCAATAGAATGGCACTTCTGAGCAGAGTCACATGTGAGCTGTGGCTCCTTAGGCTGGGACTGAAGGGTCAGTGGTGTCTGCTCTGCTAGAGGCACCATCTCTTTACAGAGGACTTCTTGTCTGTGTCTGTGGGCCACCATCTGGGGACAAAAAGACAAGATTTGACTTTTGAAGAAATTAACTGTCTGAAATAAACACTTCCAAGAAAGAAGGAAACAGGAAGAGAGTATTTTATCACCAATGTCAAGGAGACACAAAGCAGAAGTGACAAGGATTCTTGGCATGCCAAAATACACATTTTTCTCTAGCAAATCTCCCTTCCTACCTCATGTTGTGGTTCATCGAGCTCTCTCTCCAGATCCTCCAGCAAAATCACAGCCTCTTCTCCACTCTCTGGACAGTGTTCCCTCACCCAGCCCTGGAGCTCCTTGGGCAGAATGGATAGAAACTGCTCCAGCACCAGCAGATCCAAAATCTGCTCCTTTGTGCTCACATGTGGCCTCAACCACTGGTAGCAAAGTTCCTGGAGTCGAGTAAGAGCCTCCCTTGGTCCAGGGGTCTCTTGGTAGCACAGCTGTCGAAAGTGCCTTCGGAAGATTTCCCTTGCCAGTGGATTACTGCGTTTCAGTCTGGATTCCTGCCATTGAAGGTGACTTTTTGCTTCCACTTTCATTGTCAGAAGTTCTTCCCATGCCTCGGGAACTTGAACACCCAGGGATAAAACCTCCTTTGAGTTTGTATTCATCTTGACCTTGAACAGCTTAAAAGGTACCCTCCAGCTGGAGCTATGCTTCAAGACAAACCTTGGAGGCGCTTGCCTAAGCAGTAAAAATAAATTATTTATATAGAAAAATGATAATAGCTGATGACAGAAACTGATAATACAAGCAATTATCATAGGCCCTAAAGCTCTTCTCTGAAAAGTGATTTGGTGACCAAAGGATGGAAATAATGGAAATATATATATTCATAATGTGCTAAGAGCATAAGCTTTTAAGTTACCCAGATATGGGTTTTCTTTCTTTCTTTTTTTTTTAAATGGGGAATTTCACTCTGTTTCCCAGGCTGGAGTGCAGTGGCATAATCACAGCTCACTGCAACCTCAAACTCCTGGGTTTAAGTGATCCTCCCACCTTGGCTTCCCAAAGTGCTGGGATTACGTCAGCCACCACAGCTGACCCAGACCTAGGTTTTATTCTGATCCTAATATTTACTAGTTGTGTGACCTTGTGCCAAGTTTTTAAATCTTCTTTCAATCTTGATTTCTTTATGTGAAGAAGAAATAGCAATAATGCTTCACAGAGTTCATGGAGGAAAACAGCCCATGAATTAGGGACTGCACCGATCACTCAGAAAGTCTGAATAAAAAGTTTGAACTCACTGTATAAACATCAACTTAGAGAAAGAATAAATGGAAATATTGTTACTGTCGACTAAATGAACGAACCAACATTTACTTTACTATTTACTTCAGTTTTCTTAATCTTCAAAACAACCATTTAAGGTTAGTATTATTTTCACTAAATTTACAGAAAGAAAGGCTTAGGTGGATTCCAAGTCCTGGAGCTTTCCACACCGCCCTGCTGCTACTGAAGAATAACAGTCAACACTGCACAAGTCTACAATATGCTTTCAGATACAAGACTATATTTCATCCTCACAATTACCCACTGAGGTTTTATTATAATAATTATTTCACTAGATAAGAAATGGAAGCCAGGGAAAGTTAAGTAGATTGCCCAAGGTCAACTTCTTTTTGAGGACAATCCTAAGAAGCCAAAGAAGCCCAAGGGAAAAGTTTTCTCCACAGACGCAGGAAGCACCTGAAACCCATGGGGGTGTTCCCAAAATGTGTGTCTCCAAAATGCCAGGAAGCACAGCGCAGCAGCTGAATTCCAGCTTGAAAGGCCCTATGGCAGACATCTGGGGAATCTGAATTGGGAGGTGGAGAGAAGTACAGGGAGACCCAGAATATGCCCTTTAACGGGCTCCTCAGTGATTTGTATGTATTATAAGGTTTGAGAATCAATGAACTAAGGAAAAGGGAATCGGGAACTGCTACATTCTGCGCTTGAAAACCAGTCCATTCAACGCCCCTTAATTTGCTTTCAGAATCTAGAGGTAAGAGGGTATACAGGTTCTCCATCGTGAAGGCTGCCAAAGTCTTAATTGTCCTTAACTTCCTCTCCCGGGTGTTTCTTTCCCTGAGTCCTAAGCCTGTTGTCGTTATTCACCGAGGTGACCCTTCAGCCTCGCAGTCCTCCTACAACCCTTTCTTGTACAATGTCCCCACAGCTGGGGATGACCACTCTGGTCTAGGGGACGCCCGAAGCCGCCCGGCACTGACCGCCGCCCCCTCCTCCGGCTCCCACTTCCCAGCGGCTGAGGTTCACTTTCCACACCCCTTTTCCAGCCCCACCCTCCCTGACCCGCCTCCATTCCCGGTCCCCACAGCCAACTCACGAGACCCGGAACGCGCAAGGAGGGAGAGGGGGTTACCGGCCCGGCGTTGCTAGAAGCGCGGCACGAACAATGGCCGGGCAGGGAACAAAGATGCCGACCTCTCCTCGAAGGCGGACGGAGCAGAGGCACTTCCGGGCCGGTCTAGGATTCCATGTCTCGATGTCCGGCGTTCACCTTGCTTCGGACTCAACCCCCAATTTCCTGGCGTCCAGTTCTTTTTCAGCAGTGAATCACATAATCAGAATGTCATACGTGTGTGGGCCGCACACAGGTTTTAAACGGAAAACGTTGATGAAGCATAGACCGTTAACTATTGAAAATGATGATTTTTAAAAGCATTTTTAAAATTAATACATTATTTATGGTTTAAAAACCCTCAGACAATACCAAAATTAATAAAGTAAAATGTCAAACCCCACCTACCCCTCCTTAGTCCCACTCCCCGAGGCAGCCACTGTCACCGTTAGCCTGGAATTTGTATATCATTGTGATCCTCTCTCACACACACAATGGCATTATTTTATATTTAGCCTTTTCTCCCCCGCTTATTTTAACGTTTTCACTTCATGTATCCTAAAAAGCTTTACTCATCATGTAAGTCTAACTTATTGTATGGGTGCATAACAGTCCATAAAGCAATTTATTTGTCCAGGCCCCTATGTATTCTTTATTTAGGCATCTGCCTGCGTGCTTGCCTTCTTTCCTCCCTCCCTTCCTCTTTTCCTACCTTCCTCCCTCCCTTCCTGCCTTTCTCCCATCCTCCTTTCCTTTTCTTTCTTTCTTGTTTTTGTTTTTTGTTGTTTTTTTTTTTTGCTGTAAAAGTTTTCTGGAGTTTTAGTAATAATAATACAAAATCAAACCAAAACCAATTAAATAAATTTGTCACCCAGGCTGGAGTGCAGTGGCACCATCATAGCTCACTGCAGACTGCAACTCCTGGCTCAAGCAATCCTGCCTCAGCCTCCTGAGTAGCTGGGACTACAGTCACATACCACCATGCCCAGCATTTTTTTTGGGGGAGGGGGGTAGAGACCAGGGTCTCGCTTTGTTGGCCAGGCTGGTCTCTAACTCCTGACCTCAAGTGATCCTCCCACCTCCGCCTGGCAAAGTGCTGGTACAGGCATGAGCCACCATGCCCAGCCTTAAATAAATTTTATTGGTACAAAAGAGCGTAATTGTAGGTACTGTTAGTCATTCATCAGTTTTACTATGCCAACCAGAATGATGGTGTCACGTAGATTAAACTATATTCTGTTTGTTTTAACAGAATCTTATCATTTATTTTATTAAAGCAGTAAGAAAGTATCTTGTGTGTTAATGGAGGCTCCATGATCTGTTTTAACTCCAAAACGGTAGTAGCTCGGAAAATTTCTTTATTATTTTCCTCAACCTAGCCTTCTGAGGGCATTAAATAAACCCAAGCTTTATGCTTTACTTCTTTTTCTTTCAAATATCCAATAAGTATATAATCAATAAGAGCACTAACATGCAGAAAATTTGCTCAAAAATCCTCATCACTTTTTCCACCATACCATGTTCACTTGCAAATCCCTCATTACAAACTTTCCTAACAAACTATGAAATGAGAGTAAATGCTCAATTTCTCTTGGACTTGAATAGACTGTTTAAATATGTTATTCTTTTCCATTTTGTATGACCATCTGTGACAAGTAAATGCAATTTAATATTTGTATGAAACTTCTTAAATGTCTCACTGGCAGTTGGTTAGGGTCTCTCACTGGTTTATATGTGCTTGCTAAGTGGGTCAACTATAGGGCTCAGGCAGGCTCCAGCCCAGAGTCAAGTGGGCAGCACGTTGGACTTCACAATGGTTAGCCCTGAGAGAGACTGGCTTTCATTTGTCTGTTTCCGGGAAGATTCCACTATAGCAGTACTTTGATGAGTATCCTGGGACAGAAGGGATTATTTTTAACATATAACTGGGAATCCGTACTGAATATTGAAAATGCCACACCAACTCAAAGACAAGAAATACTGACTGCAAAATCAACCAAAAAGGTTAAGGATTACCTGAATCTAGAAGCAGGCATATTGGGATACTAACTCGGCTGTGGGTTATGCCATAAGCTAAAAAAATTAAGATGAAATAAAACAAAAAGAAAGAAGACAGAAAGAAAGAAAGAAAGACAAAGCAAGCAAGAAGGAAGGAAGGAAGGAAAGAAAGAGAAAGAATGAAAGAAAGAAAAAAGAAAGAAAGAAGGAAAGAAAAGAAAGAAAGAGAGAGAAAGAAAGGAAAAGAGGGAGACAGGGAAAAAGGAAGGAAGGAAGGACTTGGAGGATTGGTGACAAAGAGATTATTGATGGAACTAGCTCGTATGTGGATAGATCTCTTAGAATGGATATCAAATGTACAAATATTTGTGTCCTGTATGAATCTTCATTAACCCACTGTGTCAGAGGGTTTCAGTAAGCAAGTGAACAAGATGATGGTGAAACAGAACATGGACTCCTCCTCTTCATAGCCTACTGGGATCCCTCCTTAAGCATGAAAATAAAGGAAAAATTGTGAGTCCCTTCAAGGGAAATTCCAGGCACCCTGCAACCAGCAACTAGGGAAATAAATTAATAACCTGCTAAGCAAGATGATAATAGGCCGGGCGCGGTGGCTCACGCCTGTAATCCCAGCACTTTGGGAGGCCGAGGCGGGTGGATCATGAGGTCAGGAGATCGAGACCATCCTGGCTAACAAGGTGAAACCCCGTCTCTACTAAAAATACAAAAAATTAGCCGGGCGCGGTGGCGGGCGCCTGTAGTCCCAGCTACTCGGGAGGCTGAGGCAGGAGAATGGCGTGAACCCGGGAAGCGGAGCTTGCAGTGAGCCGAGATTGCGCCACTGCAGTCCGCAGTCCGACCTGGGCGACAGAGCGAGACTCCGTCTCAAAAAAAAAAAAAAAAAAAAAAAAAAAAAAAAAAAAAAAGATGATAATAATAGCATAAACAATAGTCACCCAAGTGAGTCAGAGTCATGAGATGTTTGTTTCCTTATAGAAACTAAAGATAACATTTGACATATGTCCTTGAGTTGAGTTGTTTTTCAGAAACCAGGACCCCCACCAGATGGAAAATGTTGATCACTGTCATATAGACCTTGACAGACAGGAATCAGAAGATGGATAAGCAAGTTCTAGAAATTTTCCAGCCTTTAGCTCACATTGGAGAACCCCCTCATCCATGCCTTAAAAACTCTTGCTTGTAAGCCATCTTACAAAGAGTTCAGATCTTAAGTGTTAGTGGCCCAATAACCTTGCTTGGTGCTCTACAATAAATGCCTTACTTTCTCTCACTGCAAATCCTAGTGTCAATGTTTGACTTTGCTGCACTGGAGAAGCAGACCCAAGTTTTGTTGCTTAACAATCTGCTCTATGGGTATCAGCAACTCTTTTTTCAGCTATCTCAGCATTTGCTCAAGAAACTTTTGAACATAGTGACCATGGCTGCCATGATGAAGGCTGTACATAGGCTCAGAAAACAAGACAAAAGCTTTTCTGTTGAAATCCAATTTGCAAGAGCCAAAACCAATCCTAATCCCTAGAAATGATGTAATATCACAGTGGAAACAGCCAGCCACCTGATGGTAAATTGATTACATTCAACTCTTTCCATGATGGAGAGGACAAAACTTTTCTTCAAAGCAGTAGACATTTTGGGATTTGGATTGGCTTTTCATCCCTACCATGCTCTGTCAGTACTGACTTGTTGAAAGCCCCACTTACACCAGCCTCAACTTAGGTGGGTATTAAAATAAAATGATTTGGTCTTTTCCTTTTTTTTTTTTTTTTTTTTTGAGACAGTTCAACTTGTTCTTGTAAATCCTTTCCTGTCCCTTAATGATGCCTGGAGCAGCTCCCATAGCTTTCTGGCAATTTTAAGTATTAAAGGTCTTATTCAGCTTATTTTTAATTTTAAATTTTATTGCTTATTGAATAAGTTACATAGCCAAGGATTCAAAATATAAGAGGTACAAAAGGGCATACACTGAAAAATCTCTGTGATATTTTAAATTTTGTTATGTGTGATAATGATATTGTAGTTCTGCAGGAAAGTGTTCTTACTTTTTAGAGATGGGTACTGAAATATTCAAAGATGGTATGCCATGATGTCTATAATTTAATTTAAAATACTTCAGCAGAGAGAAAGGCGGGGAGTTAAATATGACAAAATGTGAACAATTATAAAATCTAAACGATAAGTATATAGATGTTCATTACATGTTATGTAACATAAACTAGAAATAAAATCCAATCCCCAACCCAACCCTGGCCAACTAAACAGACCCCTTGTGGCAAAAGTGATACCAGAAAAAACTTAAAAACTGAGTTCCCAGCCCTGACAGAATGAGAGCTCAGACACGACTCATTATACCCTCCTCTTTTGTGTGGTTTAGACACAACTGACCAGCATTAAAGTTAAAGTAGAGATCATAAGACTGATAGAATAGGCTCTTTGTGGCAATAAGATACCAAATTATAAGCAGGATCTAAGTCCATGCCAAGGAAGGTTTAAGTCACGCTTCCTTTCATTTAAAGAAGAAACTATGTTTTAACTGCCACAAGGTTTTCCTTTTTCTCTAGCAGCTAAACAAGCACTGCCCCGAGATAAGAAATATTCAAACAATTTGCAGCTCCACTAGATGCTGACAAACTGTACCCCTGTTCCACTAACTGTAACTATAGCTTTGACTGAACGTGAGACTGATTTTAGTAACTTTCTCCTGATAAGACCAACCATGGACTCATTCTAGCCCTTTTACAGAGATTGTGCACTTCTGTGCTCTCATGTCCTAAAGTGACCATTTGACGTATAGAGCCTAGTTGTAATACATGCAAATGTTAAGTCTCTACTTCAAAGTGAACATGTAACATGCACGTTTGTTCAATGTGCATGTGTCAGGACCCCTTCCTGAATATTCATAGCTCCTTCAGTAACCTGTTGAATATGTATGTTTGGTCAACTCATTCAGCATAAAGCTTCTACCTCAACCCCTCCTCCTTCAAAGTGCCTGTCTCTGGATGTGGCCAGAGGAAGGCTTCCCAGCCTGTAGTCTGGCCACCTTGCAGGCTGTAACCCTTAAGAAGAAATAAAGTCTTTTCTCTCTTTTTCTAAATTTGTATCTTGTGATATTTTCCTTAAGTTAAAAATACATAAACCTTTGGGAGCAGATGTGTTTCCAAATTCAGGTTTTTGTTTTTTTTTTATTTTAGAAAGATAATGTGCATACACTGTACATTATGTAACTTCCAGCAGAGTTTCAGAGCATATCAAACACCTCAATATTTCTGCTTTGAGATTTATGATTAGTCACTTTAAATGAGTTAAATAAAGGCTATGAAGAAGTTCAGGTTTTCCCCTCAGATAGATTGTAGTGCCAAATTTATGGAGGAAAGATTTGGAGTTTTTAGAATTTTATGGATTTTAGAACTGTGATTAAGGGATCCTGGACATGTACTAGTCTATTTTCTGTGTTTTTTGCATATTTAAACATCTTCAAAATAAAAATTTGTTAAATAGAAATATACAACTTATTCCTACCACTAGTCACCTAATTTCATCCACTAGAAACAGCCAAAGGTATTGATTTCTTTTTTTTTCTTCTAGACAGGATCTCTCTCTGTCGCTGAGGCTGAAGTGCTGTCACCAAGGCTGGAGTGCAGTGGCACGATCTCAGCTCACTGAAACCTCCGCCTGTCAGACTCAAGAGATTCTCCCACCTCAGGCCCCCAGGTAGCTGGGGACCACAGGCATGTGCCACCATGCCTGAAGAATTTTTGTATTTTTAGTAGAGACGGGGTTTTACCATGTTGCCCAGGCTGGTCTCAAACTCCTGAACTCAAGTGATCTGCCTGCCTCCTCATCCCAAAGTGCTAGGATTCCAGGTGTCAGCCACCATGCCCGGCCTTCATTTCTTATACAGCCTTTCAGAGATATTTTAGGTATGTAGAAGCAAATATTTATATATAATTTTGCCCTGGGATTTTACAGAAATAGTAGAAAATTTTCCTATAGCCATACATGTAGAGCTGCAGCTCTGTTTTGACAGCTGCATACTATTTCATTATGCACCAGTCATTTATTGATAAGCAATTAAGCTATTAATATTTCCTATCACTTTCCATTTATAAACAATGCTGAGCTTCAGACACGTATTATCTTACATATGTGTGAGTCTGTCTCTAGGATAAATTCCTAGAAGTAGAATTCCCGTGTCAAAGAATATGCACATTTAAAAAATGTATAGACTTCGGGCCGGGGCGCGGGAAGGTGCGGGTCGTCGGCGGAGAGAAGCCAGCAGCTCGAGAGACGCAGGGCCAGGAGGACAGGACCGTCCCGCGGTCACAGCCCGGTCCTTCTTCCGCTCCCCCCGCCCCCCCCACGGGCCACCTTCCGGTCCGTTCTCCCCGCCCGGTCGCCGCCCGCCAGCCCTTCGTCCCCCAGCCGCCCAACCTCCTAAGCGCTGAAGGAATTATTTTTGGGAGTCATGACCATAGCTGCCTGCTTCCCCCAACCCTCGACGACGAAAAGGACTTCGGCCCCCGGCCGGGCGGCTCCGGGGGAAAAAAGAGAGAGCGACCGCCGCCCCGCGCTCAGGGCCACTCTAGAGGGAGAAGCTGCCCCGAGGCTGGCAGAGCGCCCAGCCGCGGTGGAGACCGGAAGCCTTCTGGAGCCCAAGGCTGTGCACGTCCCCTGTGCTGATTCTCTGCCTAGGAAAGGACCATGCAGCTGGAGATCAAAGTAGCCCTGAACTTCATCATCTTCTACTTGTACAACAAGCTGCTCTGGCGCCTCTGAAAAAGAAATAAGAAGCCCACTGGTACCCTGACAAACCACTGAAGGGCTCTGGCTTCCACACCGAGGAGATGGTGGACCCCGTTGGGGAGCTGGCCGCTAAGCGAAGTGGCCTGACAGTGGAAGATGTGCGGGCCAATGTGCCTGAGGAGCTGAGCATATGGATTGACCCCTTCGGGGTGTCCTACCAGATTGGTGAGAAGGGAGCAGTGAAAGTGCTGTACCTGGATGACAGTGACGGCTGTGGGGCCCCGGAGCTGGACATGAAGATCAAGAGCAGTTTCACTCCTGACGACCAGATGCTCTTTCTCCTCGGAAGCCAGGACAGCTCCTTGTCCAACTCCCCGTCGCTATGCTTTGCCCATCACCCAGCCCCACCTTCATCCTCTGCCTCGCCCAGCCCATCACCTTCACCATGGACTCCTTTGCTGCCACCAAATTAGGCTCCACTAAGATGAAGAAGAGGGGTGGGGCAACAAGTGGTAGGGGTGCAGCCAGCGGTGAAGCAGGTGGCCAGCAGCCAGTACAGCAGCCTCCACGGCCCGCTTCAACACCAACAGCTTGTTGAAACACAGGAGTCTTTCTCTGTCTGTGCATTCATTGAACTTCATCCCGGCCAACCGGCCTCTCAATCCCAGCTCTCGCCCCAAGGCCACGTACAGTCTCAAGTACAACAGTGGTGGCTTGCCCAGTTTCTTCCTTGATGGGGCCAATGGCCAGGGTAGTGACACCCGAGCCCTCTTTGGAGGCAGTGGGACTGTCACCTGCAACGCCAGCAGCTTCTACATGGTCTAGGTATTTGGAGGTGGTGCCACCGCCTCTTCCTGGAGAAGGCACCCTTCATGGAAGACCTCAGCTACAACCTGAACACCATGCAATATCCTAGTCAACCGTTCCAGTCCGTGGTGCTGGCCAACTGACCGTCTACCTGCCCTGGGGCCGGGAGCACCCAAGACCACAGAAAAGAGAAAGAAAAGGAAAGGCCAAAAAAAAAAAAAAAAAAAGAGGAAAAGGAAAATGTACAAAAAGATTTTCTATTTTCTCACTCTCACTTCTAGAAAAAAAGATCTAGTGCAGGCACGGAATGGGAGGGGCTTCCAAAGCACCAAAATGTGTTTAACTAACCCCCCTACCACTTACAATTCGCCCATCGGCCTGTAATTTGGTTGGTTTGGGTTTTATATTTCTTTTTTCTTTCTTTCTTTTTTTAACATGTAGTTCTTTATATAACATCTTTAATTGGTGGCTTCCTTTGCTAAGAATGGGCAAAGGAGAGGCTGACCTGTGTCACTGCCTCTGTCGCCCAGCTATTCTCACACTCAAAGCCATCCAAACTTGGCAGGCCTTCTCAGGCCCTGTGACCGAAATAGACCTGACTCCAGCCCCCACTCCCTTTCAGGCTGGGCCACAGGGAGCTGCCAGTTGGCCACTTGACACCCACCCCCACCACACCCTAGAGCTGATGTCTGTGACTACAGGAAGGTTAGCACTCTATCTAGTTGAATTCCTGTCATCTCTGTCCTGAGGCCCTGCCTCACCATTCCCTCAAGGCCCAGACCATCATCAAGGCCCTGGCCACCCAGCCACTGATGCATATGGCCTTTTCTTTCTCTCATGCAGCCTCTTCTCCCTGGGGCAGAGGTTGTGGGGAGGGAGGTGGTGTGTGTGTGTGTGTGTGTGTGTGTGTGTGTGTGTGTGGTTTGCTGTCCAGTTTTAAAGGATTCCAAGCCATGTGAAACTTCCTCACTAGATGTGATTCTGGGTTGCGGCAAGTGCTTATTAATGAGTGAGGCTGGGGAATGGGCTGGGGGTATTAGCAGTCCTTTTGCAGTGTGTGTGGTGGGGTCACACCACTATGGCTAAGCCTAAGACACTCCCAGAGAGAAGTACTGCAGAAGGAACTGGTTTCCGGACTGCAGAGGGATCTGCATTTTTGTTTTTGACCACCCCCACCAAAAAAATAGGTTAGATCTGAAGGGCAAAGGGAATACCCAAGCCTCTGATGCCTATGAGAAGTCCCTGGACTTCGACCCTTCTGATGTGTGATGTTAGCCCCGTGGGGAGCTGCTCACCTGAGCACCTTTGGGGGTGAGAAGGGAGCAGGGAGGTAGGGTGGGATATTGGAGTCAGCATCTGTAGTGGGCAGCCCTGAGCCTGGAATAGATACTTTTTGGTCTTTTGGTTGTAGATGTTATTTGAGTACATTTATGCCCCTGGCTGATTGAGAGCTTCTCAGTACTTCTTGCCATCCCCCTCACTGCCCTGACCCAACCCCACTGGACCTTAATACAGTGAGGGGTGGTATCCTGGACAGGGACTCTGCACTCCCAGCTGTTTGGATCACAGAAGAGTGTTTGCCCCTCTGCCTTTGCCAGAAGAGGGTTTGTTTCTCCAACCCTACAAGGCCAGGCAGACGTGGACAGGAGCCAGGGGAGCAGGGTAATGAACTTTTTTTCCTTTGGCAAGTGGGGCGCTCCTCGCCTCTCTCTTTGCCCCATAGCCCGCTCACGGACGCCCGGCCTCACCAGGTAGTGTTGCTTGATTTGTATGCAAAATGTTGTTCTTCCTTTATCTGAAATTCAAATTTAATTGGGTATTTTGTATCTTATCTGGCAATCCTACCGCCAACCTGACTTCAGGCCGGAGGAGGAGAAATTGCGTTCCGGGTAACTTCCCACCCCATTGAGCCGGAGAACAGTTTCCTAAGTTTTGGGAAGAGTGAAAACCTGTCACCACGAAAAGAAAGGAAATCTCCTCCAATTGAAAACAAACAAACAAACAAAAAAACCCCAAAAGCTGTTACCAGGGGCTGGGAGGACAGGTAAAGCCAGATGCAAAGTTAACAGGAAACACTGTTTTCCAAGATCATGCAGCAGCCGTAAAATGTCGCAATGGTCCCCTCTTTGAGCAATTGCTGCCTTTTTACGAGTGCGCATACCCGCTTTGCCACACCCATCCATGTACTACTGGGGATACCGAAGATCACTCTCTCCTTGTGACAACGCCCAATCCCTAGCTAATCCCCACTACTCCTAACCCCACCTCAGAAACACCAAGCAATCCAGAACTGATCCTGCTTCTCTTAGAGATTCCTCAGAATCCTCGAATGGGAACCCAAACCTTACAAAAGACAGTTCTCTCCAGCCTCTTGTTGAACTGCATTTCTCCGTTACTCTGGAATATCCTGTCACTTCATCTATGTATTAAATCTGATTTTGCTTTGTTCCTGGTGGTCTTTGGCTACTGTCTTTAACACCACATTACTGCTCTGTGGCCCTCCGACAGTGCAGGAGTTAGAGGGATTAATCCTGGCAGGATAGACCCTCAGTTGATGTTGGAATGATGAGAGGAAGGTGGATCCTGAGAGAGAGAAGATTTTACCAAATCACACAGAATCTAGATTAACCATGTTTTAGAAGGGGAGGGGGAGGCAAAACAAAACTAGAGCAGCAGTGCCAAACTTTAGCATAAACCAGGATCACCTGGAGAGCTTTTTAAAGCACAAATTGCTGGACCCCAGACCTAGCGTTTTTTCCCAGGTGATAATGATGTTATTGTTCCAGAGACCACACATTTAAGAACCACTGAATTAGAGCAATCTCGTCGGCATAATAATGGTTTTTTGTTGTTGTTGTTGTTGTTTTGTTTTGTTTTGTTTTGAGACAGTATCTTGCTCTGTTGCCCAGGCTGGAGTGCAGTGGTGTGATCTTGGCTCACTGCAACTTCGCTCTCCGGGGTTCAAGAGATTCTCCTGCCTCAGCCTCCGGAGTAGCTGGGATTACAGGCGTGTGCCACTGCACCCAGCTAATTTTTGTATTTTTAGTAAAGACAGGTTTTAGCCATGTTAGCCAGGCTGGTCTCGAACTCCTGACCTCAGGTGATCCACCCGCCTCGGTCTCCCAAAGTGTTGGGATTACAGGCATAAGCCATCGCATCAGGCCAAAAGCTAATAATGCTTTGAAGCCAGTGATCCAATTTCAGACCTCTGACTTAGACAATTTAAAATTCTCATTCCCATTTAAAACAATCGAATGAGTCGTGCTCTCAAATCACACAAAGCTCAACACCATTAATCCCTAAAAATCCATTAAATATTGAATATTTATGAAGCCCAGTGTATAAACTGCCAGTAGTTACCCAGAAAATCTGTAATAAACCAAGGTCACTGAGTTTATGAGAATCCAGGATTCTCAATCACTTCCTCCTCACTGTGAGTACTTGAGCTTCCATTTAGATGATCTGGGACAACGCTAGTTGAAACAATAATCTCTCTTGTAAGGGCTGCATAAGCAGGTGTGGTCTGACCTCCTTTTCACTTTGTTGGGAGGGTAAGTCAACACAACTTCTATGGAAGAAATTTGACAGTATCTTACAAATGAATGTTACCCAGGACACAGTATATCTACTCCTAGACATTTATATTGTAAATATAGACACTCACATAAAATGCTATATTCAAAATTATATATATATGTATATATCTTCAGACACAGGTATGTTTACCTCTTTTTACAAGTAGCACCTATACATATTGTCTTGCATCATGCTTTTTTCACTTAAGAGTATATCTTTGAGAGATTAGTAGTCTTATATATGCAAGTCTTATAAATAATAGTCTTATATATGTTTCTGGAAGGATACATGAAAGCTAATAAGAGTGTCCTACTGATGGCAGTAGGTAATTAGTGGCAAAACTTTGCTATACAACTTTTCATATTTTTTGAATCATGTGAATGTAGTACTTATTTTCGAAATGAAAATAATTGAATAAACTGAATAAAATTATGTGTATTCCTTTTTTTCTCTCAAAAGATCAGCCAAGATGGAAGTTACAAATGGAAACTACATAATACTGACATTCTTCTTTCCTTTCTCAGGAGGAAATGCTTTAGTACTAACTAGAAATGTTCTATGGAATGTATTTGTAAGTTTTGCTATATCTCTAAGAGACACTCTCACTCTCCTTCCTTTTTCAAAGATGGAATCCTTAGGCAATAGTGACTGCTTTAAAAGTTAGCATTAAGATAATAAATGAAAATTTCAGTAGAGATATACAATTAGGCTGAAAATGCCTTAAGTAACCCATACGGTTCAATACCCATAATGTTGCATATGTAACTCTTTATGATTTTATAAGTACCTTTAAATTTTTCAGGCAATGTTTTTCTATAGCCCTCAATTAAATCTTCAATTGTTTCCTCAATGGGGAATCCCGCTAAGCAAAACTTGTGAAGGAATGAAAATTTGCATGAGAATGAAGCCTGAATCAAATAAATCAACTAACAAATTACATTCACAGCTAAGACAAGTGTTACTAAAGAAGCAGAGAGCAGGAAAGATCAGAGGGAATTATTGAAATGGCTGGTGAATACGGAATGAATTTGCCAAATAAAGTGCTTACCATATCATTTGTGATTCCTGGAACAAAAGGCTTGCTATGCAGCCGACGAGGATGGGATTCGAACCCACGTGTGCAGAGCACAATGGATTAGCAGTCCATCGCCTTAACCACTCGGCCACCTCGTCACACAAAGAATCAACAACTTGAATTTCTTCGTCTGTGTAGTGCTCCCAGTGAGTCTTGTAGAAACATGATCTAATCGTTTTTCCTGGTTTAATCCCCATAACCACAGTCTGAGTCAGGTGTCTTAATTAAGACACATTTCACAACCACCATAAAAATGACGACTGTCACTTAGAGTAGTGAAGTTACTTGGCAAATATCTAATAATAGGTTGAACCAGTGCCGGCATTCATTGGTAGACAAAAATCACCTGCTTTTTTGTTGACCCGGCTCCAGCTGGCCGCCCTGTATGCCCCTCGAGACACGCTGGGACCTTCGCCGGGTCCTTCTGCCACTTTATTCTGCATTCAAAGGGTTGATTTGCTTCCCGATCTAAACTTTGTCCTTAGATTCCTGTTTTCTGTGACGTACCAGAAACCTGACTGTAATTCCTTTTCATTTGCTTCTGTAATATGCCCGAGGGCCAGGAGATGCCCTCCTTTCTCTTTTGTTACTTTCTCTAGGAGTTGGTGTTGATCAGTCTATGATAAATCAGCAACAGGTGAGAACATGTTTTTTTACAAAAATTAGAGGCGCGCAGGCACCCCGATGGCACTCCTCTTGCTTTGGTCAGGACAGTGAAAGAAAGAAAGTCTTTTTGTGTTTAGCACAAGATTGGCTCAGTCCAGTTGCTACCGACACTGGGAAGGGCCTGTGGGGTGGGTAACCCCCTGGTGCGGGAGTCAGGATGCCTGGTCCTAATTGTGGCTCTTAACTAAGCCCACTCACTAAATCCAACCCAACTTGAGAAGCAGAACAGTAACCCCTAACGTCCCTTCCAGCTCTGACAACCTCAATTATAAAATGATCAGCAAGAAAAGAAGCCTGAGGCTGGGTGCGGGGGCTCACGCTTGTAATTCCAGCACTTTGGGAGGCCAAGACGGGTGGATTGTTTGAGCTCAGAATTTCGAGACCAGCCTGGGCAACATGGAGAAACCCTATCTCTACAAAAATTGCAAAAATCAGCCGGAAGTGGTGGCCCGCACCTGTGGTCCCAGCTACTCAGGAGGTTAAGGCGGAGGATCGCTGGAGCCCTGGGGGCGTCAAGGCTATACAGTGAGCCCTGATTGCCGCCATTGCACTCCAGCCTGGGCCACAGAATGAGACCCTGTCAAAAACAAAAACAAACAAACAAAAAAACAAACAAAAAAAACTGGAAGGAAGGAAGGAAGATTCTTACACTCGTTAGAGTTTGTGTGCTTTTTGATATTTGGTGCAGAATTTTGGAGGGGAAATTTTTCTTTTCTACCAGAAGAATGTTGGTGCTTTTTTTCCTCCCTGTGAAATGTCCTATCTCTGTTCTCAGCTTTGTTGGGAGAGGCTCTTTTTTATTCTCACACCTGTGTTAAACATTAAAACGACCCAATGTCCACCAAAGTGGAATACTTAGTTAAATAAATTATGATTAAGCAAAACATTAAAGTGGTATGTGATTATTAATAGGAATAATGCTGTTCTATACATAGTAGTTTATAAATATTTTCCCACTTTTTTTTTTTTTAAATGAAGTCTCGCTCTGTCGCCCAAGCTGCATGCAGTGGGGTGATCTCTGCTCACTGCAACCTCCACTTCCCGAGTTCAAGCGATGCTTCTGCCTCAGCCTCCCCAATAGCTGGGATTACAGGCACATGCCACTATGCCTGGCTAATTTTTGTATTTTTAGTAGAGACGGGGTTTTGCCATGTTGGCCAGGCTGGTCTCCAACTCCTGGCTTCAAGTGATCCGCCCCCCTCGGCCTCCCAAAGTGCTGGGATTACAGGCATGAGCCACTTTGCCCAGCCTATTTTCCCACTTCTAAGTTTTTTTTAAAAAAGGCAAGTTGCAGAACAGTATGTATAGTACGGTTGTTTGTTTTAGATGATAGAGAGTTTAGATATTTAATGTTGGTGAGGGCCATTTAGCTTCAGGCTCAATTTTAAGAAGGTTCTAAACATAGACTTTTCATATTATCTTTAAAGAAGTATTATGTATGTGTATGTATATCTGTGTATGTATTATACATACAACTACTGTGTATTTTTTAAGAGTTAAATTAAAGGTCTTCAATATTCTCAAATCTTATTTGGCATTTCTTTTTTTTTTATACACTGAAAATGAAGATGGCATGAACCTTTTGGACTTCTGGAAGGCTCTGATTGATATAAACATAAAAAACCTCCAGAAGGATGTATATTACTTGTTAATAGCTGGTATCTCTAACAGTGAGAATATGAAGCTTTTTAACTTTCTATATTAAAGGTTTTTTCAAGATTTTACTTTTTTCATAATGAGTACGTTACTTAGTAATTAATGTTTTTAAAGTAAAGATAAATTTAAATTATTCAAGACATAAGAGTGAACAGTCAAACACAGCTGAGAAATAAAGTATAATATTAAGAAACGACCATTAGATTTACCAATGGAACGATTTTATGTAGGACAAGATGGAGTTTTTTCCTAACATCTTGTAGTTCAAGCTGGCAGACACTACCTATAAAGGATCTGATTCCACAGACTGCTTCAGGACAGTGGAAACCCTTCTTTTAATCGTGTTCTCTGGCATAGTGATTCTAACTGCTATTTTTTCACCAGGTCCTGCCTGGGCTTTCTTCCTACCAGCTCCCAGCCCTGTTTGATTTCTTTGAAAGATCATTCTAGCTGCTCTGGAGAGACCAGGTGGCCAGAAATAGCTGTGAGCAGACCAGTTGGGAAGCCAGGGCAGCAGCTGTCACGAGAGGTGGTGGTGGCTCAGACTAGGAGAGTGGCAATAGGAATGGAGAGAGGTGGATGGGTCCAAGATATATGTTGGAGATAAAATGGTGGACACACACTGTGAGTGATGAGTAGGGTGAACAATTCATCCTAGTTTGCTGGGAACTTTTCTGTTTCAGCACAGAAAGTTCCATGTCTCTGAGAGACCCCCCAGTCCCAGGCAAACCTAAACAGTTGGTGACAGGGAAGGACCAATAATGAGTTTCCTGCTTCTCGCTTGAGTAGTGGGGCAAGTGGAAGTAGTGTTTATTAAAACTGGGAAGATTGAGGAAGTGGTAGGTATTGTGGAAATGACAATTTAACTTTTACATGTTAAGACTCGTCATAAACCAACCTATGCAGGCCGTCTGCAATAGAATGTTTTTTCCTTCGTCTTTGAGTCAGGAGAAGAATTTGTTATTTCAAAGGACTATAGGAAATATGAGATTTATATCCATCGTGGGGAACTCTCCTTATTCAAGATTTTAACTACAAATGATTAATATTCTGGAATTTCTATTTCTTGGAGTAAATCTAATTTACAGGAAATCATTTGGTGATTCCTTGGCTTATTTCCCATTTTAAATAACTATTCTGTATTTTGTCCATTTTTCTAAATACTGCAAGGGTAAGTTGTACATATTTAGTTAGTCAAAAGAATAAAAAACTTAAAAACAAAATATCTCCAATCTTGCAAAACTTTTGACAGCTAATTTATTCGTATCCACACCAACTGGATTAAAAATAATTTATCAGTAGATGTCTTCTTAGCAAAGGTGACAGGTGAGCCTTGACTGCTAAAGATCCTAGGTGCAAACCTCTGAAAAGAGAGTATGTTTTCACCAAAGGAATATTCTGGGTTAATTATAAAGAGCACTATGTGAAATCCAGGGAAAGGAAATTTTTAGGAGACAAGTGCAAGGCATTCAATTAGAGCAGAGAGATGAGGCAAATACCACACTCTGTCAAAGACATTATATTTAGGTGACTCTGTTCTTGAACAATATTGTTGATTATGTTCAAATTAAATAGAGATAAGGTCAGTATTTAACACTGGCCCTTAGAAGGAAAATTATCTTGCTGCCCATATAAGCAATAAGCAAAATTCTGCCCTAGCAACTTTGTGCTATGAAGTAATTCACCTAATCCTCTAAGTCCATTCTAAGAAAATTAACACACTGGTCAAAATAGGAAAAACAAAGAAATCTGAGAAAGCCATTTTAAAAATGAGACATTCCCAGCAAATAAGCAGTAAGATATAGTGTTTTAATATATGTTTAAAAATGCTATTTCTCAAAATAAAAACAAAAGAAAAAAGCTCTCACTCTTACATAGTGAAGTTTTTATGAATAAAATAATATGCTTGCTTTAAAATGCAGAAAGACAAAGTTTGAAATATATGTTAAAAATATTGACAAAATATTGTTAATTTTGAGGCTGGGTGATGGATATACGAGGCTACATCATATCATTTTTTCCCTTTTTTTAATATTTTACATTTCCATAGTAAAAAGTTATAATATGTTTAACACCTTTTTTTCGTTGTATAAGTATCCCAAATGTTGTAGTCTCTGCACGGAAGGAATTAATAAAATGGTCAGGGAGAGTGTCAGTAGATAAGCAAATACACTATGCTGATAAAAGCAAAGGCTGAGTGAGGCTTAATACACTATTTGTCGGAAATTCCTTAAAAAAAAAAACCTTAAAAAAAAAACAAAAAACGTAGACGAGACTAGAGAATTGAAGAAAAATCACTGTTCATGGGATTCAAACCTGTGCGGAAAGTGCTCACTGGTCTGAAGGCTCTGGGTGGTTGCGACCCCATGCTCTAAGCTGGGGCTTTATCTGCGGCGAAGCGCAGGAGGTACAACTTGGCGACGCCACGAAACCTAACATGCTCCACAAGGTCTTGCAGGGGTAGCGGCCGGGGTTTGGGGAGGGACGTCTCTGTAGGTTTACTTTATTCCTGGCTTCTGTCTTCCAAGATCCCTCACACCTTAACAACAACAATAATATTGGCAAACACCTAAATAGCGCGGACTCCGGCTAGCGCTCTCGCAAGCGCTTTCCATGCATTAATTCATAGAATCCCAGAATCACCCTTAGAAGGTGCCACCCAGGGTCACGCGGCAAAGAGTGGCCGAGCTGAGGCTTTCCCCGGGTCTGTTTCCACGGCCCATGCTCTTAACCATCACGCTGTATTTCAGAAGCGAGAATCTTAAATTATTTTTCCCCAAAGCGCAATGGAGACGCAATCGAGTTTGAGTGGTTTGTGTGAGACTGGGGGGTGGGGTGGGGTGTGAAACCCGTGGTGTCAAAAAATCAAAAGCGGAGAACAAAGCCTTCTGAAGACCAGAAGCCACTTTTAGGACCCAGTTTCCCAAATATCAACCCCAAAGCTGTAAAACGAAGTTTGCTCAGTGAGCAGTTAAGGAGCTCTCTCGATATCTCCGGTGGCTTTCGAATGACGCTACTCCGAGCCGCGGCTCGCTCCGAGGCGGGAAGTTGGGTTTACAATCAGTTCTACGCGCTGCCCCGCGGCCCTTCCCCTGGCCACAACCTCTGCATCCACCCAAATCAGCTGCCCCTGTTTGCAGCCACGAGGGAGTCGGGAACCAAGTCCGGACCACCGTCTCCTAGAGAATTACATGTCCCTGCACGCACGGAGAATAAAGCCAGGAACGATAAGTGGTAAATTATAGGGAATTTGGGCGGTGGTGACATAGTTAACGCCATTCTCGCCCTGCTGGGACGCGCACTTTGCGTTTCTGAAATTCTCAGTCTATATGGTGTGATATCCCAGGAAAGCTGCCCGAGTCCTCCCATTTGTTGAGTACCCTTCGATTCATTCTGTGGGTAAATCAACTGTTAGTAGAGGAAATTGAAATTGTTTACATATTCAAAGCCGTGAGTGCGGGGGCGGGACGTTAGGGTAGATGGTGACCAGGAGGAATTTCCAACATTTTCCCGTCTTAAGATCTGGAGCCCAGCAGGGCCATAATTTTCCACTCAGTTGTAATTGGTGCCAAGTAGCTTTTGGACATTCCAAGACCACAGATGTTTCTCTCAAATTGTCCTCCCACCCTGTTAAAATCTGTTGGGGAGCGTAGCTTACTTGCTCTCTCACCAGAAACGCGGAGAAGGTGGATGCAAGAAGGACTTTGCGGAAATCGAACCAGTACTGGAGCACTGCCTGAGTGCTGGGATTAAGAGCCCTTATCCAGTCAGCCAAATGAGGCCCGTTCTGTAGCTGAAGGAATTGCTTTCCCAGATTCTAATGAATCAGTGCTCACTTGTTTTTTTGCCCGAGTTTTTTTTATTTTTAAGATTGTGGTTACCTTAAAAAAATTACAAACATTCCTAAAATTCTTCCTTTAACATCACTTTTAGGAGAATACAAAACTGTCATATATCCAGAATTAAATAATAAACATTTTTTCTTTTTCCGTTTTCCGGGAGTGTCTGTTTGCCCTTGTTGAGGATCTTTGATATGGCTTATAAGATTTTACTGCTATGGGCCAGGCTGTACCTTATCAAAAGTGTATATTGTTTGATAATCCAGTGCTGAAGGCTGGAAGCCAGCATTTCCACGGAGATAAGAATCCCTTATAAGAAATTACATTAAACTTTGACCCTTGCCTACTTGTCTTATTTAGTGTTTGGAGACAATTCTCAGAGAAAATGTCTGCTTCTCAATAAATTGTGGCAAGAAACAAGCCAAACATTCTTCTTACCCTCTCAGTTGATCTTTCAGCGATGAATCTTTAGACATTTTCCACTATTTTTATTTCCCCCAGTTTCATTCAAAATGCTCTCTTTATTTGGGATTTTCATTCAGGTCTTTCGGATTGTGGATGGCAGTTGCTCTCCTAAGTAGACACTACCTTACTTTTTTCTGATGTCTAGAGTTTTGGCGAGACTTTTGCTTGGTTGTAGATATTCTTAAATGTTAATTTCTCCTAACTGGCTCGAAATGAGCAGATGATTAAATAAGAAGGTAGCTGGTCCTCAAAGAAAAGTTACATCATCATCCAACTTGTATTAGAGATTAAGAATTCATTCAATTAATGTTACCCACTCTTCAAATTGTTCCACTAGTATAATTTGATTTTTTTAAATAGTGATAGCATAGCTTGTCCAACAAAGGGCTGGCAGATTCTTGACACTTTCCACATTTTTGTTTTGCAACACTCTTTACCAGTTGCCTAACAAGGTAGCTATTTCGTAGTGGATTCTCTCTGAAAGAGAAAGAACAGCCTGTGCTAATTGGGAGTCTTCCTCACCTCTTTTCTTTTTCTAAAAATTAATTTTCTCTAAAAATAATTTCTGTTCAATTTTAGCCATACCCAAGACTATTCTGTTGGAGATGGCCAAAATAAAAATTAAGCTTTAAACAATTGAAGGCCAAAAAATTGAGCATTAAACAACTGGTCATCCAATCTTTTCTTGCCCCTGTTTTCTATTCTCTCCTTTCCACATCAACTTGAGACTGCATCAGTATAGTATAATGTTAGCCAAGGAAATTTTCTGATATTTCTCTTTCCAGTTAAGGATCATCTGGAAAGACAAGGGCTGTGTGTGTGTGTGTGTGGGTGTGCGCGCACGTGTGTGTGTATGTTGAAAGAGAAAGCAGATAGCATGCTCCCCACATCGGTGATCTTGGATTTATTTCTCTCACTCATGCCCTATTGTAGAGTGATGATAGTAAAGTGATGATAGTCAACATTTTTAAAAATTAATAAACTTTCTTTTTATAGAGCACTTTCAGGTTCACAGCAAAATTAAGCTGACAATACAGAGATTTCCCCCGTATCCCCTGTTCCCATACCAGCACAACTTCTCCCATTATCAATATCTCCCACCAGAGTGGTAAACTTGTTACAATCAATGAGGCTTTATCGACACATAATTATCACTCAAGGTGCACAGTTTACATTAGCATTCACTCTTGGTGTTGCACATTTTGACAAGTGTATAATGACATGTATCCACCATTATAGTATCATAAAGAATAGTTTCACGGTCCTAAAAATCCTCGAAGTTCTGCCTGTTTATCCCTTCCTCCCCTCTAAACTCTGGAAACCACTGATCTTTCTACTGTCTCCCCAGTTTTGCCTTTTTCAGGATGTCATCTAGTTGGAATCATAGGTACGTAGCCTTTTCAGATTTGCCTCTTTCATTCAGCAATGTGGATATAAGTCTCCTCCATGTTTTTCATAGCTTGATAGTTTTTCTTTTTATTTTAGAACTGAATAATATTCCATTGTCTGGATGTATTACAGTTTATCCACTCATCTGTTGAAGGACAGTTTTGTAAGCTGAGCTGGTTACAAATTTTGGCAATTACAAATAAAGCCGCTATTAACATTCATGTGCATGTTTTTGTATGGGCATAAGTTTGGGGTAAGTACTAAGGAATGTGATTGCTGGATCATATGGTAAGAGTATATTTAATTTTGTAAGACACTGCCAAACTGTATTTTGTACTCCTTTCAGGAATGAATGAGAGTTCCTGTAGCTTCATATCCTTGCCAGCATTTTGTGTTAGCAGTATTCTGGATTTTGGTCATTTTAATAGATGTGTAGTGGCATCTCATTGTTGTTTTAACCTGTTGTGGTTTTAAATGAGCACTTCATATGATTTATTTTTCTCTCCTTTCTTAGTATATAAATTATGCTTCTGCATTTACTTTTTTTTTTTTTTTTTTTTTTTGAGGCAGAGTCTTGCTCTGTCACCTTACCAGGCTGGAGGGCAGTGGTGCAATCTTGGCTCACTGCAACCTCCGCCTCCTGTGTTCAAGCGATTTTCCTGCCTCAGCCTCCCAGGTAGCTGGGACTACAGGAGCATGCCACCACACTCAGCTAATTTTTGTATTTTTAGTAGAGACGGGGTTTCACCATATTGGCCAGGATGATCTCGATCTCTTGACCTCATGATCCGCCCTGGAGCTTGCAATATGCATTTACAACTAATCCAAATACACTTTCAAATAACACTATAGTGTTTCTTGGGTAGTGTATGTACCTTTTAATAACAAAATATTCCTAATTCCTGGAACCCTCCTGTCCTTTGTATCATTACTGTCATTGGTTTCCCTTATACAAAAGCATACATAATTGAATACATTATTGCTATTATTATTTGAACAAACTATTATCTATTAGATCAATTAAGCATTAAAAAAGTATTTCACTTTCATGTATTCATTTTTTGATGTTCATCCTTTCTATAAGTAGATCCAAATTTTGGACTTATATTATTTTCCTTCTCTCTGAATAACTTATTTTAACATTTCTTACCAGGCAAGTCTACTGGTAACAAATTCCCTCAGTTTTTCTTTGTCTCAGAAAATCTTTATTTCTCCTTCACTTTTGAAGGATAATTTTGCAGGGTACAGAATTCTAGGTGGACAGTATTTTCTCTCAACAGTTTAAATATTTTATTTCACTATCTTCTTGCTTACATGGTTTTTAAGGAGAATTAGATATAATTGTTATCTTTGATTCTCTATAGATAAGGTATTTTTTTCCTCCTTTGGATTCTTTTAAGATTTTTAAAAAATCTTTGATTTTATGAAGTTTGAATATTGTGATATAATAAGAAATATATATGTGTTCTGTGCCCCTGCTTCCTGAGCTAATATTTGGTCTTTGACCTGGGTTCCTGACACAGAGCTCCTAAGACCTTTGTAATTTCCTAAATGACCAGAGTGTGTCTGACGCTAATCTTCTAAATCTCTTGGAAGAGATTTATAGGAACCTAAATCTCTTGAGTTATAGGAACATCTTTTGTACTGATGAGAAGAACCTTGATGAGCTCCTAGGTAACCTCAGCAGGAGGGCTGGTTGCCAGGGCAACCAACCATACTATTCGAGAGTTTGAACTTTCAGCCCCACCCCCTACCTCAGGGGAGGGAGAGGGACTGAAGTTTGAGTCGATCACCAGTAGCCAGTGATGTATGTAACCAATCATGCTTACATAATGAATCCTCCATAAAATCTCAAAAGGACAGGGTTCCTGGAGCCTCCTGGTTGCTGCGCATGTGTAGGTTCTTGAAGGGTGATGCTCCTGAAGAGGGTTTGGAAGATCCATGTTTCTTCCCACATACCTTTCCCTATGTACTTCTTCCATCTGGCTATTCATCTGTACCCTTCATAATAGGCTTTATGATATATAATACATAATATAATATAATATAATATAATATAATATAATATAATATAATATAATATAATGGGTAAGCATAAGTAAACTGTTTTCCTGAGTTATATGAGTCATCCTAGCAAACCAAACCCAAGCAGTGAGTAGAGGGAACCCTAATTTATAATTGGTTTGTCAGAAGTATGGGTGACAATCTACTACTGGTGTTTGGCATCTAAAGCTGGTTGCAGTCTTATGGGACTGGGCCTTTAACCTATGAGATCCAACTCTAACTCCAGGTAGATAGTGTCAGAATTGAACTGGATTAGAAGACACCCAGCTGACGTTTGCTACAGGATTGGTTGCTTGCTTGCTTGGTGGGGAGAAATTCCCACACATTTGGTCATAGAAGTCTTCTGTGTTGATTGTTATGGTGTGAAAGCAGGAGGAAAAAAAGAGAAAATTTTGAGTTTTTTTCCATTCAATTATTCTCATTCTTAGTGGATATACAGTAGTTCCTCATTGTGCTTATATATTTGTAGGGATTAGCATTGCAAGAATCAATTAAGCATCATTTCCTGTTAGGGCAATATTTCACAGGAAATAGGCCTGTGGTTTCATCTATTTAGAGACAGGTGGAACTAAGAAGATAATTTTAAAATGTTTTAAAAATCAGACTGTTGATAATTTAACAAAATTTTAAATCAACTTGTCTGTCTCTTACATATCAGTAAGGTATGAATGAGGCTAAACACATTTGTTATGCTACCTTCTGATTTGTCTTCTTCAGTGTGATGTTATGTCATCATATGAGTTGAATTGTTATTTGCGTGAACTGGGTAGCTACAATCTTACCACAATAGCATAAGCATTAGAGACATATAAATGCTAGCACGGCCAAAATTAGGCGTTGAAATAGCCATCCCTCCCATTCAGGTAGTAATTTGGCAAGCCTAAGCCAAAGGTTGCAGGCTTCTGAGGAGTCATCTGTTATACCATGATTAGGCACTCCAGTTTTCTTTCTTTTTTTCTTTCCAGCAGACAGTTTGTTACATACTCCTTAGCAGATTCTGACATCCATGACCACTGTCTTGCCCAGTTTTCCTATTTTTAATATAATGTCTTTTACAGATTGCAATAAATTTTAAAATCCCAGATAAATTGGCAACAATATAACATTCTTCCCAGAGTTTCCTTCTCTCTAAATAATGAGAGTAGTAAGTTTATTCTAACTCAACAGTCAAAATAACAGCTATTATCCAGGACAATGATGCTTCCAAGACTGTAGTAAAGCCTATAAAATGTAAAATAATCAAGTTAATGTACAGCTGTGCAGAATTTAAAAAATTAAAAATACCTATGTCTTCCCTTTAGAAGCTAAATCTATTATGTCTCTGAACTCTCAAAGCTCTTTATCTATACCTACTATAGTATGTACAACATTCTTTGGATATTATAGTTATTTTTGCCCACGTCTCATTTTCTGTACACAGCTATAAAAATTTTGTAGGCAAGACCTTCAGTGACTGATTAAACTTTACATGCCCCAGCACATACCACATAGGCTTAGGTGTGCAAGTAACAGAGGTGAATTCTGTTGGGATTAAAGGTTAATGTAGGAGAAGCAGAGACAAATAACACTGAAAAACTAGGTACTGTCTAGTGCCTGCCATTAGTGAGGCAGTTTCCAAGTGCCAATTCCAATATTCATTATGTCTTTCCTAAGCAACAAGAACATTTATTGGAAAACCCCACCACTACCATCACCATCACCACCAGATGTCTACCAATGACATGTATAAATAAAAACGTTATGTGACCTCACATCTGTTAGAATAGCATATATGTATATATGAGAGAGAGAGAGAATTGTACACACACTTGTTACTTTCATATATATTATATATATGCTATTCTAACAGATATGATGTCTATATCTATGTATCTATCTATGTATCTATCTATGTATCTATGTATCTATCTATGTATCTATCTATCTATCTATCTATCTATCTATCTAGATATATACACATACACATATATACCTATATATGAAAATAACAAGTGTTGGTGAGAATGTAGGGAAATTGGAATTCTTGTGCATTGTTGGTGGGAATGTAAAATGGTGCAGCCACTATAAAAAACAGTATGGTGGTTCCTAAAAAACTTTCATGTAGAATGACCGTATCATCCGGCAATTTCATTTCTGGGTATACACCCAAAAGAATTGAAAGAATGGTCTTAAAGAGATATTTGTACACCCATGCACATAGCGATGTTGTTCACAATAGCCAAAAGGTAAAAGCAACCCAGGTGTCCATTGATAGATGAATAATGAACAAAATGTGATATATGCAAACAATGGATAATTGTTCAGCCTTAAAAAGGAAAATAATTCTGACACATGCTGCAGGGATAAAACTTGATGACATTACACTAAATGAAATAAAGCAGTAACAAAAAGGCAAATACTGTATCATTCCACTTATATGAGGTATTTAGAATAGTCAAATTCCTAGAGACAGAAAGTAGAATGATGGTTGCCAGAGGCTGAGGGCAGGGGGAAAATAGGTAGTTGTTTTCTAATGGGAATAAGGTTTAGTTTTGCAAGATAAAAAGAATTCTGGAGATTGGCTGCAGAACAATGTGAATATTCTTTACATTATTAAACTGTACATCTGAAAAAGAGGATGATAAATTTGTGTTACATGCAAAGTAGTCCCCCTTTATCCACAGTTTTGCTCTCTATGGTTTCAGTTATCCATGGTCAACTTCTATTCAAAAATATTAGATGGAAAATTCCAGAAATAAACCATTCATGAGTTTTAAATTGCACAGTGTTCTCAGTAGTGTGATGAAATCTCTCACTGTCCTGCTTCGTCCCACCCAGGATGCAAATGATCCCTTTGTAAAGCATATCTGAGCTGTAGATGCTACCAGCCCATTAGTCACTTAGTAGCTGTTCTGCTTATCAGATTGACCATCATGGTACCACAGTGCATGTGTTCAACTAATCCTTATTTTATTTAATGGCCCTAAAGTGCAAGAGTAGTGATGCTGGCAATTTGGATATGATGGATAGAAGCCATAAAGTGCCTTCTTTAAGTGAAGAGGTGGAAGTCCTTGACTTAATAAGAAAAAAGATCATACGCTGATGTTAAGATCTACAGTGAGAATGAGTCTTCTATCTGTGAAATTGTCAAGAGGAAAAATAAATTCATGCATAGTATATATAGGGTTTGGTGCTATCCACAGTTTCAGGCATCCACTGCGGATCTTGGAATGTACCACCTGCAAATAAGTGGAGACTATTGTATTTTATTATAATTAAATATTAAAAAGTTATGTGAGAATTCCAATAAGTGGCCCTCCTGTTTTCCCCCTTCCTAGAACAGATATGTGGACTGAGGTTCTAGAACTTCATTGGACTATGAGGTGATACTGAGAAAAAGAGCTACAAACCATGGTGTGGCAGAGATAAAGGGAGAATGGGTCCCTAATGCTCCTAGAGCGATTGACCCACCCCTGGACTGCTTTCCTCTCAGCGTCTGATATGGTTTGGATGTCTGTCGTCTCCAAATATCATATTGAAAATTGATCCCAGTGTTGGAGGTAAAGCCTGGTGGGAGGTGTTTGGGTCATGGGGGTGGATCCTTCATGAATGGCCTGGTGCCCTCCTTATGATGAGTTCCTGCTCTGAGTTCATGTGAGATCTGGTTGTTTTAAAAGTGTGGCACCTCCTCCGTAGCTCTCTTGCTTCCTGTCTTGCCATGTGACATGCTTCTCCTGCTTCACCTTCCACCATGAGTAAAAGCTCCCTGAGGCCTCACCAGAAGCTGAGCAGATGCCAGCACCATCTGCTTCCTGTAGAGCCAATGAGCCAATTGGCTTCCTGCAGAACCATGAGCCAATTAAATCTCTTTTCTTTATAAATTACCCAGTCTCAGGTATTCCTTCATGGCACCACAGAACAGACTAATACAGCTTCTACCTATTCAATACCTTAAATCTTTCCTTCTCTGTCCTATAACCCAATTGTATTTTGACCATGATATTTACTAGTGCCTAAAGTGCTTTTATTTGTTATTTATCTCACCTTCTTACTTCATGTTCACTAGAATATAAGCTCCATGAAAGGAGGGACTGTCTGTTTTGTACGCCACTGTTAGTTCCACTGCCTAGAAGTGCCTGACATATAATAAGCACTTAATACATGTTTATACAATAAGAGAAAGAATAACAACACAAATGGAAAATAAGGGACATATTTGAGCACTCTGTAGAGATAGAATAGTTCTGCTTGATTGTGGAGTGGAGAAACAAGATAGATGGAATCAAGGATGACTCCAAGGTTTGGAGCCTGGGTGACTAGGTCAGGTAGCATCAATACAGGAAGTCATCAGAACAAGATGATGAAATATGTAGTGAAGGGAAATGAAAATAAAACCTACATATGATAGGATACCAGGGGGTGAAATAAATGTAATATGGTGAAAATGTGGGGCATGGGTGTTTGGAGGAGCTGCTACACACCCACTAAACCTCAGTTAGGTTTCCAGTGTGGGATGGAAAGAGGGACAACTGACCTAACACCAAACTCTTTTTATATGTCAATGACCATCAATCACTATTAAGGGGGAAAAAAGTAGTACCAGTACTGGCTATGCCAAAAATAATTAGAAATAAAGATAATATGCACAAAATAACATAAATTTCAAAAGAAAAAAGAATTTTCTATGGCAGTTTCAGCATAGCTATTTTATTGCATGAACACTTTATTGTACCGAATAGGGTCAAATCACAAATAAAGTTCTGTAAATCCTTGTTTTTTTCAGAATTTATTACCCATGCAGACTCACTCTCCAATGTGGCACCTAGGTGTTCCTTATGTAATAAGAGATTAATAACATTGAGTCTCATAATGGATAAGCCTTTTCATAGTGACTCTCATGTTGACAAAAAAAAAAGAAAAGAAAAAATCAGCCTTGCTTAAAGTTCTCACTGAACATTGCACCCCAGAGACTGCTAGATGTCATAATTTTCAGGTTCAGACAGGGTCCTAAGGAATCCTAGCAGCAGCAGTGTCTAAACTGCTGGCTGAAGGTCTCCCAGGCAAGAGATTGGTTCTCTGGAAGGTAAAAATCCTAATCCCTGAGGTGGTCTTCCTCAAACTTCACCTTTACTATCACAAAACCCTCCAGGAGGAGCTGCTAGTCAGCAGGCTTCTTTGCATCCACAGCCATCTTGGACACCGGGAGTTGTGACCTCAGCAGTGTCTTGGTCGGGAGATGTTAGAGGAGAACTCTGAGGAACAAGAAATAAATGATAAATGGAAATTGAATTTTTTGCTAAAATTGACATAAGTTAAAAAGGTGAATTACTGAGAGTACTTCATTAAAAATAAAGTGAGGATTCTGGGATGTGAAGTAAATGTACTTCTCCCTGTTCCTTCTACTAAGTACAACTAAAAGCTCTGGAGATTATATATAAAACAAACATAAGAAATCTCTAAAAGGTGAAGAGAAGGCAGACTGGATAGGAACCTCAGGATTCAAGGAATGACCCAGTAATGAGTTCCCTAGGTCTTCTTTTGGCCGTATTTATCCTAGACTTGAAATTGAAGACAGTAGCAACCTGAAAATGCCAACAGAAGCAGATTTAACCGTAACAAAAGCTTGCTGCTGCAGCCCAAGGATCAAGAAAGGGGCAGCTTAGCGAGACAAAAAACCCTTTTAGATAGTAACTGCTCTACTCCAGCCAAACATGACAGAAAAAACTGTGGCCCCAAGCCCTACCCATAACAGCAAAGGCCCAGTGAGAAGCCTAGACTTCTACCCTCACCAGGCTCCAATGGTACCCCAATATCTCCACTAAGTTGGTGTCAATAAAGGCCATGTGGAGAGCATGGACTCCTACCCCAATTTGGCAAAAACAAGGCACTCCTCCTCTTCTCCATTGGACTGGTGTCAGATGAGGCCTACTGAAGGCCCAGGGCTTTTACTATTACCCACCAGTAATGAGGTCATACCCATGACCATAGCATCAGTATAAACCACATGGGGAATTGGAACTCCCCTCCACCCAAAAATAATGAAGAGCTCCCCACCTTGGGTGTTAATGGAGGCTGAGTGGGGGTGTCAATGGAGGCTGGGTATCACAGAGGATGGACTTCTAGTTCCATCTGGTAGTAATGAGGCAGCACACCCCCACCTCCCCCTGCCAGAGTAGTATCAGAGAAAGCCAGGTTAAACAAAAGATTCTGAATAAGATCCAGAGTTCAGAACATAATATAACAATTTCCAGGTTTCAGTCAAAAATCCTTCTTCATACCAAGGAGCAAGAAATTCTCAGACTGAAAGAAAAAAAAATGAATATTAAAACTGAGGTGACAAATCTTAGAATTATCTAACAAAGATTTTAAAGCTGCCGTGACAAAAAGGCTTGAACAAGCAATTACAAACATGCCTGAAACAAATAATAAGAAAAAACAGACACAGCAAAGACATAGAAAATTTCAGCAAATAGGACATAAAAGAAGAACCAAATGGAAACTTCAGAAATGAAAAACACAGTAACTGAAATAAAAAGCTCAGTAGATAGGCAGAATGGCAGAATGGCAGAATTGAGAGGGGAAAAGGAAAGAATCACTGAACTGAAAGAGAACAACAGAAATTAACCAATCTGAATGCCAGAGAAAACAGACTAAGGAAATTGAAAACAGCCTCAGGAATCTGTGAACTATAACCAAAGAGCTAATGTTCAATTAGAGTACCAGAAGGAAAGGAGAGAGGGGCAAGGATGAAAAAGTAAAAAAAAATGACTGAAAATTTCCCAAATTTGTCAAAAGACATAAACTTACTAAATTCAAGAAGTTGAGAAAATGCTAAACATAACAAACCCAAAGAAATCCATACCAAGACAGGTAATAATTAACCTTCTGGAAACCAAAGACAAAGAAAAAATTCTTGAAAGTAGCCAAAGAAAAATGATACCTTAAAAATAGAGGAAAAACAATGAGAATGACAGGGATTTTTCATCAGAAACAATAAAGGCCAGAAGGAAGTGGCACAATATTTTTCAAGTGCTGAAAGAAAAGAACTGTCAGTCCAGAATCCTATATCCAGAGAAAATATCCTTTAGGGATGAAGGCGAAATCAAGATACTTTTAGATGAAGGAAAACGAAGAGACTTTGTTATCAGCGGAGCTACCGTAAAATAATGGCTAATGGAAATTCTCTGAACAATCGGAAATGATTAAAAAAAAATAAAAAGGAAACTTGTAACACCAGAAAAGAAGACAAAACACAGTAAGCAAAAATATTGGGCTGGGCACAGTGGCCTACGCTGTAATCCCAGAGGCTGAGACAGGAGGATTGCTTGGGGCCACAAGTTCAAGATCAGCCTAAGCAACATAGTGAAACCCCCATCTATACAACAACAACAACAACAACAAAATTTAACTTAGTGTGGTGGCACTCACCTGTAGTCCTAGCTACTTGGGAGGCTGAGGCTGGAGGATCACTTGAGCCCAGGAGCTAGAGGCTGCAGTGAGCTATGTTCATACCACTGCACTCTGGCCTGACAGGGTGAGACCTTGTCTCTAAAAAGCAAACAACAACAAAAATTGGCACATGTAATAGACTTTCCTTCTCCTCCTGAATTTTCTAAATTGTGTTTGATGATTGAAGCAAAAACTACAACACTGCCTAAAGTAATTCTAAATGTATGTAGAGTATGTATTTACAAGAATTATAAATTGGGAAAGGTAAAGTATGGAAATACTTTACGTGAACTTGACACTGGTAGACTGTGACAACTTACATACATAAAATGCAATATATAGAGAATCCCCTAAAAATGCCATACAAAGAGATATACTTAAATATATATATATATATATACACACACAGATCAAACTGGACTTTAAAAAAAAGTCCCAGTTACCCACAGGAAAGCAGAAAAAAAAATGCAACACAGAGAACAAACAAAAAGCAAAAAATAAAATGGCACCAAGTATATGCTGTCTACAAGAAATTCACTTCAAATATAATGATATAAGTATATTAAAAGTAGGCCAGATGCTGTGGCTCACACCTGTAATCCCAGGACTTTGGGAGGCTGAGGCGAGAGGATCACTTGAGGTCAGGAGTTTGAGACCAGCCTGACCAACATGGTGAAACTCCATCTCTATTAAAAATGCAAAAATTAGCCAGGTGTGGTAGTAGGCACCTGTAATCCCAGCTACTCAGGAGGCTGAGGCAGGAGAATCGCTTGAACCTGGGAGGCAGAGGTTGCAGTGAGCCAAAATCATGCTACTGGACTCTAGCCTGGGTGACAGAGCAAGACTCCATCTAAAAAAAAAAGTAAATGGGGCCAGGCACAGTGGCTCATGCCTGTAATCCCAGCACTTTGGGAGGCTGAGGCGGGTGGATCACCCAAGGTCAAGAGTTCAAGACCAGCCTGGCCAACATGGTGAAACCCTGTCTCTACTAAAAATACAAAACTTAGCCAGGCGTGGTGGCTTACGCCTGTAGTCCCAGCTACTTGGGAGGCTGAGGCAGGAGAATCACTTAAACCTGGGAGGTGGACTTTGCAGTGAGCCAAGATCACACCACTGCTCTCCAGCCTGGGTGACAGAGTGAGATTCCCTCTCAAAAAAAAGTAAATGGATGAAAAAAGGTAGATCATGCAAATATCAGTTAAAGTAAAGGAGGAGCAACTATATTAATGTGAGATAGAGTAGAATACAGAACAAAGAAAAGTACCAGTCACAGAGGGAACATTACATAATGACAAGAGTGAATTCACTAATGAGACATGATAATCCTAAACGTATCTGTACCAAAGAATAGGTAGGCAAAATATGTGAACAAAAACTGATAGAACTGAAAAGAGAGACAAATCCACAATTATATTAGAGAACAAGTGATAGTACAACTAGACAGAAAATCATCAAGGATACAGAAGAACTGAACAATACCATCAGCCAACCAACTAATAGACATTTATAAAACAGTCTGCCCAACACCAGCAAAATACATATTTATTTTTAAGTACCCATAGAATATATAACAATATGGACCATATCCTGGGCCATAAGACAAACCTCAACAAGTTTAAAAGAACTAGAATGTGTTCTGCATCCACAAGAAAACCAAACTAGGAATTATAACAGAAAGATAGGGAAAAACTGCCAAATTCTTGAAAACTGAATACATTCCTAAATAAGTCAATAACCAAAGAGGAAGTCTTAAGGAAAATAAAAAAATACATTGAACTAAATGAAAATTGAAAAAAAACAATATTTGTAGGACACAGCTAAAGCAGAACTAAGAGGCAAATTTATAGCAGTAAGTGCATACATTAGAAAAGAGGAAAAGTCTCAAATCAATAATTGAAACTTTCACTTCAAGAGCCTAGAAAAAGAAGAAAACCACAAAGCAAGCAGAAAGAAGCAAATAATAAAAATAAGAGCAAAACTCAAATGGAAAATTTAAAAAAACTATAAAAAATAAATAAAACAAAAAGTGGGTTTTTTGAAAAGATCAATAAATTAAAACCTTTAGTAAGACTGATAAATAAAAAATTAGGGAAGACCATTAACTGCAATGAAACAGGAGATATCACAACAGACTATGCAAACACCAAAAGGATAATAGGGAATACTATGGACAACTCTCTACATATATATTTATTTTATTTTTGAGACAAGGCTTGCTCTGTTGCCCAGGCTGGAGTGCAGTGGTGTGTGTGATCATAGCTCACTTCTGACTGGAACTCCTAGTCTCAAACGATCCTCTTGTCATCCCCTTGGGTAGCTATGACTATAGGTGTACACCACCATGCCCAGCTAATTTTTAAATTTTTTTGTGGAGTTGGGGGTCTTGCTATGTTGCCTAGGCTGGTCTCCAACTCCTAGCCTCAAGCAATCTTCTTGCCTTGGCCTCCCAAAGTGTTGGGATTGCAAGTGTGAGCACTGCGCCCAGACTCTACACATAAATTTAACAACATAGACCAATTCTTTGAGAAACACCAACTATCGCAACTCATCCAATATGAAATAATTTTAATGTACTAATAAATACTAAGGAAATTGAGCTCAAAACTATTAATTTTTTTTGAAACAGTTTCACTGTCACCCAGGCTGGAGTGCAGTGGTGTGATCAGAGCTCACTGCAGCCTGGACCTCCTGGGCTCAAGCACTCCTCCAGCTTCAGCCTCCTGAATAGCTGGGACTATAGGTGTGCACCACCATATGTTGCTATTTTTATTTTTTGTAGAGACGGGGTCTTTCTATGCTGCCCAGGTTGCTCCTGGGCTCCTGCCTCAGCCTCCCAAAGTGCTGGGGTTACAGGTGGGAGCCACCGTGCTTGGCCAACATTTAACTTTTAAATCCATGATCCATTTTTTGTTAATTTGTATATAAGGCATGATACTTAGGTCAAGGTTCATAGTAAGACCGTCTCTACAAAAAAATTAAAAATTTAGCCAGGAATGGTGGTGCACACTTCTAGTCCCAGCTATTCAGGAGGCTGAGGCTGGAGGATCGTTTCAGTAGCTAGGACTACAGACGTGTGTGTGGTGGCACACATCTGTAGTCCTAGCTATTTGGGAGGCTGAGGGGGAAGGATTGCTTGAGCCCAGAAGGTCAGGGCTGCAGTGAGTTGTAATAATGCCACTGTATTCCCACATGAGCAACAGAGTAAGACCTTGTCTCAAAAAACCAAAATTTAAAAAAAAAAAAAAAAGTTAAAAGGAAAACTATAAAAATTTTATGAAAAAAAAAAAAAAAGCCATAGAAGATCTTTAGGATCTAGGGTTAGGCAAAGAGTTCTTAAACTTGATGCCATCAACATGATCCAAAAAAGGAAAAATTGACCGTTGGGACTTGATAAAAACTTAAAACTTGTGCTCTGTTAAAGAGGTCCTCTTAGAAGGATAAAAAAAGTTGCGGACTGGGAGAAAATACTTACAAACCCATATCTGATGATACTAGTTTCTATAATATATAAAAAACCCTCAAAAATGAATAGTAAGATAGGAATCAGAACATGGCAAAAGACATGAAAAGACATTTTACCAAAGAATGTTCAACATCATTAGCAATTAGGGAAATGCAAGTTAAAAGCATAGTAAGAAATTACTGTACTATACCTATCAGAATACCTATTAGGATAAAAACAGAGACAAACACCAAATGATAGAAAAAAAAGTAGAGAAACTGGATCACTCATATTTTGCTAGTGGGAATGTAAAATAGTACAGCTACTCTGGAAAAGTCTTGTAGTTTCTTTCTTTCTTTTTTCTTTCTTTTTTTTTTTTTTTTTGAGACGGATTCTCCTGTGTTGCCTAGGCTGAAGTGCAGTGGCGCGATCTCGGCTCACTGCAAGCTCCGCCTCCTGGGTTCACGCCATTCTCCTGCCTCAGCCTCCCGAGTAGCTGGGACTACAGGCGCCCGCCAAGGTCTGGTAGTTTCTTTAAAAAAAACTGAACATGTGGCCGGGCGCAGTGGCTCACACCTGTAATCTCAGGACTTCGGAAGGTTGAGGCAGATCTCTTGAGGTCAGGAGTTTGAGGCCAGTCTGGCCAACATGGTGAAACCCCATCTCTACTAAAAAGACAAAAATTAGCCAGGCGTGGTGGCAGGTGCCTGTAATCCCAGCTTCTCGGGAGGCTGAGGCGGGAGAATTGCTTGAACCCGGGAGGCAGAGGTTGTAGTGAGCCAAGATCATGTCACTGCACTCTAGGCTGGGTGACAGAGTCTCAAAACAAACAAACAAACAAAAAACAAAAAACTAAATGTATGACTACCAGATGACCTGACAATTGCATTTCTGGTCATTATTGCAGAGAAACGAT
Source organism: Homo sapiens (assembly GCF_000001405.40). Lineage (NCBI taxonomy): Eukaryota > Metazoa > Chordata > Mammalia > Primates > Hominidae > Homo > Homo sapiens. The sequence continues at coordinate 28,191,269 of NC_000006.12, read as the reverse complement.
GACTTATGCTCACACAATAGCTGTACATGAGTGTTCACAGCAGCTTTATTCATAATAGCCAAAACTGAAAACAATCCAGATGTCTTTCAATGATGAATGGTTAAACAAACTTTGGTACACACATATCATGAAATAGTACTCTGCATCAAAAAGGAACAAGTTATTGATATGCCCAACAACCTGAATAAATCTCTAACAAATTATAGTGAGTGCAAAAAGCCAATCGCAAAAGGTTACATACTACATGATTTATATAATACTACTGAAATGACAAAATGATAGCAGTGGAGAATAGATTGTAACTTATCCACACAATGGAATGCTACTCAGCCATAAAAAGGAACAAATACAGGAAACATGAATGAGTGGTGGGTAGGAGCCTGACCAAAGAGACTCAGAGCTTGTTAAATTTTCAAGAATTCTGCAAGACATTAAAAAATACATTATTAAAACTGACAACTAAATTATTAATATTAATGTTTTTTTGAGACAGGGTCTCACTCTGTCACCCAGGTTGGAGTACAGTGGCGTGATCACAGCTCACTAAAGCCCCGAACTCCCATGTGATCATCCCACCTCAGCCTCCCAAGTAGCTGGGAACCACAGGGGTGCACCACCACGCTCAGCTACAATTTAATTATTAAAAGGTAATATATACTCAAAATATATCAATTCCCAATTTACTACATTTTATGATTACTTCTGCTCTTGAGGTTGTCTGTGTGTCTATATAGTAGAAAGAATCTATAATCCTGTGCTACCCCCCATCTCTTCTCAACTCCATGACTTCAGTGATTTCACTGGAAATCAGCCATGGTGCAAGTACTGTACACCACAGAAAGCTGGATGTTGGCAAACACTTCAAATCAGGGCTTGGTTTATTGTTTTCTTGGCTGTGCAGATTAAGGAAAATGTTAGATAAAATGTTAACAATGCAGAGTAAACTTAAAAGTATGTCATGTCTAGAGCTGTTACACTGTGACCAGCACAAAGAAGTGCAATTCTTCCAGTGTTTGAAAATGATTATCAGCTTCGGCAAAGAAGTCCCCCACATCCTTGACCAATGAGGGACACAGTTAGTGCTGAAGCTGAAAGGGGTTTCAGTTGAGGAAATATAATTTGTAGGAGGGTGAAAATGCTGAAATGAAAGGTTTGTCCATCTCCATTTGAACTCAAGGAGCTGTGTTCACAGTGGAAAATATATCCCCTGGGCTTTAGCCATGATGGCCCCACTAAATTTTGAGTTACTAGGGGCCAAAATTTCTATGTCCTCCATACTACTTAGAATATTACACATCCTTTTTTCACTAGGAAATGATGATTCTGGAGTGGAGATGTGGAAGGGTCTTTAACCCACCTACTATTTGTCTTCTAGATTGTGGCTTGCTTGGTCAGGTAGCCAAGGTAGGAAAGAAACAGAGACAACGCACCTTGCACATTCCATGCTCTTAGATATTCCAGTGTCCTCAACTGGTACTCAAACAAGTAATTTCAACACTAGGCTATGCTAAAGTTAGTCAGAAATTGAAATGGCTTCAAAACAAAATAAATAATTCAGCAGAAAAATATAATTTTTAAACAACTGCCCTTGTATACTTTTTTGTTGCACTGATACTTCATTGCATTTACAAAAGGTAATTGCAGGTAAATTCCTCGATGTTTATTTTCCTAAATTCTCAACTTTCACAGTATTTATGATTTTTATAAAAAGTCTTAAATGTGGCATCCATGATGTTCTTAAACAATGAAGTTCAAGAAACATTTTATCTCAGTAAGAAAAAATCCTGGATACTACTTGAAGTTGTCACCAAACACGTGGGCAAGGTGTTCAGTTGTAGTGGATTCTCTGGGGATTAATCAGGGCTGAGCTTCCACTGCAGGCTTTGCACCACTCACCCCACTCCCAGGTCTTGGCACAATGTGGCTTCTCTGATGTTGATCCAGGGTTGCTCTCTGCCTATGGGCTTTCCCACACTCTTCACATTTATAGAGTTTTCCCTCAGAGTGGACCCTTTTATGTTTGTTGAGATCTGACTTCCAGCAGAAAGCTGGCCCGCATTCAGAACACTCAAAAGGTTTCTCTCCTGGGGGGATTCTGAGATGGCAACTAAGACCTGTCTTCTGACTGAGGGCTTTGCCACACACTTGACACTGATAGAGCTTCACCTTGTTTTGAATCCCCTGGTGTTCGATAAGATCCTGTCTCCTTGTGAGGGCCTTTCCACACTCAGGACATTGGTAAGTCTTATCTCCAGTGTGGATTCTTTTGTGCTTCCTCAGGCCAGTTGACAGAGTAAAGGTCTTTACACACTCATCACATTTATATTTTCTTGGCTCAGGAGGGTTTCCATGCTTGCCTCCTAACTTGTGTTTATTAAGCCTGAACATTGACTAAAGGCTTCAGACATTCATCACATTTATAGGGCTTCTCCCCAGTGTGAATTCTCTGACGTATGATCAAGGTTGAGATCACATTAAAGGTTTTTCCACACTCAGCACATTCATAGGGTTTTTCCCCTGAGTGGATTCTGTGATGTATTATTAGTTCTGAGCTCCAGCTAAAGGCTCATCCACATACGGGACATTGAAAAGGTTTCTCTCCAGTGTGGATTCTCTGGTGTTGGTTAAGGCCGGCATACTGAGTGAAGGCTTTTCCACATACTTTACATTCATAGGGTTTTTCTTCGCTGTGAATTCGTTGATATTCAGTAAGAGGTGAACACTGCCTGAAGGCTTTCCCACATTCATTACATGCATAAGGTTTCTCTTTGTTGTGGAATTGCTGATGTTCAATGAGGTGTGAACTATGGCAGAAGGCTTTCCCACAGTCCATACATTCAAAAGGTTTCTCTCCAGTATGGAGACTTTGATGCTTCCTAAGAACTGATCTCCAACTAAAACACCTGCCACATTTACTACACTGATGGGGCTTTTCTCCAGTGTGGATTTTAAGATGTTGGAAGAGTCCTGCCTTTTGACTGAAGCTTTTCCCACACTCTTTACATTTATGGGTTTTTTTCTTGCTGTGAAGCCCCTGATGCTGGGTAAGTTCCGCATGTGTGATGAAGGCCTTTCCACATTCTGTACATGGGTATGGCTCCTCTCCATTATGGATCCTCCTATGCATCTGAAGGCCTCTGATCCAGGTGAAAGTTTTCCCACACTCATCACATTTATATATTTTTTCACCTGTGGCATCCCCATCGTGCATTTCCAAATTGCCATTAGGCTCACTGTCTCTTCTATGTTTGGCATGCTGAGACACAGTTTCATTACATCCATCAAACTCCTCCCTATGTGGTTCTGTTACTTCACAAAATTCCTGCTTCATGCCTAACATTGTGATCTCAGTCTTCATACCATCATCTGAAACAACAAACCACAAAACTTGAGGAGAAAAGACAACCCAAAAATAGTAGTTTAAGAGACAGACAGAAAGGACAGTCTTTATGTTAGGTTAATTTTAACAGTGGATTTTATATAGTCTCTTTATTTGGAGTTCAGAGAAATATGTCAGTCAAGGCAGAAGGAATGGTAGTAACACAGGTGGGGAAGTGAGAAAGAATAAAGCATGGCTGAGTTACCAGCAGAATATGGTAAATTTGACAGGATGTCTCTTCTGTGATTATAGAAGATTCCAAGTTCTATCTTGCTAGTAAACTCTTTCCATTGACATCCTCCCTTACTGACTTTGATGTAGACAGCCACTATATGGAGAAACCCATGTTGTAAGGAACTCAGGGTAACCTCTGGCTGGCAGTTAGCAGGAGAGTGAGGCCCTCTGTCTGAGAGCCTTCAAGAAACTGGGTCCTGCCAACACCCATGTGTGGTTGGAAGTGGATCCTTCCCTTGTAACAGATGAGATGCCAGCCCTAGCCAACATCTCATAAAAAACCTTGAAGCAAAAGACCCAGCTAAGCCATACCCAGACTCTTGACCCACAGATATTGTGGATAATAAATGTGTGTCTTCTTAAGCTGCTAACTTTGTGGTAATTTGTTAAGCAGCAACAAATAACTAATACACCACTAGTATACAAATGCAAAGTTTCCTAACTATAAGAACTATAATTTTTTAAAAATGAGGAAAAACAAACCACACTTTGAAAAGCATATATATGTATATGCATATATACATACACACAATACATATCTCTGTGTGTGTGTATACATTTATACTTATGTTTATGTATTTGCATATGTATGACATGTAAACAGAAAGCAGAAGAAAATTATATTAAGATCAAACATAGCTGTCATATCAATAAATGCAAATAGGCTTAACCTACCTATTAGATCAAATTAGATTTGATCAGAACAAAACTCAATTTTATTATGTATATAAGAGTTATAACTAAAATAAAATGATTGAGAAAAGTTGCAAATAAAGAATGAACAAGAGTAAATTAAGCAAATACAAATAAAAAGAAAGAATTCATCAAAATCTCAATTTCAGAAAAAGACCAAAGCATAAAGTCAGATAAAGAAGAGTACTTTATAATGTTAAAGAATACAGTTTAAATAATGATAGAACAGATATGAATAATTATGCAGAAAATAACAGGAGTAACTTTCTTAAAGCAAAAATTATAGGAGATATAAAAATTTTTAGAAAAAAACAGAGACTTTGACCTCTGCCTAAAAAAACCACCAAATGAACAAAAATGAATGAAATCAATAAATTAAATCTTATGGATATTTACATATGTCAAACTCTATACCCTAAAAATAGAGAATTATCTTTTTCAGGTATACAGTGAACATTAATGAAAACTGATTACTTATTTGGCCACAAAAAAATCACAATAAATTCTAAAAGGTACAAAGAACATAAATATTCTCAGATAACAATGTAACGAATCTAAAATTAATAACACAATCAGAAAACAAACAAGTTCTTCCATCTGAAAACTTCAAAATTTTCACCCAATTACTGGTTCAAAAGCAAAATACAAATATAAATTTCAGATTTTCTAGAAAATAATAAAAATACTACATTTAAAACATTTGAGATTCATCTAAATCAGTGTTCAAGGAAATATTCATAGCACCATATATATCAGTAATAGAGGGAGAGTGGAAACAGAGGGAGAATAAAACCAACCCAGCTTACAAGTTTGGAAAAAAACACAATAGAATAAACCAAGATAGACCTGCTCATTAATGCATACTTTGTTGGCTTTTTTTCCCTTTCCTGTTTCAGTAATCCCTCCTTGTGCTTCCTGGAATCACTTCTGATACAATCTACTACAACTTAAAATATGTAAATAAATAAATGAACCAAAGGAGAACACATGGAAGGAATTAACAAAAATAAATTCAGAAACAAATTAAATACTAAAAATGAAACACTATCATGTTAAAACTGAATTCAATACATCAATAGGAACTCATGAATTTTTAGAAAAGAAATGTCCATTGAGCTCTGTCCAGGAAATGTCCTAGAAGCAGTGTTACCCTAGTGATAAAGGACACCCCTAGCACCCAGATTTTGTTCTCCAATACTAGTCTCCATTAAAAAGAACCAAGGCTCCTTCAGAAATGCTTGAGACCAGATCTGAGAACAGGGGAGGTACAAAGTAAGCCTGGAACAATTAATTTTGCTCAGAAAGTAAGCATTCAAAAATCAATAGGGCCATGGCAAACAGATGTGAACACAAGACTGAAGATGTCTACACAAGCCAAAGATGTGTCAATTTGGGCATTAAAAAAAGTAATGACTATGGAGGATTAAAACACTGATTCTATGAAAATCTGTAAGTCTATTACAATACTAACATAGAGAAAGTCCTAAAATCTCATGTCACAATTTGAAGTGCCTATTAAACCACTCCTTGGACTTAAAAATCGGTAAATAAAGGGAAAAAAACTAAGTACTAATCATAACTTCCTAGTAGGAAGTGACCAAAATGACATATTTGATAAGGGAAAGCTCTACTATAAATAAAAATGTCAGTTAATAATGTATAAGGAATGGAATAATTATAAAATCATTCTGTCACCCTTGATAAAATGATTGACCCATAAAAAGATTATCAAACATTATGTATTTTGTTGATGAGAAACTGGCCATTCACATAGTGCCAAATGACACCACAAACTTAGTAACAAGGGGAAAAATCAGCTGTTCAATGGAGGGATCGGACTCTCATCATACTAAGAAAGTGATTTAATGGTGGGTCACCCAGATATCAGTGTCTCCTGTCACCTAATATGAATTCTATCCCCAAATGTTTAACTTGAATCCTTCAAGCCTTTTGATCTAACTTGTAATTTATAGGAAATATAGGGAATGTGGGTATGAAAGGAAGTGACATAATGAAGAAACAAACAGAAAATTTCAGAGGGTAAGACAACTAGCCTGGACTCATCAAAAAGACTATTTTATGGGGGGAAAAAGACAGGAGGACTGCTCTAGAATAAAAAATTAAGAGACATAACAACCATTATGTATCGTGTGGCTCTAGTTTGGGTAAATCAACTTTAAAGACATTATGGAAAAACTGGGCCAATTTGAATTTGGGCTGGATTTAGGCAACATTAAAATGTATTGACGGGGAAAGGAGAAGATGATAAACTGAAGAGAATCGGTTATAAAATACCACATATAATATGATCTCATTTTTGTAAAAGGTATATGTGTGTATGCATATATCCACACACACACATATAAACATGGAAAAAGATGTACAGATATAAAAGTCATCAATCATAATCTCTGGGTGGTAGAATATAATGCTTTATTTTCTTTATTTTTATTTTTTTTGGACGGAGTCTCGCTCTGTCGCCCAGGCTGGAGTGCAGTGGTGCAATCTCGGCTCACTGCAAGCTCCGCCTCCTGGGTTCACGCCATTCTCCTGCCTCAGCCTCCTGAGCAGCTGGGACTACAGGCGCCTGCCACCACACCCGCCTAATTTTTGTATTTTTAGTAGAGACAGGGTTTCACTGTGCTAACCAGGATGGTCTTGATCTCCTGACCTGGTGGTCTGCCCACCTCGGCCTCCCAACGTGCTGGGATTACAGGCAGGCACCACTACGCCTGGCAAATTTTGTATTAAGAGATGGGGTTTCTCCATTTTGGTCAGGCTGCTCTCGAACTCCCGACCTCAGGTGATCCACCTGCCTTGGCCTCCCAAAGTGCTGGGATTACAGGCCTGAGCCACCGTGCCCAGCTGGCTTTTTTTTTTTTTAATGCATATCACAGTTTCTGACCTATATCATTATTCTCCTTTCTGAAGAACTTCTAACATTTTTTGCAAATGATGTGTATGGGTGACAAATTCTCCCACTTTTTGTCTGAGGAAATCTGTTGTTTTTTCCTTCACTTTTGCGGGATAATTTTGCTGAATATAGAATTCTAGGTTAGTGAGTTTTTTTCAACATGTTAAATATTTCACTCTGCTCTTCTTGCTTGCATGCTTTCTGAAGAGAAGGCCAATGTAATTCTTATTCTGGCTCCTATATAGGCAAAGTAAATTTTCCTCTAGCTTAAGATTTTGTTTCTTTGGTTTTCTGCAGTTTGAATATTATATGCCTAGGTGTAGATGTTTTGTTTATTCTGCTTCATATTCTCTTGGGCTTCCTAGATCTGTAGCTTAGTGTTTATGATTAACTTTGGAAAAAATTCAGTCATTATTGCTTCAAATATTTCTTCTGTTCCTTTTTCTCTTCTCCTTATGGTATTTCCATTACATGCTATTATGGACTGTATGTTTTTGTCCCCTGCTCCTATTCACATATTGAAGCCCTAACCTCCATTGGGGTGGCATTTGGGGATGGGGCCTTTGGGAGGTAACTAGGGTTAGATGAGGTCATGATGGTGGGGCACTTATAATGGGATTAGTACCCTTACATTAAGAGACACCTAAAAGCTTTCTCACTGTTTTTCTTTTTCTTTTCTTTTTTTTTTTTTTTTTTTTTTTTTGAGACAGAGTCTCTCTCTGTCGCTCAGGCTAGAGTGCAGTGGCGCAATCTCGGCTCACTGCAAGCTCCACCTCCTGGGTTCATGCCATTCTCCTGCCTCAGCCTCCCGAGTAGCTGGGACTACAGGCGCCTGCCACCACGCCCGGCTGATTTTTTGTATTTTTAGTAGAGACGGAGTTTCACTGTGTTAGCCAGGATGGTCTCGATCTCCTGACCTCGTGATCTGCCTGCCTCGGCCTCCCAAAGTGATGGGATTACAGGCGTGAGCCACTGCGCCTGGCTGGAGCTTTCTCACTCTTTTTGTCATGTGAGTATACAGCAAGAAGGCAACCCTCACCAGAAACCACATTTTTAGCCTAGGAAATGTAGTAGGCAGAAATTTCCTCACCCACCCAAAGATGTCTATGTCCTAATATCTAGGATCTGTGAATATGATGTTATGTGGCAAGAGGGAAGTTTAAGGTTCCCTATCACCTGACCTTAAAATAGGGAGATTATCCTGTATTATCTGTGTAGGCCCAGTGTAATTACAGGTATCCTTAAAAGTAGAAGGGGGAGTCCAAAGAGAGCTTGGAATGATATGACGTGAGAAAGACTCAACTCAGTGTTGGCTTTGAAGATGGAGAAATAGGGCCAAGGGATGTGAACAACCTCCAGAACCTGGAAAAGACAATAAACCAGACTCTCCTCATTAAGTCCCCTAAACGAATGCATCTCTGCTGACATCTTGATTTTACCTCTCAAGTTCTTCTGCTCTGAATAAAAAAGATTTTAGCCCAGTAATACTCATTTTGGATTTCTGATTTCCAGGACTGTATGATAATACATTTGTGTTAAGTGACAGTTTGTGGTCATCTGTTATAGCAGCAGTAGGAAACTAATACAGCTACCTATTACTCACTGTTGAGGCAGACCCCTTCCAAGTACTTTACCTAGTGCTTTGTGAATTAGGAGATTCTTCCATCTTGCTGGTGGGAATATGTACTGTTTCCAGCCTTGTCTTGAGTGTTTTGAGGACATATAGATGATGACTTCTCTCAGCTTCTATTTATCTGAAAATGTCTTTACTTTTGTTCTTAAACAAAATGTTTTGCTCAGTACAGAACTCTGTGTTGGCAGTTACTTTCCACAAATTTCAGTGTCTTTTGGCACTGACTTTTTTTACTTAGCTGCCAATCTAATTGTTGCTCCTTTTAAGGTACTTTTTTTCTTGCTTTTAAGATACTTCTGCTGGGTGCAGTGGCTCACATCTGTAATCCCAGCACTTTGGGAGGCCGAGATGGGCAAATTGCTTGAGCTCAGGAGTTCAAGACCAGCCTGGCCAACATGGCAAAATGCTGTCTTTACAAAAAATACAAAAATTAGCCAAGCATGGTGGTGTGCACCCATAGTCCCAGCTACTCAAGAGGCCGAGGAGAGAATTGCTTGAGCCTGGGAGGTAAAGGGTGCAGAGATTGCACCACTGCACTCCAGCCTGGGCGACAGAGCAAGACCCTGTCTCAAATAAAAAAAAAAAAAGATATTTCTGTCTTTAATTTTTAGTAGTTTTACTATGATGTATCTAAATGATTTTTTTCATTTATCTTATTTAGGGTTCATATGGTTCTTATGGTCCCTGAATCTGTGCTTGATACCCTTCATAAATCTTAGGAAGTTCTCACCTATTCTGTCTTCAAATATTGTGTCTGCCTCATTTCCTCTCATTTCTCCTGCAATCCTAATGACAAATATTTTGGATCTATATTCTCTGTGTCTTACCCTTTTCCTATGTAGCCAATTTTTTGTCCTCTTGTGCCTCATTCTGGATATTTTTTTCTAAACTATTGTCTTCAGCTGTTTCATCTGCTGCTATATCCATCCACTACTATTTCAGTTGTTTTCCAATTTCAGGATTTTCATTTGGTTCATTGTCCACCCCCAACCACGTTCCCCCGTTCCCCCACCAGCATTTTGTTAAACTTTTTTTTTTTGAGACGGAGTCTCGCTCTGTCACTAGGCTGGAGTGCAGTGGCACGACCTCCGCCTCCCGGGTTCAAGCGATTCCCCTGCCTCAGCCTCCCGAGTAGCTGGGACTACAGGTGCACGCCACCATGCCCCGCTGATTTTTTGTATTTTAGTAGAGACAAGGTTTCACCATGTTGGTCAGGATGGTCTCAATCTCCTGACCTCGTGATCCGCCCACCTTGGCCTCCCAAAGTGCTGGAATTACTGGTGTGAGCCACCACGCCCGGCCTGTTAAACTTCTTAATCCTGTCACTTATATTTGAACACTGTATACACAGTTATTTAAAAATCTTGTATGATAACTCCAATTCTGTATTCCTCTTCAATGTATTTCTATTATTTGTTGCTTCTGTTGGGTTTTCCTTTGTGCCATTTTGTCTTCTCATATGCCTAGCTTTTAAAATTTTTTGCAAAATTGTTTGAGAAATAATTTGAGAGCTATGATACTATTCCCTCATAGAGAGGATTTCCAGAAAGCTATAGCATTATGGAATCACTTAAATCCAACCACAAAAGAATATTCAAAGCTGAGCTACAGTCCTGGGAAGCCCTGCCTGTCTGGTTCACCCTTACTCATAGAGTGCAATCCTTTGGGGTCACACATCATCAGTGAGGAAATTAATCAGTCCCATCCTTCCCCAAGCCCCAACTTGGAAGTTCCCAGAATCCAACTTTGGTGTATTTTTCTTTTGTGAACTTATCAAATATTTGACTCACTTTCTCAGGTGCCCCTCCTAGAATCAGAAGATACCTAGAAGACAATGGCCCCAAAGACAGGGCTCATCTCTGTCTATCTCCATGCTCTTCTAATCTAGATCTTTGACTCTAATTAGTTCTCTAATGCCATTAAGTATATATTTTTTTAAAGCATTCTTCCCAGCTTTTCCACTTCTCCTCAGTAGAAGAGTTCGTTCATAGTACCTTGTCTGCTATTATCAGAATCAGAATTCTGGTCATATGTTTTTGCAGGGTAGATATAATTAGAAAAGTGATTTCAGCTCCAATTCCTATGAATTATTTTGATATTCTAACTTAAGGAAACATTTACACTTAACTCATTTGATTAAAAGTTCTTTAAAAAAGAATACACTATCAGCAATTCTTCCTGAGAAACTATAGATTTAGAGGCTAGAATTAACATTCCATAACTTTCTGAGGGACCTGGAGTAATTGAAAAAATTCTCTAATTTTAGACCAGATAATTTCAGGATGTCCTTCAGCTTTTTAAGCCTAAATCCTTTAAAAAGTCCAAGTGAGGGCCAGGTACGGTGGCTCATGCCTATAATCCCAGCCTGCAATTGCCTGTAATCACCTTGGGAGGCCAAGGTGGGAGGACAGCTTGAGCTCAGGAGTCCGAGACCAGTCTGGGCAACATGGCAAAACCCCGTCTCTACAAAAAATACAAAAATTAGCCAGGCATGGTGGTGTGCGCCTGTTGTCCTATTCAGAAGGCTGAGGCTGGAGGATGGTTTGAGTTGGGAGGTCAAGGCTGCAATGAGCTGAGATCGCATCACTGCACTACAGCCTAGGTGAGAGAGACCTTGTCTTTAAAAAAATAAAAAATAAAAATCCAGTTGAGAAAATACTGCTTTCTTAAACTCTTGGTTTTTAGCAGTGTCTGGGGTTAAGAGAAAAGGGGATTGCCTATAATTAAAACTTTCACTGAGACTGACAGGTGTGGCTGGGGAATGCTTCTGGACTGAGGGGCAGAAGCTGTCTCAAGAATGCCCCTTCCTCTTTCTTAAATGCCAAACTTTGTGTGAGGTACTAACAGGTATCCCAGACTTTACATGTTCAATAAAAATAAAAAACAAAAACAAAAAATCCCTGCTCCAATTGCATTCTCCCATCACTGTTAAAGTAACTCCATTCTTTCATTCTTTCAGTTGCTTAGTGCCAAAACATTGAGTCTAAATAAAAATAAAATGAGTCAAAATAAAATAATTTTGAGACAGAGTCTTGCTCTGTCACCCAGGCTGGAGTACAGTCACCAGATCACGGCTTGCTGTAGCCTTGACCTCCCTGGGCTCAGGTGATCCTCTCCTCTCAGCCTTGTGAGGAGCTGGGACTATAGGTGCATGCCACCACACCTAATTTTTTTTGTTGTTGTTGTTCTTTGTAGAGACGGGGTTTCACCATGTTGCCCAGGCTGGTCTTGAACTCCGGAGCTCAAGCTATCTGCCTGCCTCAGCCTTCAAAGGTGCTGGGATTACAGGCATGAGCTACCATGCTGGGCCTTAAGAGACATTTTTGCCTCTTCTCGTTCTCTGTAGCTCTACATCTAATCCATAAGCAAAATCTTGGCACTGCCTTCAATGCATATCTAGAATCTGATCACATCTTACCACCTCTGCTACCTTTATCTAAGCCATTCTCATTTCCTGTCTGGATTAGCTTTAATTCATTAATGCAAATAAAAACTAAAGAAAGCCTAAATAGCTCCTAACTGTTCTCCAGCTCTTACCCTGGCCCCGTATAGTCTATTGTAAGTTTTGACTTTTTAAAAACTGACATGTCATATCTTTCCTTAAAATCCTGTAATAACTTTCAATTTCACTCTGGATAAAACTCAAAAGTCCATAAACTGGCTTACAAGTCTGTTTCTTTTCTTTTTTCTTTTTCTTTTTTTTTCAGGCAGAGTCTCACTCTGTCACCCAGGCTGGAGTGCAATGGCATTATCTCGTCTCATTGCAACCTCCACCTCCTGGTTCAAGTGATTCTCTTGCCTCAGCCTCCTGAGTAGCTGGGACTACAGACATGCACCACCATACCTGGCTTATTTTTGTATTTTTAGTAGAGACAGGGTTTTGCCATGTTGGCCAGCTGATCTCAAACTCCTGACCTCTAGTGATCTGCTCGCCTCGGCCTCCCAAAGTGCTGAGATTACAAGCGTGAGCCACCACGCCCGGCCTGCTTACAAGTCTGTTTCTACAGGCCCTCTCCCCTGTCTCTCTGACCTCATTTCCTACTACTGTCTCACTGGCCTTGCTGTTTCTCCAATGTCAGCACCTTTGCAATGGCTGTACTCCCTTTTTGAGATGATGTTCTTAGGTAAAAAGCAAAAATATTTAATTTTCCCTTCGCTCATAGCATAGTCTGATATGTGCCTTCTTAGGTTACATTGTAGTTTAAGTAGTATAATCAATTTGCATCACCAGACCCTGAAAAGTCAGGCATTATTTCTGAGGTTAAGGTTTTCTCATTCTTATGTTGGAGATTCACCTCACTCCAGACTGCCAGCAGATGAGAATGTGCCTGTCTGGTTTAGTTGTCAGTTGCTTTCAGAAATTCATGCAGAAAAGGGGCTATCATGATCAGGCTAAGATGCCAGAGAGGTCTCTCAGTTCACAAAGAACAGAAACCATTACTTGCTAGTGATATTGACACTGTGCATACTTGTGACCCAGCAATTGACTCCTGGGTATGTTCTCCAGAAAAACACTCCCAAAAGTGTTCACAGCAAGACTGTTTATTATAAAGAGTTGTTTAAAATGACCTTCATTTGAGGAATGAATCAATGACTAAGCATTGTACAGCAGTTAAAGGGGTGAACTAGACTTTCATATATTAATATGAATAAAACTCAAAAAGCAGAATGGTATAAAATGAGTCATATTAACACAAGACCAGTTTTGTAAATCAAGTATTTAAGGATGGGAGAAACAGGATTGGGATAAAAGTAAAGGAGAAAAAGTGTGTAAGAATGAAAGCAAGGCCTCACACAGACCAATGACTCTGATGTGCCATGAAGTGAGTTCATAATCAGTCCACACCGAGTACCCGAAGTTATTCATTGATCAGGTCTGGGAAGAGGGCAGAATCCTATGGCAAACTTAATTAGAGGCCCCTCTGTAGGCCGGATTGAGACCAACCCATAAACAGAACCCTGGGAGTAGTCATTCAACAAGCATGTTTTGAGGGCCTTTTCTGTATCAGTCATTATTCTGTATATTAGAGACACAAAGATGAACAAGGCAATAAGGTCTGTTCATCATATTGCAGGTTCATACAGTCTATGCACATTTCTACATCTTTTTTTTTTTAACAAAGGGACAGGAAATTTTGGGAAATGATTTGCCAAAACACACATATTTATTTGCAGCATTTCTGAGACTAGCATCATAAAAAATAAAAGGGAGTAAGTCTGGAAGAAGTGATACACTTATTGGGTCCCAGGAATAAATGTCAAAATCATTCTTAGAAAAATTTTAATGAGCATTATGAATTCCAAACAAATAACAATATAGTCAATAATGTTTGGATTATCCAGTTTATAGTTACGTGATTATAAAGACTTACCTCTACTCTCTACCTCTACTACAGAAAATAAAAAGTTAATCGTATCAAAGACAGTTAAATATCCGTAGAGATTGGTCACAGAAGATTAATTCCTCAACTCTGCCCATGAAGTGACATGCTAATCTTTTTCTAATAACACTTGTCTTTAATTCCATAAAATAATGTCAGTTAAAGTGATTATATGCACTTGGTCTTTTTTTTTTTTTTTTTTTTTTTTTTTTACTGTCACCTCTTCTATTTAATGGTCTTTTCCTTAATCATGACAGATGACATTGAAAAATTCCTCTACTATCTCTCTACCACATATTTGATTATTGAGGTTCATTTTTGTTGTGTATCCTTTGTTGCTTAGTAAAGGATGAGTTCATCAAAATGTTTTCTTACATTTGTCCAAGTCATAAAGCTTCTATCTAGTGTGGACTCTGATGCTGGATAAGATCTGAACTTTGACTGAAGGTTTTCCCACATAATTTACAAAGAGCTTTTCCCCATGCGGGAATCTTGATGCCCTTTAAGCAATGAGCTAACACTGTTAGCTTCCCTATGGTCATATGCATACAGTTTTGTTCCAGTGTGGATTTTCTGATGTATAAGATTGAGCTTTTTTACATTTTTACATTTATAAATTTTCTCTCCAGCATGGGTATTCTGATGATTGGTAAGTGCTAGCTTCCAAATAAAGGCCTTCCCTCACACACTACGTTCATAATGGTGCTGCTCTCCAGTGTGGATTCTCTGGTGGGTGACCAGAGCTGAACCATAATGAACCTTTTACTATCTTCTTCAGACCAACAGGGTTTTTCTCCAGTGCAGATTCTCTGATGTTTAATAAGGCTGTCACAGCACTTTGAGGCTTTGCTAATTAGCCCAAGATGACTTGTACAATCTCAAGCCATACTCAGGGCTGCAAAGAATCCACAAAGAATAATAATAATCCCTGCAGTCAAAAAACTCACAATCAAAGGAGCAGGACAAGAGAGACAGATACAAAGTAAAACAGGGCCGGGTGCAGTGGCTCACGCCTGTAATCCTAGCACTTTGGCAGGCCATGGAAGGTGGATTAGCTGAGCTCGGGAGTTTGAGACCAGCCCGGGCAACATGGTGAAACCTCATCTCTACTAAAAGTACAAAAATGAGCTGGGCATGGTGGCGCATGCCTATAGTCCCAGCTACTTAGGAGGCTAAAGCATGAGAATTTCTTGAAACTGGGAACTGGAAGTTGCCTTGAGTTGACATTGTGCCACTGCATCCCAGACTAAGCAACAGAGTGAGAAACTGGCTCAAAATAAAAAAACAAACAAAGCAAAAGAGAAGATGAATGTTCCAAGAAAGAAACAATGTGCTATGGGAGGTGAAAGAAGGGGAAGATTGGGAGTAGTTACAGAAATGGAAATATGTTTGTTTAGAAATCAGACATCAATAGAGCTCAACCTAAAACGTTTTAATGAACTGTGCAACTTGTTCTAAACATCTTCCAGGCTGAAGCTTTCCTACTTTTTGATAAAGAAGTCTGGAATCCCAACTAAGCACCCAAACTGTGATGTAGAAGATCCAGAGTTTTTTCCTGAAGAACAAATTGTCTTTACTCAGAAATTCCTCTACTACTCATGCTCATGCTGAAGTGGGTTGGCTTTATAGCTGGGCAAGAATAAAGTTTAGCTATCTATTCACACATCCATCCCCTAAACCATCACAAAAAGAATCTGAGGTAGCTATAAAGACTATGTGATCACAGATACTTGTCACAGAATTCAATCATGAATCTTAAGCCAATACTTGCTTAATGTATGTGAAATCTGAGAGACACTACTCAATAATCATTTAACTTTCCATCCATTTAGATTCTTGAAGTCGAACCCTTTTGATTATCAAAAGCAAGATTATATAAAGCAAATCCCTGAACATACTCTCTTAGCATCATGTAGAAATGCTTCAATAAGTTAAAATTTTCATGGGAGAATGAACTAAAACTATATTCAATAGCATGGATCCACCTCACAATGTCAAAAGAAACAAGCCAGCCACAAAAGAGTTACATGGTATACACAAAGTTCAAAAACACGCGTAACTCATCATGGTGTTACAAGGAATCATGGGGATAAAGGCTTCTGGAAGGCTGAAAATATTATTTCTTGACCTGGGTGTGGGCTACACAAGTGTGTTCACTTAGTTTAAGTGATAAAATTATATGCTTATGATTTGTATATTGTAGGTGTGTTGTAATTTAATAGAACACAAGATTTTGTGGGATTGTTTTAGGGTTCACTATGACCCATTTTTTCTCTTTTTAAAACTATAGTTGAAGACAATATCTATTATTTAATATATTTTACATAGGGATTCAAGCAATATGTTTACTTGAATTTAGTTCCAGGAAAAAGTTCACCTCTGCAGTCAAAGATAGTTGCTTTCTTTTGTTAGGCAAATAAAAAACAATATAAAACAACATATTTTCCCTTTTGCTAATTGCCAGAAAACTTCAACTTCAGTGCTCAAGTGTATTAATCAATTATTTCTGAGAAAAATTTATCATCTGCAGTAGGTTGGGTGGTGGCCCCCAAAAAGTTATGTCTATGTCCTAACCCCTGGAATCTGTGAATGTTACCTTATTTGAAAAAAGGGTCTTGGCAGGTAATTACTAAGTTTATGATCTCAAGATGAGATCAGCCTGGAATATCCAGGTGGGCCCTAAATCCTGTGACAAGGATCCCTATAAGAGATAGGAAAGGAGAAGACAGAGAGGAGACAAAAGCTGGTGTGAATACAAAGGCTGAGATTTGAGTGATGTGGCTACAAGCCTAGGATTCCTAGAATCTGGAAGAGGCCAGGAAGTACCCTAGAGCTTTCAGATGGAGTGCAGCCCTGCCAACAACTGAATTTGGACTCCAGAGCAGTGTGAAAATAAATTTCCGTTGTTTCATGCCACCAAGTTTGTGGTAATCTATTATGGCAACCCTATGAAACTAATACCATCTGAAGAGTTCAAACAAGGGGACACTCTGCCTTCTTGTTTTAGCTATCATCAACAAGTTTCCTTTAGGGGCATCACTAGTGCCCCTTTTTGTGTGCTTTTTGGGGGTAATTTTTCTGTTTAAAATGGTACCCAAATATAGTGGTGAAGTGCTTCTAGTGTTCCTAAGTGCAAGAAGACTGTCATGTGCCTTACAGAGAAAATAGGTGTGTTAGATAAGCTTAATTCATGCATGAGTGATAGTGCTGTTGGCTATAAATACAATGTTAATGATTCAACAATTCGGTACATCCAGAAAAAGGAAGAGAAAATTTGGTCATCTGTACATGAGGTCACTAGGGAAAGTGCTAAAAAGCAACATCTACAGTGTGGGATGAAGCTAAGAAAAAGCCGGGCATGGTGGTGCATGCCTGTAATCCCAGCTACTTGGGAGGCTGAGGCAGGAGAATCGCTTGAACCAGGGAGGCAGAGGTTGCAGTGAGCCAATATTGCGCCATTGCACTCTAGCCTGGGCAACAAGAGTGAAACTCCATCTCAAAAAAAAAAAAAAAAAAAAAAATTGAGTATTCATGAGATGACAACTAATTAAAGAAAAAAACCCAAGAACATGTGAAACCCTTCTAAGTTAGTGCTGGCTGGCTCCCACGTTGATAGTGTGGAAAATGTTAAAGTTTCAGGCAAGACAGGTTCTAAAGATTAGAAGGCTATGGAATATTCTTAAAACATCTGTGTAGTATTATACAGAAAAGGGTTATGTGGAAGAGCTGCTTTCCTTATTTATTTTTATTTTTTATTTTTAGAGATAGGGTCTTGTTATGTTGCCTAGGGTGGTCTGAAACTTCTGGGCTTGTGATCCTCCTGCCCTGTCCTCCCAATGTGCTGGGATTACAGGTGTGAGCCACCTGCTCAGCCAAGGAAGAGCTGCTTTCAAACCCTGATGGGACTGGCTTGTTTTACTAGGATGCTGGCGAACGAATGTTTACAATGCAAATGACATATGGATTGATGAAAATATTATGACTACAGGCTCACAGGAATTTAACCCCCCCATTAACTCTAGGAACAACAGTTCAGTATTCACTAATTCAGTGTTTGCGGCAACATTATAGGACCCAACTAACTATAAGTAATGCAAACTGACTGTATATAGTTGTTCCTCGGTATCTGTTGGGGACTGGTTCCAGGACACCTCAGCATGCACAGGTCCCTTACATAAAACAGCATGGTATTTGCATATAACTACACACATCCTCCTATATACTTTTAAATCATCTCAAGCTTACTGATCATACCTAATTTAATGAAAATGCTATGCAAATAGTTGTTATACTGTATTTTAAAAATGTTCTATTATTTTAGAAATCAGCTATCAATGGAGTTCAACCTAAAATGTATTAATGAACTGTGCAACCACCAAGTAAGACTTGTTCTAAAGTCTTGTTTTTATGCAAGTTAAACAGAGTCAAGAAAATGTGAAACCCTTCTCAGCTAGTGCTGGTTGGCTCGCACATAGGTAGTGTGAAAAATGTTAAATTTTCAGGCAAGGCAGGTTCTGAAGATCAGGATCAAGATAACTTTTATTTATTTATTTGTTTGTTTATTTTTACTTTATTATTTTTTTGAATACTGACAATACACAGTTGGTTGAATCCATGGATGTGGAACCTGTGGATGGAAAGAGCCAATTTCTGAGGGTAACAAATGGGAAAATGATTTCGTTTGAGTCTAAGAGGTTGGCAGCTTTCTATTTCTCTTCTGCTGAGTGTAGCCAAAGAAGTGAATGGTTAGCACAGGCTTGGAATATCCAAGTCTCAAAAATGTTGGAGGTATGAGAGAAGGGTAATCTCAAGATGAGTCACTGGAGAAAGGAACCTACAGTTAAGGTCACAGCAGGCCTTCCAGACAAAGATGCCAGCTATTACCACTTCTTTTTATCATGGTAGTAGATGTCATACTAATGTAATAAGAGGGAAAAAAAGTATAAAGATTTGAAAGGAAGAAATACAACTGTCATCATTTGCGAATGGTATATGTAAAGACCTAAAATATCTATATGTTATTAGAATGCTGGCTACAAAGTCAATATATAAAAATCAATGCTAAGTCTCTGTAAACAGAAAGTAAATTTTTAAAAATGACACTACTAACAATTACATGGAAGAAATGTCAGATGTCTAGAAATAAATCTAATAAAGATGATCAAGACCGACACAGAAAACCATAAAATATTATTGGGAAAAATTAAGACCCTAAAGAAATGGAATGCTATACCATGTTCATGAATTAGAAAATTCATGTAAGAATGTTGATTCTCCCCAATAATCTATAGATTCAATACACTCTCAATCAAAATCCCAATAATTTTTTAGAAGGGAGTGGGTCAAATTTGACAGCTGATCCTAAAATTTATATGTAAATGCAAAGAACCAGGAACAGCCAAGACACTTATGAAGTAGGAGAAGAAGGTGGTGTTAAGAACTAAGCTGATGCAGAAAGAACTGAGCTGCCAGGTGTCGTGGTGGTCAGTTAAAACATGCCAAAATGATAAGGTATCAGTCAAGCCTTAGATCAGCAGTAGCATTAGCAAGAGGCTCAGCAGGAAAAACTGCTGGCTCCTGCAGTGTTACATTCTTACCCATGGAACAGAGTCAAACAAGTGTCAAAACAATCAGCAAAGATATGGGGATCATCTCGCTACTATGAGAAACCTAAATAAAAGGCTCCAGCCATTTTATGGGCCTAAGGGCTGGGAGGGGAAAGAGGGAAAAGTGCTAGGAGTGGAAAAGTACTAAATACTGAAAGTGAAGACAAGTGGCATCAAGGTTCCTGATCCCAGTAAAATGGTCTCAGAATTGTTTAGAGGAGGCCACCAATAAAGAGACCTCTAAACAGAGGTGCTTGGACTAGGAATGCAGATATGCCTAAGAGCATGGCTGGGCCGGGGGTCTGGGTCCTTGACTGCAACTTTCTTCAGAGACTGCAATGCATTGGCTGTGCCCCAAGTCTGGCATGGGGAGGGTAGCTTTCCTTCATGAGGTGTACGGCCTTTGTAACTGCCTATGGTTGGGCCTGAAAAATGACACATAGAAATTTGGCATGGAGTCTGACTCTTCAAGTAGGATGATTTGCTCCACTGGATACCAGAACAATGTAAAGCTACGATAATTAGGAAAATCTGGTATTGATGAAGGGAGAGCCAAATAAAGCAATGGAACATAACAGAGAAACTAGAAACAGATCCATGCATTTTTGGAAAATTAATTAATGACAAATTGGCACTGTAGAACAGTGGGAAATGACAGGCATTCCCATAAGTGATGAAGGATGAAAAGAATATCCATATGGAAAAGAATGAAATTAGACTTTACCTCACTCAGGCAGAAAAATAAATTTCAAATGGATTACAGATATAAATGATAAAGCAAATTAGAAAACTTTTTAAAATGGTAGAGATTATCTTCATGATCTTAAGGGAGAGAAAGAATTATTCAAAAGACACAAAACAAGAAACACATGAAAGAAAAAGATTGATAAATAGGACTATATTAAAATTAAAAATGTATATTCATCAAAAGACATCATTAAGAGAATAAAAGGCAAGCTATAAAGATGGAGATAATATTTGCATCCTCTATGAAAAGAGCTCATATCCAGAATATGTAAATAATTCCTATAAACATGTAAAAAAATTGAACAGGAACTTTCCAAAAGAATACCAAACAGTAATAAGTAAGCAAGCAAGCTAACCTACTCTTAGTCCAAGAGATGTCACCTCATCTTTCAAGGTTACTAGCTCCATGACAATAAAAAGTGGCCTGAGTAAGAGCTGCCATGCCCTTGCAATGTTGGCACACCCAGCAAGACATGTAGGAGTGCAAGGCCAAGGAGGATGGTCTCTCCCAAAAATGGTACACCGAGTTACAACATAAAATGGGTTTCTTACTGCACAAAATGTTTGAAGAAACACTGGCCTAAAGAATATGTTTCATACTTCTTAGTAGAACAAAGAATGTCTGGTCTGGTCATAATATACTACTTTCACATGCATATTCTATGATTCTTGAAATATAATCAAGGTCCGTGAAAACTTCCTTCTTTACCCCCAGATGCACTGTGCTTTTTCACATGCTATTCTCACTGTACCTTCCCTCATTCTTCTGTATCATGTGGCTCAAGAACTCATTCTTTTCCTCCAAGCTTTCGTCCTCCTCCAAAGCCTTTTCAATTGTTTTCGTGAGTCATTGTTAAACCCTCTTCAATGCAAAGTACTCTACAAATCCAGCGGCTTTATCACAGTATTTGTTGTTTTCTATCTACTCTCTTCTCCCTGTCACCAAATAGTCTGCGAGCCTCGAGATTAGGGTGCTTTTTTCACTTATTTTTGTATTCCTAGCACCCGGCACAAGACCCAACCTAAAACAAATAATCACTAATACCTTACTTTGAGCTCAAAAGTAATAACCACAGTACACATATCCTGATCGCTTAATGGTTAAATTCTTCAACAAAATAAATTTATTTTCAGAAATAGCTCCTCCTTCAAAGTCTTCAGAATACCACTCACTGCTTAGTATTTATAGTTGTGCTGGTTTGGAGTGGGATATGGCGTCACTTTCAGTGCTGATCCCAAAAGGGTGTCCTCCACCCAGATGACTGTCTGTAAATCTCCATTCTAGAAACAAACCAAGATAGCTGGGGTTAGAAAGGTAAACACTAAAAACATTGAAGGTAACAGCACAGAAATGGGGTGACAGGTCAAATCAAGGAAAACCTAGTCTCCTTCAATTGCCAAAGACAGGAAGAAGCAGTGCAAAAGAATTCACAAATGAACTCAGCAAAGCAAAGAGAACTTCCTGAAGCCCTTCACTTCTGCTGTAAGTACAGTATGTGTTTTACCTTCTCTAATGTGCCCCATTCCCTGAGTGAGGTCCATTTCCTCAACGTGAGCTCCAGAACCATGATCTTCTTTGCCTTCAATCCCCATATCCAGGCCTTGGGCAGGGCTGTAGGCACTACTCCAATACCAGAGGCTTCATCATGTGCTTTTCCATATGTGTCTCTGACCTTAGTGCCTACTGGCCACAAGTTGGCTCAGAGCTTCATGAAGTCCAGTGTGTTTTACAGCTGACTTGCCTGAAGTGCTGATTAGGATAATTCACGGAAACTGTGCATCCCTTTGCAACACAGAGCCTCTTTCTGAGAAGTGAACACCATTTCACCTTCCCAGAGAGTGTTCTCTATAATCTATTCCAAATGTGAACCACCAAAGCTATCTGCAATTTCTATCGATTTGGCACATCTTGAACCTAACATGAATTAAATTTCAGGAATAAAAAATTTCAGGACTATTACTCAGGAGGGAGAAATCATTGTTAAAATAGAAAAATAGCCTAACCCGGTGGCTCATGCCTATAATTCCAGCACTTAGGTAGGATAAGGCGGGAGGATCGCTTGAGCAGGGGAAATGGAGACCAGCCTGGATAACATAGTAAGACCTTGTCTCTACAAAAAATAAGAAATTAGCAGGCATAGTGGTGCACACCTGTAAAACCAGCTATTTGGGAGGCTGAGATGGGAGGATCACTTGAGCCCAGGAAGCTGAGGCAGCAGTGAGGTGGGATCACACTACTGCACTTCAGCCTGGGTGATAGAGCAAGACCCTGTTTCAAAAGGAAAAAAAGAGGAAAAGAAAAATAGTAACAAAGTAATTTTAAAGTCCAGATTTCTCTCCTGAGTTTCACATGTGCAAATACAGGCTTTGGGGATTAGTGTTAGGAAGTTAGATTATGGTCTGGTGGACAGCTCTAGTGGGAGTCCCATAGACACAGCAAAAACATTTTCAAAATCAAACTCACCTCTCAAATCTGAGCACTCTTGGTTGACATTAGGTATCAAGCTTCACATAGTCATCCTAAAACCAACACTGACCTCGAAAATTCCCCAAGTGTCCCATTATTATATCTCTGAGCTTTTGCATATATGACACCACACACAGCAGTGACCTATGCAGCTATGAGCAAGGATCAGAAGTCAGAAACACTTAAATCTCCTTGGGAAGTTTTTGTCTTTGTTTTGTTTGCATTGGTTGAGGAACCTCAGTCAAACTCAAAGGCTTATTGAGTCAGTAAGTCAAAAGGTTTAAGGCTTTTTGACTATGCAAGAATCACCCTGAAAAATTATCTATTGGGATTCCTACCTAAAGATATGCTCTAACTTCTGCCAAGAAGTCGCACACACATCTAATCATCCTAAGAGCATAGCAGTACATCAAAGGCAAAGAAAGATAAAAGGGTTGGTATTTTCCAGATTCAACTAAGGATATGTCCTTCCTCTCTCACCAATTGCTTCCAATTTCAAATCTAATGTTTTATCTATAACACCAACAGCAAGAAAACAACAACAAAAGTCTTGCTCATAAGAGGAAAATGTTTGAATTGCTAGTTTGCTCTAAGCCAACACAAACTACATTATATACTATATGGTTTTTAAATGGCTTTACCTTATGAGTTGCAAAATTACCTTCTCAGAAGTAGATGTGATTTTAGAGCCTTAGAAACAATGCTGATGGAGTTACTTTTGAGTGACTTCTCACTTCAGTATTTCAAGGGTGAAGTGTCAATTAAGGCATTAACTTTAACCATACTCTTCTTTCAATGGTATCTTCCGATGTAACAAAAGCCCTTTGGAATATATTTGCCACATAAATCACTGATGACACTTTCCTTTGGCATGTGTTTTCTGGTGTTTAGTAAGGTTAGAACTCCCATGGAAAGCTTTCCCACACTCTTCACACTCATACGGTTTCTCTCCAGTATGGATTCTCTGGTGATGAATAAGCGTTGAGATCTGGCTGAATGCTTTTCCACACTCTCCACACTCATAGGGCTTTTCTCCAGAGTGAATCCTCTGGTGATTAATAAGTGCTGAGTTCACATAGAAGGCCTTCCCACATTCCTTATACTCATACGGCTTTTCTCCTGTATGGATTCTCTGATGCTTGATGAGGGCTGAGCTCACACTGAAAGCTTTTCCACACTCATCACACTCATAAGGTTTCTCACCAGTATGGATTCTCTGATGTTTGATAAGGTCTGAGCTCACACTAAATGCTTTGCCACACTCATTACATTCATAGGGTTTCTCTCCATTGTGGATTCTCTGATGTATAATCAGGTGTGCCCTTACACTGAAGGCTTTCTTACACTCATTACAAGTATAAGGCTTCTCACCAGTGTGGATTCTTTCATGCACAGTGAGGGTTGAGCGCACGCTAAAGGCTTTTCCATAGTGATCACACTCATAGGGTTTCTCTCCAGTGTGGATTCTCTGATGTCGAACAAGGCCTGAGCTCTGGGCAAACTTCTTTCCACATTCATTGCATTTATACCGTCTTTCTTCCATGTGCCTACCCTCATGCCTTTCTAACTGGTCCTCATACTGAGAGACTTTTTCATACTCAGGAGTTTGTAAAGTATCCCCATTATATATGCTAGGGACCTTCTGGTGTGGGTCCATCCTTAGAAAAACCTTCCCTTCAGAGCTGACACCTTGTTCACACCTCTGGCCTTGATTCCTAAAATAATAAACAGATCTTTGAAATGTGCTTTATTCCCTGTTGCTAAAGCAATATAATATGATACAGACTAGAGCTCTCAAACACATTCAGTAATCCCAGGACAAACCAATCATATGGCACTCACATAAAATGTTTTCACTCAGCCTGTATCATGTCTCAATAACATCAAATAACTGTTGGAATGAATATCTGACTCAAACGGCTATTTAAATATATCTTCATGGCACACGCCTATCATCCCAGCTACTTGGGAGGCAAAGGCAGAAGGATCACTTGAGTCTGGGAGATTGAAGCTGCAGTGAGCTATGATCATGCCACTGCACTCCAACCTGGGCAACAGAGCAAGATCCTGTCTCAAAAAATATAAATGAATAAATAAAATATCCTCTATAAAGTCATCTAAAACATACATATACAATCCGGAATATAAATGAATATAAAAATAATATATAGTTCCTACTTTTAAATGCGAATCATATTTAATTAAATTGGAAAACAAGACAGAAACGCAAGAGATTTGCAGATAGAGCAGATGAAGGAGTATGGGAATAGAAATGGCAACAGAAACAAATTCAACTGATAAGAAGTTTGGAAAAATGACAATAACACCATTAACAGGTATGTTTTACTGCCCACAGAAGTCCATACTATTTGAGATGGAAGAGAGACACGGGGACCAAAAAAGCTCTGTTCATTGCTATGCCACTACTATTTCTGCAGCTGTTGTTGCTATGATAAACAGTATCTCAGCAACAAGGATCCTTTGTCTCTGCTGGAACTGTGACAGAATAAACCCCTCACCTCTCCTAAGAAAAGGGATGGCTGCTACTTTCTTGGGAACAAACCCAGTTTTGTGTCTAAACTTGATAAAATTTTTGCTCCCAACTCAAATTACACTAATTACCCCTCTCTGCCTTTTTCCACCTTACAAATTGTTTTATGTCTTGACAGTTATAAGTTAACAGTGTGTACCCTTGATATAATGAGAATGGCACTTCACCTCTGTGGTCTTCCTCCCCAGAACATATAACCTCAGTATAATAATGACAAAAACAGTTAAATCCCAATTGAACGATATTCTACAAAATGAACAAACAACAATATCAACAACAAAAACCAACACAAAGCAGAACTGAGGATCCAGGACCAAGAGAAAATAAGGTCTCCATTCCTGCACCCCACTCTCGGAAATTTAGCCCTGTCAGAAAAGCAAGTCGGAGTCACTCCTGTAATTAGGAGTCTTAAGAGCCTCAGAGACAGCCAAGGACAGGACTCAAGACATCAGCCTGTCCCAGCCATCCTCCCTCCCAGGGTTTCTGAGGGTCTACTCTGCCAGTGCAGAAGGGCCAGGCAGGAGATGGGGTAGTGAAGGGAAAGAAAAATAAGAGGGAGGATGATGAAGAGGGAGGAAAAGGGAGGAAAGAGAAAAGAGGAGGAGTGTGAGAAAGTGGGTGGAAGAGGGGAGGGGTGGGAAAGGATGGAGGGAAAAGGCAGGCCTGAGGCGACCTGGCGCAGTACACAGTTTCTCCCATCCTCCGAGGGTGTCCACTCCAGGGCACACGCAAAACTCTAGAAGAAAGTCAAGAGGGAACTCACCTGAAAAACTGAGATTAGACTATCTGACCAAGCGACTGAGGACAGCTGTCGGCCTAGAAAGCTTGACTTTGACTTCCGTGGATCCTGCGCCTGGGCATCTGGTCATCTACTCTAGGATCCTGGAGGCTTCCCTCTCAGGGATTTGTGAGTTGACTAGAATGGACCATGTGAAGAAAGGATTGCTTACTCCCAAGAAGGCATTTTATGCTTTTTATCTCATTTAATCCTACAGGGCAGACGTTAAAGTCCTCCTCTCATATATATAAAAACTGAGAAGCAAATAAATTTTCCGAGGTCAGGCACCTGTTAAAACAGCCAAGATGAAATTTCAATCTAGGGCTTGCTTCCCAGATTAAGCCACTTTACAGCTTCTCAGGGTAGTATTCAGCCAGTAATCTCCAAATTAATTTGTAAATTCAACACTATTCTCATGAAAATAGAAACTTTTTAGAAGATTTTAATGTTCACCTAGAAGACTAAACATGCAGGACTACCTGGGGAAACTGAGGAAGAAGGGCACTTGTCCTAAAGAACTTACTTATTATAAAGCCTTAATACTTAAAGTGTGTAGTACTCATGATAATGGTACAGAACAGAAGGCCCAGAAATAGACACATAAATTTAGCATATGATAAAGGTAGCAAATGAGTTAAAAAAAAAAAAAAAAGTGAACTCTTCAAATGCATGGTGAGAACTGGATAACCATCTGGAAAGATGGTAAATTAGATTTCTACCTTACTCTATAAACTAGGATATATTCCAAATAAACCAGTTTTACATGTTATAAATAAAACCATAAAAGTACCAGAGGAAAACATGAGGTGAGTCCTTTATAACCTCAGAATAGAAAGGCCCTCCTCCTGGCCGGGCGCGGTCGCTCACGGCTGTAATCCCAGAACTTTGGGAGGCCAAGGTGGGTGGATCATGAGGTCAGGAGTTTGAGACCAGCCTGACCAACATGGTGAAACCCCGTCTCTACCAAAAATACAAAAATTAGCCAGGTGTGGTGGTGCGTGCCTGTAATCCCAGCTACTCAGAAGGCTGAGGCAGGAGAATCGCTTGAACCCGGGAGGCGGAGGTTGCAGTGAGCAGAGATCGCACCACTGCACTCCAGCCTGGGTGACAGAGCGAGACTCCATCTCAAAAAAGAAAAGTCCTCCTCCTTATAAGCCAATATCCAGAGATCATTAATGAAAAGATTGGTAAACTTGACCCACATAGAATAAAAACTCCTGTGAGGTAAAACAAACAAACAAAAGCACTTTAAGCAGTCAAAGACAAAAAAATGGAAATATATTTACAATTTCTATTTCTGAAAACTGGCAGCCAAGATGAAGTTCCTGAACGATAAAAAAAAGTGTAAACGGCAGGTCAGAGCTGGATTCTCTCCTGCTCCAGCTTCACTCTGAACTTAATCAGACTCTGCTAAGCATTCACAACTCACTTATCCTGATCCTGTCATACAGCAGTTGTTGTTAAGTCACCTCAGGTCCCTTACTTCCAGAATCCCCAGAAGACCACAAAACATCAAAGTTTAGCACAACTCTCCTGTAGAGGGAAGAGTCTGTCATTAACACTTCAGTGGCATATTCCTGGGTGGCACTAGAGAATAACTATCTTATTCTCCCTCTGCTTCCGGAGCTGGCATTTCTTGCCTATTTCCTGACTGTATCCAACAGCTGGGGCCAGAAAAAAATTAAACACATGAATTTATCAAAGAATCGCTGTGGAAATGAATAAATCAGCAGAACAGGCTAATTCCAGGGAGGTAAGCAAAGTAAGAAATAATTACAACAAATACCTGGATAGCACTTCCTATGTAGCAGGTACTGTTCATGTAATCCTCATAACAACTCTAGACAGGTGCTTTTATTATCCCCATTGACAGATGACATATAGGCACAGAAAGATAAAATGACTTGGCCAAAATCACAGGTAGTGTGGCTTCTGACTTACGTGCTTAAAAAGTAGGGGAAAAAAAGGGAAGAATCCCTAAGAGATCAAAAGTTGTAAGATGGTAATCTCTCTCCCCACCTGCTGTCTGGATTCACTCAATTCCTTGAAATCATCCAGCTTAGCCACTTGCCCAAGGAAAATCCTCCCTCCCCTGGCCAGTGCTGTTCCCTCTCCCAGACCTGGTGTTCCTCAGGATGATCAGGAACTGGCCTCAGCCACTGTCAACTGGGCTGCTGGAGCCAGCTTACAGAATGCTGGCCTGTGGAGTTTTCTCATTAACAGAATCCTTGGAACCAGCGAAACCATCTCCTCTAAAGATGCAGTCATGCAGCTTTTCCTGTAATTGACGAGTTTTCAGGAACACTTCTGTAAAAGAAACATTTTACTCAAAGAAAAAGCAAAGATTGCCATAGGTGTTATACTACTAAGGGTTATGGGGGGAAAGAAGTGCAATGTTAAATAAGGAGCTAATTTGCAAAGGGCTCTCAGATCACATGCTGGGGCAGCAGGTCTGCAGTGGTAATCTTCCCCGTTGCCTTTAAGCACTGCTTGGGATAGTGGAAGGGCTCATGAGAGAACAGCATTAAGGTTGCTGTAAGGTGGTCCTGGCGTGGATGGAAGTGACTGCTAAAGGGAAGGGTAGCCATTTATTGCCAAGCTGAAGTAGAGAGAAAATAAATTCTGCATTCGAAATGAAATGTCACGGGCACAATTAAGTGGTGGAAGAAGCCTCTCCTGAATTTAGAGCACCGAACATTTATTTCCAATTATTTGCATTTTCCCCCTTTTGTTTGAAAAAGAGAGCTGAAGATCTGGTGGGCAGTGATACCAATTGGTACCAGAAGCACACTTGTAGTTGGCACTCAATGAAGCTCTGAAGACGGCAGTAAAAACCAGGGTTGTAACTGAAAGGGAAGTAGTCCCAACTCTGGGCACCTGCGGCACTAAATCTCGAGGAAAAACCCTTTCCTGGAAGACTGCATTTGGATACAATCCCCACCGTCCCAGGATGGGTTGCCTCTCCTGGAGTTCCTGCACACATTCCACCCAGGCAGGCGCGGAGAGACGAGGTCTGAGGGGTTGCAGCTGTGCAACATCCACCCAAGCGACACCCAAATGCATACCAGCGTTTCTCTGCCTGTGAGCAGCAACCAGCTCCGAGGCCTCGCCTCGGGGCGGAAGTCCCTCTCAGTACTTCCGGGGCGTGTCCCGGAAATTTCTGGGCGGGGCCTGGCTGCGCCCGAGGTTGCCAAACAGGGGTTGAAACCTCCACCTGTCCCCGCCGCGGTGTAGGCAGGGTCTAGCCCGGGAGCGATTTGCTCCGGCCCGTCGGCAATGCTCAGACTTCCTACCTCACCTCTCTCGAAGGTTGATTTTGCTTCCTGAGTTTTATCCAGGGCAGGACCACCCGTGTATGTTGGAATTTAAAGATAGTGCAGTTGGTGAAATTTCTCGTGTGGGCCCTACAGGATCCCTTAAAGCGACACACGGGGCCACAGAACTCTGGTCTTAATTATTAGTGATCTGAAAGCCAACACACTATATCCTGTGTGCTTTCTCAAAGATTAGAGACAAGAACCAAGAACAATATTTTCAAAACATGACTGCGATACTGCAAAATTTCTCCGGCTATTCAATTATTTATGAAAGAACTTAACTCAAAGCACTGTAGTCAGTAAATATACTGGTTTGGATATAAAGATGATAAAAGGAGTAATTCCTAAAATGAATCATTACAGGTGGAGGCACAAAGTTTGAATCCATCTTATGGCAGAGCATGAATTAAGAATATACAAGGGTCACACCTGAGGGCATAACTAGGGGAGAAAAGAAATGGGCAAAGCCCCAGGAAACCTAACCAAGTGGCCTCTTTGAGCCTCCATTTACAGAATAATGGATTGGAACACTAAACCTAGCATTCTAAACTATGAATATTTAAATATGACAGAGCAAGCAGTTATTTCTTTGGTATATTACACATTTAAACTGATTTTCTAACTTGGGTTGAACTTTTGAGACCTCTGTCGCCCAGTGGCATAATCATAGCTCACTGCAAGGGCTCAAGGGATCCTCCCACCATATCCTTTTGAGTAGCTGGGACTACAGATGCATCCCACCACACCCGATTAACTTTTTTATTTTTTAAGTTTTTTTTGTAGAGACAGTCTTGCTGTTGCTCAGGCTGCTCTTGAACTC
The DNA here is from genome assembly GCF_000001405.40 of Homo sapiens. Lineage (NCBI taxonomy): Eukaryota > Metazoa > Chordata > Mammalia > Primates > Hominidae > Homo > Homo sapiens. The sequence continues at coordinate 28,160,749 of NC_000006.12, read as the reverse complement.
CTGGCCTTAAGCAATCCTTCTGCCTTGGCCTACCAAAGTGCTGGGATTATAAGCATAAGCCACTGCACCCAGGGGTTGAACCTTTCTAAACCTGCTGAATTAAGTACCCCTGCTGCAAAAGCAAGCTAGTGCTTCTAAAGGCCTGCTTTTTAACGATTTAATTTAGGAAATCACATTTCCTCCTACATATTTGCCTTCCTAAATAGGATTAACACAGTATGTTAAAAACTACGTTAAAAACAAATAAAACTGGAATGGTTTTACTTGACAAACTCTGACAATATTCTGGCTTGTGGTTTCCTTGGCATGCTGGTAATTCCTGCCTAGAGGCTGTCCAAGGGACTGAGGGTCATATGTTGTCCTTAAGGCTAAATCTTTGATGTTATAGCCCCTCTGTTAAAGAGACAGCCCCCAGTATTTTACCTTTGATGCTATAATGAACCAAGATATGGAAGACTAAAACTAGACTTGTACTTCTGTAACACTTGTATGCTGAAACACTTGGCATAGGGATGATGGCAGATCTGATGCTGAAAGCAACCTTAAAACATCATCAACTTTATTGTTTATCAACACCCTGACATATGTTGCTGTGAATGCCAAACATTAAGTCTTCTTTTTCTTTTATAGTCTTAAAAACCACAAAATATGCACACACACAGGATTCTCTTAAGGCTTGGCATAGCTAATTTTTCTAATTGTATTGCCAGTACTTCGTATCTCTTTCTCCTATTTACCTTAAATATATCAAGTCTCACAACCTCAGCATTAAGGATTTTGGGCCAGATCATTCTTTGTTGTGGGGCGGGGACAGGGGCAGGGGCGGGGCGATGCGGGGGGGTGAGGTGCTGTCCTGTGCAAACATGATGCTTAGCAGCATCCCCAGCCTCTACCTACTAGATGCCAATAGCATCCCAGCTGCCCACCAATGGTATGACCAAAAATGTCCCCAAACATTGCCAAATTTCTCCCAAAGAGAACCACTAATCTCATATACAAAAGCCTATTCTCAAGCACTTTTGGAATTATAACCTTCACACAATAGTCTTTAGTGCTTATTTTCTTTCTGGACCAATAAGGCTGACCAAATGGAGAGCTTCAGCTTTTCACACATAATTTCCTAAAGATGAATTTTTTTTGGCCTTACTCTTAGGTAGAGGCAGATCCTGATATACTATGCTAGCATACGAAAATAGGTCTGTACATTTTTGAGCACCCAAAGTGGTAAGAGACATTCTTGAAAACAGCTTAAAAATTTCTGTAGATACCACCACAAATAATCCACACAATACTTCAACAAGCATTTATTAAACGCCTACTATGTGCTCAGCACTATACTAGGCACTCGGGGGTGCAGAGATACAAATGTAAAAGTTATTATTCCTGCCCTCAAGGAGCTTACAATTTAATTTTGGAAATAAATACAAATATGAAACTGTAACACAGAGTGCTAGAAAATAATTACAAAGCAACATATTAGTAAGTACATGGACCACAGTACAAACTCAAAAGATAAGTGCTGAGGCAGCACAGAATGAGGGAGGTCATCGCATGAGGTGATGTCAATCAGGGAGAGCTCAGTCAGAAGATATAAAGGAAGAAAGGCTTTGAAGGGAGTGATGAACATGAGCTGGGACCAAAGAGCAATCTAAGCAAAAAGAATAGCATGAGAAAGGCACAGAGGCAAGAGCTTGTAAGACATCAGTAGAAGGCTGTAGGAAGTTTGAATCTGTTGAATCAAGGTGAATATGCTAGAGAGTAATGAAGGCTGATGAATATTAGGCATAGAGGTAATGGAGAATTTGGAACACCACTGCTCCATAGGAATTATCTACTGGGTGTTACTTAGTGAAAATGAAATTTTACAATAGAGATATTGTAAAAATGGGTGTTTGAGGAGGATCGTCTTTGAAAAATTATCTACTGGGTGTTACTGAAAATGAAAATTTTACAATACGGATATTGTAAAAATGGAGTTTGAGGAGGAGCACCTTAGAAACTTTATACAAGATGGGGATCCTGGGAGCAAGGAAATTGGAAAAAAAAGAATTACAGTAACCTGGGCCTCAGATCTACATGAAAAGCTATAATGGGATGAGAGAAATGGGAGATCAAGCCTCAAGGAGAAAACTGATTAAAAACTGGACTGACAGCAAGTTTTTGGACATGGAGAATGGAGAGCAGAAAAAGATAACTCCAAGGCTGGGGTAAAAATATAAAGGTGGTGACACTTTTCAGGGCAAAGGAATTACGCAATGAGGCCTGTTTAAAAAGAAAACGGGGGCTGGGGATATATGGTGATGAATCCTGTTTTCAAATATCAAGTTGTACAGGTACCTGTGGAAAATTCCAAAAGTCACAAACTGACCCACAGGGTGGGAAAAATGAAGTCATTCGAATACAAATAGTAGGTATAAACAATCAAAATGGATAAATAGGAGTATAGAAAATGAAGTGAATAAAAGACAGGGAGATTATTCTCAGTGGAGAAGAGGAGAAAGGGGAGTGGGTGGAAAGATCAACTAAAAAAAGAAAGACAGATATTAGAGAAAAAGGATCCCACAAGCCAAAGGAGGGAGAATTCAACAATATAAAATATAAATTAGATCAAAAAAGACAAGAAATAATAATAAAAAAAGGCCTTATTATTTGTCCACTGGTGAGTCTAAGAACATTTCACTGGAATGCTAAGTATGAAAGCCAGTAAAAAGAAGTTTTAAGAACAGATTAATGAAAAAGGGGGGTTGAAAAATCAAAGATATGTTTGAAAAACCATGAACAATAGAGGAGAAACAGAATGGTAGTTGGAAATGGGCAATGAGGATGAAAGCATTTCACATTTTATGCTGTAGATGAACTTACTATTGTCATCCTAACTGACCATCTGCCTGGCCTGGTACATGGATATTTCATTTCCCTCCACAATTCTACTTTCCCTTTGGCAGTTTGGAGAAAAATATATTTGAATTTATTATTGCTTTATCCTCCCAATTACTCTGTTAAATATGTTTTGTTTGCACAATTTAGCTTTGTAGTACTACAAAGCATCAACACTTAAAAATGATATAATTGTAACCCCAAAAAGCATTTTCCACCAATTTTCCAGTAATTGTAATGTATTTGCACTCTACTGCACATTCTTTTCCCCAGTACCTCTCATGACAAGCGCTACATATTTTTAAAAAGCTGGTTAGAATTACCATGTTCATTATACACACCTTAGCACAGTAGTCAGAACAGGCTCTAGAATCAAACTGTGTGGGTCAGAATCAGTTTTATCACATACTGGCTGGGTGATATTGGTCAGCTCACTCAACTAAGCCTCCGTTTCCTCATTTATAAAATGGGGGATAAAATAATACCTATTGATATGGTTTGGCTGTGTCCCATCCAAATCTCATCTTGAATTGTAGCTCCCACAATTCCCACGTGTCGTGGGTGGGACCAAGTGGGAGGTAATTGAATCACGGGGGCAGAACTTTCCTGTGCTGTTCTTGTGATAGTGAATAAGTCTCACAAGATCGGACGGTTTTATAAAGAGTTCCCCTGCACAAGTTCTCTCTTTGCCTGCTGCCATCCATGTATAAGACATGATTTGCTCCTCCTTGCCTTCCACCATGATTGTGAGGCGTCCCCAGCCATGTGGAACTGAGTCCATTAAACCTCTTTCCTTTATAAATTACCCAGTGTCAGGTATGTCTTTAATAGCAGCATGAGAACAGACTAATACATTTATCATGAGCCTGAGAAAGGCATAACAGGGTTGGGCACATAGTAAGTGCTCAATAAACGTCGGCTATTATTATTTGGAGACTCAGAACCAAGAGTAAAGTTAACTGCTCTGTTTGGGAATCAACCACCATATTCTAGCACTGCACCTTGCTCCATGGAGAAAATCTCTGAAACCTAACATGCCTCTCCCAGGGCTATGTTGGATGGCATTAGAGTTATGAAAGAACCACCTTATCATGTCAGTTCCTAAAATGAGAAGCTTAGGATGGGAGGAGAAAGTACTGATGAATAGTTCATTTCAGATGAACATAAAGATAGAATCTATAGGATAAAGGAGCTTAATGAATGCCATTCACAGTTAAGAGCTCAAAATGTCATACAGCCTAGTCAATAATATTCTATGCTAAGAGTGTGAACTTGAGACAAAGAATGATTTCTAGTGATGTCCTCAAAGAATCCACAGCCTTTTTCTATTGTCTTATACCATTTGGCTAATTCTGTATATGTGCTGTATCAGCTTTGATAATTCTTTCAAGACACAGTCTTTTCTCACACCCAATATAACACTAATTTTTCTAGTCATATTATTTTCTCCAAATTTATGCCACATGCTTAGTAATTCTGAGATTTAAGTAATCTGGCTACATATTACTCTTAATACTGACACATAAAGAGACTTTAGCTAGTACATCTGTATACATTTCAATGTGTTGCTCTGGTCTATGGCCATACCACCCTGAATGCACCCAATTTTGTTAATATGTTGCATTGCTAAAAGGACTTTTTATTGGAATAGAAGAGAAGCGTTCTTCTAAAGTGTATGGCAGGTGTGTGTGTGTGTGTACATACACATGTGTACATACACATATATTTTCCCTCTGACAATGCACCCATCATATGTAATATTTGCATACAAGGTAATACTGGCCCCAGGAAGAATCAGTATCTTACAGAGGGTAAGGCACAACTGAAACACAGAGCAAAGATCTAGATACAACCAGATTTACTTGTTTCTGGTTTCTTAAAATTTCAAGTACAAAGAAACTAGGAATGGTAACTTATAAATAAAAGAAACAAGAGAAGGGAGGATAAGAAAATAAAGGATAATCGAAAGGACTGTTGGAAACCAACATGACAAGTGATGGGTGTCTTCATTCACCAATGGCTCAATGAAATTGATGTAGATAATTCTGATGTTGTTAGTGGTCAAAGTGGGCCATAGAGAGGCAGAGAAGGAATGTTATAGGGAAAGAATTTATGATCCAAAAGGTGGTCCTCTATGACGTAAGACTTTGATTGCTTTTTTTGGCCCATCAATCATAAAATGATTATTATTTCTTTTCAGGATAGTCACAGGGTGAAATTATGAAGCTTTCATCAGAACCTATATAATTTTTTTTCTGAATAGGCTCAATGTAATCAATTTTAAGTTTAAAGGTTAATTTTGGAAAGCCCAAAATTTCTCAATTCCAACTCTGGTGAATAAGTGGCTACTCAAATGGTAAAACTAAAGTGTAAGAGTAATAGAGGGTTTTCTCATATGGTTTATTAAATGGGAATTCTAAGAGTGTTCCAAATATTTGGAAGAATATAGTAGTATGGAATAATAGTACTTGGGAATAACAAGTGACAACCCACATTGGATGCGTAAGTTCTGGCATGTTACTTTAAACCAGTCTCATTACTTTATATAGTATTCCTTGGTATAACAAAAGCCTCAAAGATGAAATATAGTGCCTGGTGATACTGAGTTTAAGAGTACATCTTTGTTGGTAGATTATAGACATGGATTACAGATGGAGTGCACCAGAGTTCAAAAGAATGAAAACCTGTGAGGTAAGGTATTAGATTACCACTGTGGATATTAAAGTCATATAAACTAATGGCAAGAAACAGATGGAGAATAACGAGTGAGGTGCTGAGGCCATCTAAAGAGATGGGTGCAAGGTAATGATAGGAGTGACAGACCATCTAGTCAGGGAGTTTGCACAGGCTGTTAAGAACCTGAGAAAGCAGTATTGTAATGGGCCAAAAAAGATGAGTATACATTCTTTGTAAGGTTTTTATCTTCCTAAAGCATCTTCGTCTCCTTCTCCTACCTGATGCCATAACTAGGATAGTGCCAACTATCTGTACCACAGTGTACAGTGGGGAGGTGGAAGGAGAGTCAGAAGTCACCAAAATGTATAACTATCCAAGCTCAAGAGCAGCTGGGCTGAGTCTCCACTCACCTCTTTCTCTGTATTACTCCCATAACCATTACTAATGTGTCCACTTTCTTTACTGACACAGGTGCTGGGACTGGGGGTGGTGAAGGATATGTACAGATGCTCAATGACTCAATGGAGTCAGTGAAGGTGATACATGAAGAAAAATGCTGGAGTGCTGTTAAAAATATAGCATTCTGAGTTTGTATGGGAATACAAATTTCCACTGACTAGAAGGAATATTAGAATAAAAAAATGCACACTTAAGCATAAATACTTTAAGTGTCTGTAAAATTTTCCTAGAAAGCTACATACAAATATAAGTTTCACACAGAAGCTACTTCTGACTCTACAGCAGCTTCTTAGATCAGATTAGGAATACAAGGGCACCTTCAAGGGAATAAATGGGAGAGGGGGATCACAGGAGATGGGAAGAAGCACAGGAACTAGGAGTAGCCAGCCTCTCTCAAACCTATAGCTACTCACCCAAAAGACAAAGTTAAGCTCTTCAAGCCATGACAAGCAACTTGCTCTAATGCTATTTTAAATTTCTAAAGGATACATTAGGTCATCAGGAGCTCCATCAGATACTTTCAAAGACAGTCAAGCTAATCAACCTTCACCAAGGCACTGGGCCCAAATTACTAAAGAGCTATCCTAACTTTGCCACCACTATAGATTCTGACACTAAAGTTGTGATGACCTTTCTGCCTTTTAGTACACTGAAAGACCTCTCACCAGTGTGTGGTTTCCCTAATGCTGAATAATGCTCAAACTCTAACTGATGTTGTTCCTAAACGCTTATGGATTCAGATTTTTCACCACTGTGGATTCTCTGATGTCGAATGAGACTTGACCTCTGAATAAAGGCTTTCCCACACTCATTACATTGGTAGGGCTTCTCCCCTGTGTGAATTCTCAGGTGTTGAATGAGACCAGTGTTCCCATTGAAAGCTTTCCCACATTCTTTACATTTATAGGGTCTTTCTCCAGTGTGGATTCTCTGATGTTCAATAAGGCCTGACTTCTGACTGAAGGCCCTCCCACACTCATTGCATTTGTAGGGTTTCTCCCCAGTGTGGCTCCTCTGATGACCAATAAGATGTGAGCTCCGCCTGAAGGTTTTCCCACACTCATCACACTCATAGGGCTTCTCCCCAGTGTGGATTCTCTGATGTCCAATGAGGTGTGAGCTATGACTGAAAGCTTTCCCACACTCATTACATTCATAGGGTCTCTCTCCACTGTGGATTCTCTGGTGCAGAATAAGGCCCGCACTCTGACTGAAAGCCTTCCCACACTGATTGCACTGATATGGCTTCTCCCCAGTGTGGATTCTCTGGTGCAGAATCAGGCCTGTGTTCTGACTGAAGGCTTTGCCACACTCCTTACAGTGATAGCGTTTTACTTTGTTGTGGATATCCTGATGTGAAAGAAGGGCTGACCTGTAACTGAAGGCTTTACCACACACATTACACTGATAGGGTTTCTCCCCAGTGTGGATTCTCCAGTGGCGAACAAGGCCTGAGCTCTGAGCAAAGCTTTTCCCACATTCATCACATTTATGTCGTCTCTCTTGTGTGGGATTTCCCCGCTGCCTCTCTAATCTGCCCAGAAGGTCTCGGGCTTCTTCATGCTCAAGACCCCTGATAACATCCCCGTTGCATTTGGCAGCTGTCTCTCCATGTGGCTGGATTCCAGTAGATATTACCTGTTTTGAAGCTAATTCCCTGTTCTCACTCCTGGTCTCACCACCTGAAATAAAAATGTAATAAACAAACATCAAGCCAATGTCACAACCTATTCTTTATGCTAGGAGAAAGGAACTGAAGATAGGGGAAAAGGAAAGTACACATGAACAGCTATAAGTAAACACAAAACTTCTGTCTCCAAAATAGCTTCTTAATAGTGACCTTGCTTAATATGAGCTAGTCAACTGGGAAAGAGGTACCATTAAAAAAAGAGAGTTAATTGGAAGGGGAACTAAAGTCAGGAAAGGATGAACTGAAGTGAGGTGAAAGTTGGGGAGAGGAATATGGAACTACTAAAAGAACTAATGAGCAGGACAGAAATGGGAAAATGCCCAGTCATCAAAAGGGAGGAGATACAATTAATTTATGTGAGAAAAATATATGTAGGAATCCCATGACAACTTGGAGAAGAAATATATGAACTCAGAGAGCACCTCTGAGATGTCAATTTCCAACTGGCAAAAACGCCAGTACCCTGGTACAAAATGTAAGGAAGTTCTGGACAGGAGAACAAAAGTTTCACGTAAGATTTCAAGAAATCTCAACATCATATCCCTCTGCTGGATCCTGAGTTAAACTTAACTATGTCTTTCAGAAAGGCTGTAGCTACTATACACATAAACAACAAACAAACAAAAAATCTAAAATGACAATAATAACCACACCTCTCCTTACCCAGGGAGAACATGTTTCTGAAATTTTCTGGCCTGTTATCTCTACACAGATCCTTCTGTGATGGATCAAGAAGCCACTCCTCTCGAATAAGGGACACAGCCATGTCTTCAATCTTCTCCAAAGTCTGAAACAAAACAAGATCCCCATTTGGGGACTGGGACTGTTCCACAGCTCAAACCTATAGAGCTTGAGAGATCCACCAGTATTGGGAGAGAATTACAACTTGGGAATGTACTATGTAAAGGGATCTGAATAGCTAGGAAGAAGAGGAAAATGCATGAGATTTACTGGGGGAAATTCAGGATCAATCTGTCCCTAGGCAAAAGAATTTTTGGGACAACTTTTTGGGTAGGTACTGCTACAAACTAGACAGTCAAGATATAGGGCAGATGCCACAAACACTGACAAGCACAGCTATGGCGTTTCAGTGAGAAGGAGCACAACTCACCTGGAACCCTGCTGTGAGAAGTGTAGCTGTCATTTCCTGGTCTCCAGAACTTCCTTTCTGGGAACGAGTAGGACTCTGGGAAGTAGACATGGCTGAGAGGAGAAAGGAGCTATGAATGAGACCAGTCCTGTCCTGTGGTTGTGGGAGCTGGCACTCACCCATTCCAAATTATTTTTATTTCAGCAGATATACATGTATGCCAAAGATTTTGCACATGAAGTGCTGATATCTTGGATTCTGGGGCCATATCTATGGCTGCCCCACAAAACATACGCACCCCGATGTCCCTGAAGTCAGACTGAAGTTACACTCAAAAATAGAAAGTATACTGGTTTCCTAACAGGAATCGCTTTTCAATTTCTTCTCTACCATCAAAACTACTTCTGTCTTTGTGGCTGTATACAGTATTTCCTTAGGTCCTAATCTCTTGGCAAACCAAGTATCAGAATCAACCAGTCTCTATTAATTAATTACCTTTCTGAAATGTCTACTATGGCTCCCAGTATTTGCTTTCTATAGATATTAAACGGCTTATTATTAAAATATAGATTACTGTATCTCAGGTAACAAGCTTTAGGACTTTAGACAAGAAGTATTAAGTGTTTTAATGCTTCTTTAGAAATATTAAAAATTCATATTTATAAACTACTCTAAATCACATTAATGAAAAAATATGAAATGCAGGGGAAGATGAGACTGGAACACCTCATTCTGCAATAAAGTAAAAAAATTCTCAAAAAAACAATGGGAAAATGTCAAGAGGATACAAGAGCCAGACTGAAGGGGCCTTCTATGGCCAAATCTGAGATGATTTAGCAAAATAAAGACAGTGGCCGAGCACAGTGGCTCATGGCTGTAATCCCAGCACTTTGGGAGGCTGAAGTGGGCAGATCGCTTGAGGCTAGGAGTTCGAGACCAGCCTGGCCAACACAGTGAAACCTCGTCTCTACAAAAATACAAAAATTAGCCAGGCATGGTGGCGTGCACCTGTAATCCCAGCTACTGGGGAAGCTGAGGATTAAGAATCGCTGGAACCCGGGAGGCAGAAGCTGCAGTGAGCTGAGATCGTGCCACTGTACTCCAGCCTGGATGACAGAGTGAGACTCTGTCTCAAAGACAAAACAAAAACAAAATAAAGACAGTAACAGAATATTTATGGAATAAATACGAATTTGAGTCCATACTGATAAATAAAAAATAATAAAATTGGGAGAAGGGAGCACTCTCCTTTACAATAAAGAAATGTAGAAGGAATGACAGAGTTAGAAAATCACTATTTCATAACCATTCTAGTAATCACTAAGTCAGTCAAGAAGTACCAATGAACACTAAAACTAGTGTTTTAGCAACAAAGTTTAATGAGGACTAAGATATTTAAATACACTCAAGAGTATCTTCCACAAATTACTTATTAGTTACAAAGGGAAAAATAGTAACTATACAATGATTAACCCTGCAAGAATAACCTTAACCAAGTCATCAAAGATAACACCACCAATAATAGGACAAATTCCTGTTGTACCCCTAAGAAGGAGTACAACATCTCTTGTTAAGATTTAGGTCATGTATCCTTGGCAGGGTGAGGTGTTCCTGCCAAATATATATGACCTCAATGTAAACATGATCAAACATCACGCAAATCCAAACTGCAGCCATTCTACAAAATAACACACCTGTACTCTTCAAAAAAAAAGAAAGGTTGAGGAACTATTCCAAAGTAAAGGAGACTAAACAGCCATGACAACTAACCACAAAGTGTGACGCCAGACTAGACTCTGAACCAGAAAGAACATAATTGGGGCAACTGTCAAAATATGAACTATGGCCTAGGTTAGTATTGTAGCAATACTACATTTCTTAATTGTGATAAATTTAGGAATTTATTTATTTAAGTTACCTAAGAAATGCTCGTCTGAGGAAATACATACTGAAATATTTCCAAATAAAGTGGCATGACAATACCAGCATAACCTCAAAAATGTATGTTGTAAATGTACTGTGGTAACAGAAATATGGCACATGTATACATATGTAACTAACCTGCACAATGTGCACATGTACCCTAAAACTTAAAGTATAATAATAAAAGGAAAAAAAATTAAAAAAAAAAAAGTCAAATTATTTAATTTGTTCATGAGTTTACCACTAGAAAGAATAATCTATATTTGAAGCCTAAACATTTAAACACAGACTTTGGGACTGGTCTGTAAACAGGATTTTAGTTCCTGGTTCTTCAGGAACTAGATAGGTATCCCAAATGGACTTTTATTTGTACTTCCCCCCCTTATCATCAATGAAATCTGGCTACTCACCTCTCTCTTGTGACTCTTGGGGCACTGGAGATTTATGTTGGGTTGCCTCAGATTGGAGCTGAGTATTTGGAGGCTCTGGTGCAGATGCTGAATGTACTACCTCCTCCCAGAGTACCCTATGTCCATGTACGCGAGCTGAGACCTGGAAACAACAGACAGTTGGATAATAAGGAATCCCTTTGCGAAATGTAATGAACAATGAAAGAGGACCACGAACACATCTACAGGGATATATGCTTGGGGAAGGAAGCAGCAGAATCTTCCTCACTTCTTAGGGACAGTAAGGAACACGAATACGTAATGAGCACAGAAAGAAAGGCATCATTTTTGCTTAGTACTAAAGGAAAAGATTTCTGCTGATGCCTTCCCTGTTACACAGAACACCAATATTTTGTACTCCTAAGGCAGAGGAAGGAGGAAAACAACAAACTTAAAGCAGTGCTATGCAGTAGAAAAATCTTTTAATAAGGAACTAGAAAGCCTGATTTCTGGTCTCAAATTTACCTTTAATTATTTGGATACCCCTGAAAAATTAACTTAAGCTTCCTATGCATCAAGTTCCCATCTGGCAAACAAGAACAATACAGTCGTAGGGATGTTATGACGACAAAAACAAAATGGATTTATATCCTTTACAAAAGTAAAAAGAACTCTACAAGTCATACTACACTAAAACTATTGTCATCCTTATCCAACAGAAACTGATGCTAAGCATCTGCTCTCCCACTGTGATGCCTATGTCCCTCTACCAAGCTTCCAGGACTCCCACAGTCATAGCACGCATACCTCCTTCTACTTACTGGTCGTCCTAGTATATCAATCTGCCTTTCCAAATCCTCTAATAGGGTCACCACCTCCTCTCCGTTCTCTAGCTGATGTTCCTTAACCAGTGTCTGGAGCTCCTCAGGTAGGATGGTCAAGAACTGCTCCAGCACCAGCAGCTCCAGGATCTGTTCCTTGGTGTTCAAATCTGGCCTCAGCCACTGATGGCAAAGGGCCCGTAGTTGGATCAGAGCTTCTCGGGGTCCTAGTGTCTCCTGGTAGCGTAACTGCCTGAAGCGCAGGCGGAACACTTCTTGGCCAAGAGGGTTACTTTCATGCAGACTAGATTCCTGGTCCCAACCATGATCCTCCTCTACCTTGACGATTACAAGATCCTCTTCAGGAGTCTGGTCTGGTGGGGATGGGGCTGAAGGCTTTCTTGATTCTTCAGCCATTAGAGCCTGAAAAGCTCAGGAAGTTCGTTTCCACTACCTTCTTTATCTTCTTAAGAGAAGACTCTTCTGAGGGCCTCTTTCTAAGGGTACTTCTTCATGAAGAAAATATGATAGTGTTAAGGCAAGTCAAAAGTCATTGTAACTAACTATGGTATCTTAACAAGTTCCTTAGTATGACACGGACTTCATGGCTCGGCCAATTAAATGATCCTCCCCACTGTTCCAGAAATAACTTCTTACTTCCTTAACTTTCTGTCATGCCAGCCATGCCAAACCCATCCATAGAAAAACCCCTTCCTTCTGCTTTCATCACCCTGTTTGGGGATGTGGAACATGGCTAAGCAAAGTCAGGAAACCATGTAGACTGGGTCTAGTTGAAATTTTGTGTTTAATCTCAGCTGGCCTTCAGGGCTGCTCATTTAACCCCTTTTAGTCTTTGATACACCAGCTGTACTAATCTGGTTCTACACGCTTCAGCTCTCAACCTTTCCCTTACTCTTAACAGATGAGACTAATTTCTACATAATCTAATTCAAGGTATTGTCAAAAACTTTCCTAACACTTTGCTCTTCTCCACCTAACATTCCTTATCCTACCTGTGCCCCTCATCTTTCCTCCTATCTCAAGGTTAACTTCCTCTACTATGGACGTGACCTCCAACTCAGAAACTCTCTATGGAGCACTCCAAGGAACCTGGATGCCCTATTGACAACTACAACCCAAAAGTCTACTCCCACACTCAAAAGGCTACATACTATATGATTTTATTTATGTGAGATTCTGGAGTGGGAATGTTTAAATGTTTATCCATTTCCCAGTTGAACAATATCTGAGTTGTTTTTGTTTTTTAATCACTATGAATAAAGCCACTATGAACATCTGCATGAGTTTTGGTGTGAATATAGTTTTCATTTTATTTGGGCAAATATTCAGAGGTAAAATTGCTGTGTCATAAAATACATATATGTATAACTTTATAAGAAACTGCAAAACTGTTTTCCAATCTGACTAGCACTTGATATTGTTTTTGTTTTTAATTTTAGATATTCTAATAGGTGTATGTGTAGTGGCAACTCATTATGGTTTTAATATCTCATATGGCTTTAGTATGCATTTCTCTACTGACTAATAATGTTGAGCATCTTTTTATGTGCTTATTTAACATCTATATATCTTCTTTAGTGAAGTATTTGTTCAAAACTTCTGCCCATTTTTAAATTTAGTTATTTTAAAATTAAGTTTTGAGTTTCTTACATCCTCTGGACACAAGTCCTTTATGAGATATGTAATTTGCAAGTATTCCCTCTTTTTCATCCTTTTCATAGGGCCTTTTGAAGAAAAAAAGTTCATTTTTTTAATTGACTGTGCTTTTGATGTCATATCTAAGAAATCTTTGCTTAATCCAAGGTTACAAATATTTTCTCCTGTTTTTTACTAAAAGTTTTATAGTTTTAGGTTTTACATTTAGGCCTATGATCCATTTTGAGTTAATTTTTATATAGAATTTGAGGTATGGATGGAGGTTCATTTTAAGGATTCTCCTTTATCTACTTAACTGTCTTTGTATATTTGTCAAATATCAGTTCACTATATGTATGTATATGTAAGGGTCTATTTCTGGAATCTCTGTTCTGTTTATTGACCTATACATCTATTCTTTCACCAATACAGAATAGTCTTGATTGTGTAACTTTTAAAATCTTGAAATCAAGTAGGTGGGTCTTGCAACTTTGTTGTTCGTTTTCAAAATTATTTTCACTTTCCTAGTTCTGTTGTCTTTTGATACACATTTTAGAATCAGTGTATTAATTTCTACAAAAAATTATTGAATTGGATTTGTATTGAATCCATAGCTCATTTTAGGGACAACTGATATCTCAACAACAGTGAGTTTTCCATTCCGTGAACACAATGTGTCTCTCCGTTGAAGTCTTCTTTGACTTCTTTCATCAGTACCGACACTACTTTCTTAAAGGACAAGATAAAATACTGTTGCCTTTAAAAATCCTTTCCTGGTGACTCCAATTGGAAATTATTTTCCTCTCATTCTATACCTCTGTTACTTAAATGTGTATTGCTTTAATGTTACTTTTCCCATAACTGTATATTTATTAGTTCCAAAGGAATTCTGACTTCAAAACTTAATTGTATTTTCCCCATGGGCAAAGGTCCATATCTTTTATCTTATTGATAGAATCGAAGAACATTAGCCATATTTACAATTGCAAACACAGAACATGTTTATATTTCTTGTAAGAGTGAGATTTAGAAACAAGACCTGATGTCCGAAAAAAGTTCAATTTCATGATCCTATTTCTTTGTGAAATATATGTCTATGGTTTCCATCCTTGGTATAGACATCATCTCTTGCCTAGAACTGCAATGGTAACTTTGGTTATGCTTTTTTCCCATTCATGTTCCACAATATTGCCTACTGTGTGTTGAAATGTGTCCCTCAAAAAGATATGCGGACATTCTAACCTCTAGTACCTGTGGATGTGACCTTATTTGGAAATGGGGCTTTGCAGATGTAATCAAGTTAAGATGAAGTTATACTGGAATGGGTAGGCCATTAAACCAATATGACTGGCACACTTTTAAAAGGAAAAAAGACACAGAGACAGACTCTGAGAAAGGAGAAGGTCATGTGAAGACACACACACACAGATGAATGAGAGCTAAGTGACTACAGAAGCAGAGATGGAGTTGTGCAGCTGCAAGCCAAGGAATGCCAAAGTTTGTCAGTAAAAACAAGAAGCTAGAAGAGCATGGGTCTGGCGACACTCTGATTTTGGACATCTAGCCTTCCTAATTATGAGACAGTAAGTGTCTATTCTATTAAACTACCAGGTTTATGATACTTTTTTTTTTTACAGTAGCCCTGTACTGCCAGAGATTTTTTAAAAATATGTAATATGACTAACATGACTCACCTCCTGAAAATATTTCAATAGGGACCAAATTTTTTAGCATGGTATGCAAGGCCCTTTATGAATGTAAACCTGGCTGGCTATATCTACTTTAAACTCACTTACATAAAGCCTTTCTGGGCTGTGGCTTTCTCATACTTCCATTCTACTACAGAGTTCTTTACTCTAGCTCAGTGGTTCAAAACTGATGGCAATATTGTCCTTACCCCCATCCCAGGGACCTTTCATAATGTCTGTAAATATTTTTGTTGTCACAACTTGGGGGTAAGGGGTGCTACTATTATCTTGTACATAGAGGCCAGGGATCCTACAATGCTCAACACAGCCCCCACCACAAAGAATTATTTGGCCCAAAGTGTCAATGCCAAGGTTGATAAATCTTGGTCCAGCTAAAACCATTCAACTCTTTTTTTTTTTGTTTGAGATGGAGTCTTGCTCTGTCGCCCAGGCTGGAGTGCAGTGGCGCGAACTCGGCTCACTGCAACCTCCGCCTCCCGGGTTCACGCCATTCTCCTGCCTCGGCCTCCCGAGTAGCTGGGACTACAGGCGCCCTCCACCACACCCGGCTAATTTTTTGTATTTTTAGTAGAGATGGGGTTTCACTGTGTTAGCCAGGATGGTCTCGATCTCCTGACCTCGTGATCTGCCCGCCTCGGCCTCCCAAAGTGCTGGGATTACAGGCGTAAGCCACTGTGCCCGGCCTAAAATCATTCAACTCTTAACTCTAATTTATCTATTACCTTTTTCATGAGTTCTTCTCTGTCATCCCCCTGCCATTTGTCATTCCTACCAAAGCATTTTTAACATGGTCCAAATATAGGACTTATCACATTGTGAGAATGTGGCCATGGCCTTATTGCAAATGTTTGTTGACAGAGGTGACCATTATCTTTGTATTTCAAAGATACTGTAGAGAATGAAGAAGAGTGTAAGTAAAGGTAGCATACCCTAAACCAGTTGTCATGAGATGCTAACATCAAGATAAAACCAGAGACCTATAGTCCACAAAGAAGAGATAGGTACTTAGGAAAAAAATCAGATTACTGTACATACAGTTCCCCATACGGATCATCAAGGCAGTGCTTATCTTTTCAGTTTTTGGAGTTGTGGCACGGGGCGAGGGGGGTTGGTTTATAGACTCTTCAACCTAAAGAAAACACAGAACTTCTTTCCAGCAAAATGTCCACAGATACAAAATTGTATACTCAATTTCGGCAGAGTTCACAGACTCAAAGGCCATCCAAGAATGCCAGGAAGGTTAAAAACAAACAAACATACAAACAAATCCTACATAGAGAGTGTGTACAGAAAAGAAAGGGAATTTGAAAATTATTTTTCAAGTTAGACAAGGCCGGGAACAACAGGGTGGAGAGTAAACTACAGATCAGAAGAACCAAGGAGCAAAAGATATGGTTAAATATATCAATTAACATTGGGGGTATAGTTCATTGATTATGACTTTACAGGAAAGTGGAGGAATTTGCTAGAATAGTGAGATTTGGGGGAAGAGTGAATTTGAGGAAGATGCTGAGATTTTGTTGAGAAAGGGTAATCAATTTGGTTTTGACAATTTGTTTTTGTTTGAATAAATTATCTATAATTTTAAGATAATTTATTTTAAAATGGTCTTAGCTAATTTTAAAATAATTTAATTTTTCAAATCAAAACAAACTCTTAAATTTTCTTAAAATAGCTACTTATGGTTTAATGTTAAAAACTTAAAGGTCAATACATGGGACATAAATTCTGTTTAGAATGTGATGTTATATAGTGGTAGTCTTACCATGTTTTCTTATAAATTTCCTTAAAGCCAAGGTTCATTTTTAACTACTGAACAACTGGCCATCTATTACTGAGCAATCCTCATCCATAATGGCTATAAAATATTATTATTATTATTTAGGGACAGGGTCTCACTATGTTGCTCAGGCTTGAGTGCAGAGTCTATTCACAGGTGCAATCCCACTACTTACCAGTACAGGAGGCTATAAAATATTTTAATGTGAAGTGCGCAGCATTCAAGAACTTTATATTGTTGATGTGGTATTAAAAAGTCTCAATAACAACACTGATGAAAACCAGCTAATTATCAGGTTTGTTCATTTTTTATACCAAATCAGCCAACAGGTCTTGCCCATTGCTCATCTTGATTATTCTATTTAGTGGCTAATTTTCCATTTTTTTAAGTCTCTTCCCTCTCTGATCAGCTGGTTTTTGAGAATTACAACCTATAAATAACTGAGTGCAAAATTACTCCAGTATGTACCTTCCTCTCAGTTTTGTGCGTACATGTCTGTATTAAGTTGGTGAGCACTTTGTGGATACAGACTGATTTTTACATAGTCTCCTTAAAGAACACCTAGTCAAGTTTACATGAGTTTAAAAGGCAATCTTTAAAGCTTCCTCTGGATTTTAAATACTGTAATCCTGTGAGATGCTGAAGGCACAACTCAATTTTAACAGTATTATTTTTTCAATAGTTGTGGAAGGAATGTATTCTTCCTTCAGACTATGTCTAATTTGAGAAATGTTTGGGAACTGAAAACAAAACAAAAAAGACATTTTCCAGGATTTAAAATCCAAGAAAAAGTAGGTGAAGCCAATACTATGCTTTGTTATCTCAAATTGCATTAGCTGAAAGTTTTAATTAACATCTATCACATTTTACATTTAAACAACAGAAATTCAAAACATGTATGTATTTGCTAAAACAATGATTGCTACGTAAATATACTCAACGGAACTAACAAACAACAGAAATATGTTTTTAAAGGTGGTGGTGGCAGTCAAAGTAGCCTGACAAAAATTACTCATGACTAACCAGAGTTTTGGAAATGGGGCCCTCCCAGAGTTCCTCGTTGGCTAACTTCAGTTTGCTTTAACAAATGAAATAGGCATTCTGATAATGTTGAATTCTGAATTACCCTGAAATTAAAAAAAAAAAAAAACTTTCGTACAATTATCTAGTCAACACACCACCAGTTTCTGAATACACTAAAGAAAGAAGAGTAACAGCAAAAATTGGTTTCCATGGATAAACGGGGCTTCCAAAAGCAAAATATGTCTTTTTTAAAAACTGAGAATTTTGTTGTGACCTAAACGCAAAAGAGCGCTAAGTGAAAACAATTCAGACTCTGGAAATAGTTGGATAAAAAATAACATGGGGGGGGCGTTCCCCATTTTAAGATAAACAAGATCGACTACAAAAACATACCACAACACGATTATCTATGAAGAAAGCTTCATAAAAGGTTCCCTCGCAAAAAGTTCAAGGGCAATTCGTGGGGACGTACTCTGCCTGCAACAGCAACTAAGGCGTCAGAATCGGTCCGCGGCGCCGAACACCGCACAGGCCCCTCTCCGGACCCCTCAGGCCAGTCCTCAGCTGCGGCCTGGACCAGCCACAAAGCACCCACTTTCCTCCGGCCCAGAGCCCGACCGTACTCACTGTGAGTTGCAGAGGCGCCCCGTCGTGGGGAAGGGAGGCTGCAACGGATAAACAGACTCGAAGGAAGGTCGGGGAGTAAAGGCGATGAAAGCTGTACTCGGACCAGGCCCCTCCGGCCACTAACTTCTAAATCTGCGGAGGCACAACACCGGCCAGCACGCATCTTGCCCCAAAGGCACTTCCGGAAGCTCTCTAGGAGTCCTGGAGGTCTACAAGCTCTATGGTCGGCCGACTGAGGGTACCGGAGTACCACGCCCCTCACCTGCTGTGTGCTGTGCCTCGGGTTCCTCCCGCGTCTGCGTGCCTCAGGCTTGCGCTGTCGCTGGGGCAGTGAACGTGCTGGGGAATAACGGACCTTGGTGTCCCCTCCGCCTTGTGTGCCCATGCAGCTCCGCGCGCTCGCTGTCAATAGTAACGGTCCCCTGGGGGTAGATATCGGACGTGGGGAGGCTGGAGCTGTGAATAGGAGGCTGGGAAAGTGTTGGAGGAGGGAGCACTTCATGGATCCTTAGGATTCCAACTGGATTCGCGTTTGGCTCCGTTACATACCCTGTACTTTACTGTTCTCGATTCATAAACATATCCAGACCTCTCACATAGAGTACAAACTTCATGAGGAATTCCTGCTAATCACAGTTCATAGTTTTGTGAAATCCCTATGGCATGGCACTTAGGAATAGCATATTTTATTAAGTATTCAAAAAAATCGTAATTAAATATATATTCTTTTTGGATCTTTACATATTTCCCACTCTTTCCTATCTTAATGAATTTCTATCGCTTACAGCATCTGCTTTGCTGCTTAGCTGTTTTAATGCTAAACCTATGATGTAAGCTTGAAGAGTAGACCCTAGGTTTAATACCACAAGATATGGGGAACAAATCTATGTTCATTCTTTCTTTGTTAGTCTTTTTTTCTTTTTTTGCCTTTTTTTTTTTTTTTTGAGACAGGGTCTCTATTGCAGAGTGTAGTGGTGTGATCATAGCTCACGGCAGACTCAACCTTCTGGGCTCAAGCAGTCTTCCCACCTTAGCCCCCCAAGTAGCTGGGACTACAGGTGTGCACCACCCTCAGCTTAAAAAAGAAAATTTGTAGAAACGGGGTGGCGGGGCGGGGCGGGGGTCTCACTATGTTGCCCAGGCTGGTCTTGAACTCCTGGGCTCAAGTGATCCTCCTGCCTCAGTCTCCCAAAGTCCTCGGATTACAGGCATGAGACACCACCCTGGCCCTGTGTTCATTCTTTACAGACCTGTTGCATTAGAGCTTTTTAACTTTTGAGACTAATAGGATTTCAGGGGTGGAGGTTGTGGCAAGTGTTATTTTTTGTTGTTTAAGTCTCATGTATTTATTTCCTTCAGCACCTTTCCCAACCACCTATTATTGAGTTCTCAGGGCTCCTCCAATTTTCACCTTAATTTCCCTCTTTATCTGCTCCTGCTGGTAGCCACCACCAACATTTCTATCCCTTCCCAATTACTAACTCCCCAATATTTTGCGTACTGACAAAGTCGTTTTGATTTAAGGGTTTTGTCATCTAATTATCACATGAAAACAAGTAAATAATAGTAAACACTGGGAAGCTACAGTGCTTCTGGACTCCTTCAAAGTAATTATTTTTGCTTTTTATTTCACAGCTGTTGCTTTCCACCTGGGATGGTAACTGGAAGTAACTGGTGACAGACTAGAACTCTACTTTCAGTTTCTTTTTTCACATTTTAAAAGTAACTTTTTTGGCTGAGCGCGGTGGCTCATGCCTGTAATCCCAGCACTTTGTGAAGCCGCGGGAGGATCACCTGAGCTCAGGAGTTTGAGACCAGCCTGGCCAACATGGCAAAAACCCATCTCTGCAAAAAATACAAAAATTAGCCAGGCATGGTAGTGGGCTCCTGTAGTCCCAGCTACTCCAGAGGCTGAGGCGGGAGAATCGCATGAGCCTGGGAGGCAGAAGCTGCAGTGAGCTGAGATCCTGCCATTGCACTCCAGCCTGGGCAATAGAGCAAGACCCTGTCTCAACATAAATAAACAAATAAATTTTTTTTAAGTCTGAAGTTGTGCACATATGTAGTTGTACAAATTCAATGTGCACACAACTATGACTGCACATACTATGTACAAAGTTGTGTACACATAGGAAGTAAAATAGCGTCATGCCATAGGTAGTTTTCTCAAACTGGACACACAGACACTGATTGTAATAGATAAAACTGATAAATTTGACTTCAAAATTTTAAACTTAAATTCTCATCAAAATTTAAATCTTCTCAAAAAAAGCACCATTAAGAAAGTGAAGAAAAAGCTACACACTGAAAAATATTTGTAATACATCTATCTGACAAAGAACTATCCAGAATATATAAAGAACTCTCACAATTTAATGAATAAGATAATTCAACACCAATAGGCAAAAGATTTAAACACTTTCTTTACAAAAGATAAAAGAATGGCCAGTATGCACACTAAAAAGTAACCATTATTCATCAGGGAAATGCAAAGTTAAAACCTCAATGAGTTACCACCACATATCCGTTAGAATGGTTGATAATATCGCCAATTTCTAAGTTATTCAGGCTTGAGAGGCTTCCTTAGTTTACTCAATGAAACATGGAGATAAAGGAGAAATTATCAGAGCCAGATTTCTCCTTTGAAGTGTTACTTTTCTCCATTAATATAACCACCATCCTCAGTTCTAATTACTTCACACCTATGTGACTGCAACAGCCTTGAGATAGCCTTCCTAACTATACAAGACGTGGTCCTTAAATATCATTATCATTCTTCCAATCACTGACCCTGAGTGGTTCCTTATCTCTAAGTAAAATTTAAACTTCTATGCTTGCCTTTTATTTTTTGTATTTTTAAAAATAAATGAAACATGATAAAGATTAATATTATATAAAATTCTTAAAAGCTGACATCTCCACCCTCAAATAGTATTTACCTAGAATGTTGGGAGATAATTCTTTAATGGCTTCTCAAATTACTCCTAGTCTTATGGTAGATTTTTCTTTGAGGTTAGGTTTTCAAGGATGTTTGTATCTCCTTCTAGATCACAGTTGTTTCCTGACCAGGATAATAAAGATAATGGCTCATTCTGGGGCAAGGCTGAGCAAAGGTTGGGCTTCCTAAGCTTGGCATTCCTCTGCTAGGTTGCAAACCCACTGTTCCATCCTAGCAGGGGAATGCCAAGCTTAGGCCCCTCTGTGGGCTTTGGGAACATAAGCTTTGGGAACAAGGGAATATAAAGCTTATGATGCCTGTGTTATTAAGTAATAAAGTCTTCTGTCTCTGACGCAGGAGTCCAGTGTCTTCTGTTAGTATCCATAAAACTGTGGCAAGTTAAATTGTTAGCTTGCAAGTAGGGTAAAAGTTTCACAATTTTCAATATGGGGTAATCACTGTTAAGTTTGGAGTGCATCCTTTTCTTGTACAAATACCCCACAAATTATATCTATATAAACAAATTTTTTCAACAAAAATGGAATATATATTGTTCTGACACTCCTTTTGTCATTTGAACGGTTGAAAGGTATTCCTCAATAGCATATGTCATATGTAATTCTTCCGCCATTGATTTACATTGATAAACAAGTGTTTTCCTTTTTTTCTACCACTAGCGTCCTGTCTGCCTTTTATTGCCTTCCAGAATGACCTTCTCCCTATCCCATACCCCTGGTCATAATTCCCCTGTACCCCCAAGTCAAAGGACTTATCTCATTGCTCACTACTCAATCTAAACACTCGTCTATTATTCTAATAACCCCCTCTCAAGACTTTATTATTCGATTTTGCACTGATCACATTCTGTCTTATATTACTTGCTATGTTGCATTTGCTGTCAATAGATTAAAGCTTCCATAGTTGAGGTGTCGGTTCTGAGATCTCCTTCCCAGTTGCAGTAAGTGGCAGCCCTTGAAATATGCAGATGTGCCATACATTTCTGACAGGAAGAGTGGTTTGCCTTTTTTTGTCAAGTAGCTAATCAATCTGATTCATCCTCTCCCTGCAATTCTAGTCTTATTCAATAATTCCTTCTGCTTAGGTAGGTCCTCATTCACCCATGTACTTATCAAGCACCCACCATGTGACAGATGCCAAGTGAGGTGAAAGTGCTGGGATGAGCACCTCTGTGGATCTCACAATGACCATCCATCTTTTGCATCCTTCTTGGTTTTTCCTTTACCCAAGTCCTGCACTTCACTCTTTACCCGTGCTTCAGAAAAGCGGAAGTTGGTTAATTAATTCCATTTGTCTAACACGGATGAGAGTGACAGCAGACAAGGGGAAAGGCAGGGAAATTCCCTTAGACTGTTCTTACATGCACTCTCACACTTAATAGTCAAAGCCACCCTATGAAATAGACACTACGTTATTAGCCTGAGTTACATAAACGAGTAAACAGAGGCTTGGAGAAGTTAAAAATAAATTGCCCTCAGTCCTAACTGGAGAGTGGTGGAGTCAGAATTTGAATCCAGGTTTAAAGAATTCTAGTGCCGGCACTCTGCACCTATTTCTCTTTGGACACTCATTTCCCCTAAGGATCAGAGAAGCTCAAAGTAGGCCACTTTTCGTCTCCGTAAGTCCGCAAGGTCCTGCGAGATCACAGTGAGCAGGGCACCAGCAAATACAGTCTGCGACCGCGAGACGTAAAGGGAAGAACGCTCCTCGGCACCCCTCCCCAGTCTATCCTAAAGTCAAGAACGTCCGAGCCCGCCTTTCTCCGGGGGCGGGCTGCAATAAAACAGCAAAATCCTCCATTCCCCATCAGCGGTCGATTGGGGGCTCTTTCGAAGCGGCAGCTCTGTAGGACCGCTCTTCTACCCCAAGATCCCTCGGCTTCGGCCCCCTAGGTGCCAGGGTCTGCGGGACCCCACGCTCAAAGCCGCCGGCCGGGGTCGACAACTGCAGAGAGGGTCGGGATAGGAAATTGCGGGTAGCGGCAGATGCGGGTCCCCAGGCATCCCGGAGGTTCCCACAGGTCTGCAGTGGGCCTACTTTGCGAAAAGGGCCCGGCTGCGCCGAGCCTCGTTCAAATCAGATGCCAGACAGTGTTTCTTGGGATCCATCCAAATAGGTCCCTTATTTCTCTTTGTGGGAGCCCTGGGCCTCCTTCCAGGCCGGAACCCAAGTGCTTAGGCAGCCGGGAAAGGCCGGTCCCCTTTTTCAGTTCTCTCGCGACCTCTAGCCACTTCCGGTTGCTAACGGTTCCCAAACAGCCCCCGAAAACGCTACGTGAGCTGGGCCCTGGGCCAGAGGCAGAAAACGGACGGAAGAAAAGGTCTGGCCGGTGAGTGTCAGAGTGAGGGCGAGATTGGGTGGTGTTCTCTGCCGGTGGATAGGCTCGACCGTCCGGTTTGGGATTGGGGTTAGGTATTAGGGAGCGGTTCAAAATTATGCTAATTGTTAAGATTACGAGTATTATTTAAAAAGATACACAACAGCAACAATACAATGAGCCCACGAAGATCAAATGCCAGTTAACTGATTTAAGCAGCTTTGATAGGAAGAAAATGCTGAATTTAATGCTAACAAAAAGATCTAAGTGCGCTGTTAGGGGCTAAGACTTTAACATTATGGGCCAGCCACTGTTCTAAACCCTTCACATTTGGTCACTCATTTAATTCCTACTTTATGAGGTAGATATCATTATAATACTGTTTTACAGATGGGGAACCTGAGGCACAGAGAGAAAAATGTATTAGCCAAGGTCATATAACTAGTAACTGGCAGAACAAAGATTCATACCCAGGCATTCTTCCTTTAAATTCTGTACTCTGGCCTTTCATTGATAACCTGGTTTTATCAGCTTAGGAAATTTGCTATCCAGATGGAAGTATAAGTTTCTACAGAGATATGTTATTGCAGCAGTGTTCTGAATCTCATCGGGTTTGTTGGCAATTTGCCTTTCAACAAAGGGTTTTTTTTTTTTTTTTTGATAAGGGTGGCTTCCACAGAGATTTAAGGAGAACAATAAAAATTTTCATTTTAATAAATAAGCCCCATTTCAACGTCCCTTCTCCTGTATCATTCCTCTGATTCTTCTCTGTCGTTATTTGTTTCTATTAGGTTAAATCATTTTACATTTCTGGTATTTAACCATTTTGACCCACAAAAACAGGGATTTCATTTGTTTAACCTAATACAGAAACATCTTTTCAAGCAGAATTTAGGAATCTACAACAATGAGCAAGATTATATTTTCATCTCCAAAATGTACGTTAAGTCTGTTTGTTTCTCTTTATATCCACTGTGAACCCATGGTCCATGCCACTACCTTCTTTCACTTGGGTTACTACAGTAGCCTCTGGACTGATTTCCTTACTTCTGCTCTTTTCTCATTCTTGCCTCTTTAAGGAGCCAGAATGATCTTTTCTAAACAAACATTGGATTATGTTCCTCCCTTCTAGTAGTTCCCCATCACGTTTAGAATACACATCCTGGCCCCTGTTCACCTCTCTAACCTAATCTTGTGTCACCTTCCCCTTAATCCAGTGCTTTCAACACGTGGCCTTTTTCAGTTCCTGTAACACACCAAATTCATCCCTATTCAGAGACTTTGCATTACCTCTCCCTTTCGTGTGGAATGGTTTTCTGCAGAACTGAAGGTCAGTTCTATCTAATAAATAGGAATATAATGGGATTCACCTATGTAATTTAAAACATTCTTATTAATAGCCATATTAAAAATGTAAAAAGACAGGTGAAATTATCTTTAGTTTAAACCATCATATCCAAAATATTACTATATCAACATCTAATCAATATAAAAATTATTAATGAAATATCCTATATTCCATTTTTTGAAAGCCAGTGTATTTATACTTATTGGACATCTCAATTCACATATTTTCATAAATAATCTATATTGAGATTACATAAAATTTAAAATAAAAAAATAGATTCACATATCCAAATTATTTCAAACATACTTAAAAGTTATCTAGTGAATTATGAGTTTTAAAGTTTAATTAAAATTAAAAATTTAGTTCCTCAGTTGCAGAGCCAAATGTACCTCGTGGCTACTACACTGGACAGCACAGATTTAGATCAAGGATAAAATGTCTATATTCATGATTGGGTCAAGGGGCAAAGAAGAAAATTGCACCAGAAGTGTGGCAAGGAGGGAAGGGGAAGGTCTGCAAAAATGCAGTGTAAGCTGTTTATGCAAGTCACATTTAAGTCACATTACTAGTCCTCACTAGTAAATGAGGTAAGGCTTTCTAAAGTAGACTACTTTTTAGCATCAAGGCTGCATAGATTTTAGGTATGTTGGGAATAATTTTCTGGGGTAGGAAAAGGGTCCAGTAGTGCTGGTCACATGTAGCATTTCTTTCTTTCTTTTTTTTTTTTTTTTTTTTGAGATGGAGTTTCTGCTCTTGTTGCCCAGGCTGGAGTATAATGGCACGATGATCTCGGCTCACCGCAACCTCCGCCTCCTGGGTTCAAGCAATTTTCCTGCCTCAGCTTCCTGAGTAGCTGGGATTACAGGCATGCACCACCAGGCCTGGCTAATTTTGTATTGTTAGTAGAGACCCTGACCATGATGGTCGGGATGGTCTGGAACTCCCGACCTCAGATGATCCACCCACCTCGGCCTCCCAAAGTGCTGGGATTACAGGCTTGAGCCACTGTGCCCGGCCACATGTAGCATTTCTAAGTAGAATTTTATTGTGTATGATGTGGAAGAGTCGTAGAAATCTGATTATTTTCCTATAGAGCAGGGGTTCTCAACTGGGGGTGATTTTGCCTCTCAGGGGACATTTGCCTCACTCAGCCTGCCCACCAAATTGCCTGGAGACATTTTTGGATATCACAAGTGGGAAGTGCTAGTGACATCTAGTGGGTAGACGCCAGGGATACTGCTAAACATCCTACAGTGCAGAGGACAGCCCCTACATCAAAGAATTGTCTGGCCCAGAATGTCAATAGAAATAGTTTCTCAAGGTTGAGAAACCTTGCTCTAGAGGATCTGAATAAGAAAGACTGACATACCCACTCTTTTAAAACCTCAGCCTAACTCCCTTGTGATATTACCATGGGAAAAACAGGTTGTTTTGAAGCATTTCAGTTTCCATTTGTTTCCACTGTTGATGGATTTTGTGATCAGACTAAAATAGAATAATTTCATGCTCAAGATGAGAATGTAGACCATTTAATAAAGATAATATAGTGTGTGCTGTACACGTAAGACTCAAAGCACCTTGGGATCAGGAGCTGGTCTTTTTACCTTTATATGGCTTGTATCATATGATCCACTGTCTCCAACAATTGATGCCAATATATTAGAATCACTTGTCTATCTTTCCTATCTCCATCCCTTGTTTTATAGTTGTTCCTCTTTTCATCCTTTTCTTTTCATCAAATTATTATCTTTTCATCCCTTTCTCATTTTCCCCCTCTTCATCAATACCCACTGATACCTCCTATAGACCCTCCCTCAACACTCATCTATTTCTTCCATTCATACCTGTTGACACCCTTACTTAGAATTGCCAGTTCACTACCAACCCATCTGTGTCTGAGAGAGCTGTCCCCCATATTCCCTATAGCTGTCTGTTGTAATTACTGTCTTGTTAGTCCACGAAACTACAAAATATAAATTCTTGCCTCCTCCCTCAGAAAAAAAAAACCCTCCAAAAAGATATGAAGAACAATAACACATTTGCTTTTGACACAACTCTCTGAGGAACTGCTTTCCATGTTCAGGTTTTTTTTTTGTTTTGTTTTGTATTTTTTTTTTTCAGACCAGGTGCTGTCCATTCAGGATAGCTCTCTGCTAGAACTGATAGTGTCCAACATATTACACCTCCTCTTCCAAGAAGTGTGGCTGTGATTGAGCTGTGTTCTTTCCAACTAGTTGCACTCCCACCAGTTTCTTCTGTGGGTTTCTACATGCTTACTAAGACATTGCCTGCATCTCCAGAGTACCAGCAACTACTTAGATTTTCTTTGACCTCATGCCTCTTTTGCCTTTTGCCTGCAGTTATCCTAGATCCCACTGACTGTTCTTCTCTTACCTACATCATTCTAGGCTGTCTCTGGCCCCATGTCTTTATGTCCCTCCCTGACTCTTACCATTACCCTTCTGGTTAACATTAGACCAAACCTGTGGTGGGCACTGTGGTGGCAATTTGGAATCAACATAAAACCTAAAAAGGGTACAATGGTTATAGTGCTCCAGACTACTCTTCACTCAGCCTTTAAGGGTGCAGGACTCTAAGACTAGAACAGTTCTTTGTACATAATAGGTATTCAAAACTACTAGCTGAACGGAATGTTCTGTCATATATAGCAGGAGTCCCCAAGTCCCTACCGTGGCCAGGAAAGCAGGAGGTGAGGGGCCAGTGAGCAAGCAAAGCTGAGCTCTACCTCCTGTCAGATGAGCAGTGGGATTAGATTCTCACAGGATCGCAAACCCTATCGTGAACTGCACATGCGAGGGATCTAGGTTGCGCTTTCCTTATGAGAATCTAATGATAAATGAAACAATACCCCCTTCCCTATCCTTGGAAAAATTGTCTTTCACGAGACCAGTCCCTGGTTCCAGAAAGGTTGGGGACTGCTCATACAGAGGATAAAGGAAAATCAGTCTGTCATGTGTTTACCAATTTTAGGAAACCTAATCTTAGGATAGCCAAAATCATCTTTCTTACCATTGCAGAAGCCTCCCTAAATTCAAGGATCAGAAACATGAGTTTCCCCTTTAAAGACTCTGAGCAGTTTCTAAGCATTGTAGTGTTTCTCAGAAAGACTAAAGGTAAAAGGGGAAAAGCCATTATTCAGAAAGCACCTAACTTTATTTTTAAAATAAGGATGTTTCTAATACTAATACTAAATATTTCTTACTTTACTTTTCTCTTCATGACCATTAAAGAAAATCCTTTCTTTGAGTGTTTCAAATACTTTGAAATATTACTCAGGTAAATATAGTAAGTTATAAAACAAGTATTCGTGTGAAACCTGACATTTAAAAGATGTGTTGATGTAAGATACTCAAAGTAAATATACATTTTTTTAAAGGACCATTATGTTAAAGGGACATAAAAGCTCAGTTTATCTTTAGGGCATTATGAGAAATACCTTAAGATTCATTTTCTTGGCTGGGCATGGTGGCTCATGCCTGTAATCCCAGCACTTTGGGAGGAGGATGGGAGGATTGTTTGAGGCCAGGAATTCGATACTAGCCTGAGTAACATAGTCAGACCCTATCTCAAAAAAAAAAAAAAAAATCCAGATATGGTGGTGTGCACTTGTAGTCCCAGCTATTTGGAAGGCTGAGGTGGGAGGATTGCTGGAGCCCAGGAGTTCAAGGCTGCAGCCAGGAGTTCAAGGCTGCAGTGAGGTATGATTGTGCCACTGTACTCCGGCCTGGACAATGGAGCAAGACTCTTTCTTTCTTTATTATTATTTTTAAAAGATTCATCTTCCTACAGTTATAGACATAAAAATGATTCTTATAGTTTTCCTGATCTTAAACACAATGATAAAGCAGTTGTTCTTAATAAATATCTTCAATTGAAATATCTTAATTGAAAACAAGAGATTTGAAGAGATTAGATCACTTCTTTCCTGATTGTTTTGGTGATCCTTATTCCTAGAACTAAGTAAAGAACCAGAGCTCTGCTCTTGGCAGTTTGATTGGTGGTGTGAATTTGAATGTGCAAGGCCTATGGCCACAATTCCTATCATGCTATAAGATTCTCAAATTAGAGATGTGGCCAGGTGTGGTGGCTCACACCTTTAATCCCAGCACTTTGAGAGGATGAGGCGGGCGGATCACTTGAGTTTGAGACCAGCCTGGCTGACATGGCAAAATCCTGATAAAAGTACAAAAATTAGCCAGGCATGGTGATGCATGCCTGTAATCTCAGCTACTCAGGAGGCTGAGGCAGGAGAATCGCTTGAACCCGGGAGGTGGAGGTTGCAGTGAACAGAGGATCACTCCAGCCTGGGCAAAAAAAAGAAAAAAAAAAAAAAAGGTGTGTATCTGTGCTGTCCAATATAGTGGCCACTAACATGTAGCTATGAGCACTTGAAATGTGAGGAACTGAATTTTCCATTTTATTTGAGTTAATGTGGGTACTGGCCACCAATCTGGACAAACTGGACCAAGTTAGACCAACCCCTTCCTATCTCCCTCAGTTTAAAATAACCTGAAATCCAGAAAAGAAGTTATATCTAGTTATAGATTCCTTCCTCTCCCCAGCAGCTCCTAATGATCACAGACTGCCTCCTCCTCCATTTTGTTTTCCTCAGCCTTTTTTTCTTCTTTTTGAGATAAGGTCTTGCTCTTGCCTAGGCTGGGGTGCAGTGGTGCGATCACATCTCACGATAGCCTTGAACTCCTGGGTTCAAGTGATCTTCCCACCTCAGCCTCCTAAATAGTTGGGTGGAACTACAGGTGTGTGCCACCATGCCTAGCTAATTTTTCTTAAGTTTCTGTAGAGGTGGTGTCTCGCTGTGTTGACCAGGCTGGCCTCCTGTCTTCTGATGGCTTATTCTTTATCATTGGCAAACAAAAATTTCCAAAAAATAATCATACTCCCCATTTTAAGATAAAAAAGGGATGTTGAGGCTATTATATGAGTAATGGTGGAAAACAAATAATTAGCATTGTTTTATATCTTAATCTCAAAAGTAGTTTTCATCAGTTTTAACTTGTCGAAACATACCTGGTAAGCCTCTATTATCATCTGTACTTTACAGAAGGGGAAATGAAGGCAGAGAAAAATGTGTATGTCTTGTCTTGCCTAAAGTCAGACACTGAATGGTCAACTAAAAAGGACCTGGAGCAGAGACAGAATTAATTCACTGTCTTTCATCCAGGAACCATTGATCTTGGGCTGCAGGTGAGCAGTGTTGTCAGTGGACAAGGCTTTCTGAAAGAATTCTTGATTCCCCCTCAAAACTGAACTAATTTGAAATAAAAGGATATTTTACTCAGGTAGATTCTTTGGTCCAGAGAAGTTTAATGATGACTGAAGCTTTGACCACATTGAGGAAACTCAAGGTTTCTAAAATAGATTCTTTGATAACTAGTTAGGCCTGAGTGTCCAAAGAACTTTTGATATTACTGCTATATTAGTAGAGTTTATTTGCGGTATGAATTCTTTGATGTCTAATAAGAGCTGAACTTACTCGGAAAGGCCTTCCACACTCATCACATTCATAGGGTTTTTCACCTGTGTGGATTCTCTGATGCTGAATAAGACCTGTGCGCCCACTGAAGTCTTTCCCACATTCTTTACATTTATAGGGTTTTACTCCCGTGTGTACTCTATGATGTCCAATGAGATGTGAGCGCTGAATGAAGGCTTTTCCACACTCATCACATTTATAGGGCTTCTCTCCCGTGTGAGTTCTCCTGTGTTTACTAAGGTCTGAGCTATGACTGAAACTTTTCCCACATTCATCACATTTATATCGTCTTCTTTCCCTCTGTTGCCATTCTGATCTGCCCTCATTTTCAATAATATCTTTGGACTTAGGATGCTGAGGAGTATCTTTGTTCAGTCTGTCATTTATCTCCCCAAGGAATTCCTTGTCTTTGGGCATATCTTCCTTCTGGAACAACTCTTCATTCTTAGTCCTAGTTTTATCACCTGTAACAAACAAACAGTACACAAACGGGTCCTATTCTATGTTTGAGAAGCAAACAGCCTATGGAAGAAAGAACATGTAAATGTTATAAATGTGTTATAAAATAATGAGAAGTCACATACAACACACATATCAAATATTTGGTACCATCTTATTTTTGGTATCATCATAGCACAGAGTCACAATGTAAGGAAGAAATTAAGAATTAAGGAAGATATCAGCAGAACAAGTTGTTTGAGAGTAGATTAAGAGAAGAAAAGGCAAAAATAGAGCTCAAGAGATAAGTTAGCAATACTATGTAAGGGAAGACGGATAAATGAGGGGACTATAGATATGCCAAGGATAATTAGAGAGACTGGAGAACAGAGATGGGGAGGGAGGTAAAAGTTTGGGAGAAACATGCAGGGGCCTGAAACATAGGTGGCAAGTAAAATCAAGTAAAAGTGAATGGAGAGGATAATAGGATTTGGGGTCTGAGAGGAATATAGTGAATAGGAACCATCCAAGGAGGGGAGTGTGTTTGAAGGATAATAATTAGCTGGAAGCAGGAAGCATGACAACATGCAGGTCAGAGTAAATAGAGGAATGAAAAGGAATAGGAAATGACAATGGATAGTCAGTGTATATGCTGGGTAAAATATTTTTTCCTGAAACTGATGTCCTTGCTGTCATCACCTCCTGTCTAAATCCTAGCTCGGTGGTTTCTAACCTTATTGTGCATCAGAATCAGCTGGATCGTTTATTAAAACACACATTGCTGATTTTCCCTCCTACAGACGACTCCTTATCAGAATCAAACTCAGAGCAGTTGCTATTCTTAGAATGTTATTCTCTGATGCTATTTTTTTTCACCGTTTCTTTGCCTAAAATGTCACCCCCTTTCAGCTCCCACCTGACCTTCTCAGCTCAAGCAAGCCTACTCTGTGATATTTTTGCAGGTGCACCTCAGGGATAGCTATCCTCTTTGTAGTTCACGGTGTATCTCTAGTATGGTAATTATTACACTATTGTAAGTGCTCACTCTCCTGCTTCTTGAAGAGAAGTAATGTAAGTGTCTAACCTTTGGATTCCTTACATTTAGTATAGTGTCTGGCATATAGCTGCTATTTAGTAAATACTCAGTGAAAGATGAATGAATCAAAAGACAGGTTGAGCCAGGCACAGTGGCTCATGCTTATAATCCTAGCACTTTGGGAAGCTAAGGTGGAAAGATCACTTGAGCCCAGGAGTTTGAGACAAGCCTGGGAAACATAGTGAGACCTCTCCTCTAAAAAAAATAAAATAAAATAAAAATAAAAAAGAACAGATAGGAGGTTCTTAACGTCACTTCTAAAGCCAAACAGTAACCAGCACTCCACTCCTAGAGTTAAAGCACTGAAAGGCTTCTTTACATTACATATAATTAAATGTCATCCTTTCCAGATAGCAGCTAGGAACATCTTAGCTCAAAATAATTTTTCAGATTAGACAAATCATCTGGTAGGGATCCTACAGGATGGGATATTGGTAAAACTTAAGTAGTAAGAATACAAAATAGGCTAGAGTATAAGGAACTACCCGGAGAGGCATTATTAGACATGGGAGCCTCTAGAGAAAGGGTGGTGAGCACTGAAAAAGGTAGGGTTTGGATAAACTGGAATTTAAAATTCACCAGCTTTTTAATGTAGCCTGGGGATACACTAGACACCCTAGTTTGTAATTAGGGAGCTGGGATGGGGGATAAAACCCAATTAATTTGACATGCAGATAAAAACAAGAAACTTTGCTGTATTGACTGATCATTGTCTCTCTTCCCTACTTCTTTCATCATGGGAATGTGTTATAGATTGACTTGTCTTCCTCCACAAATTCATACATTGAAGCCCTAACCCCTTTCAAACATTACTGTATATGACGATAGGGCTTTAATGAAGTAATTAAGGTTGAATAAGGTCATAAGGGTAGGACCCTAATCCAATAGTACTAGTGTCCTTACAAGAGGAAGAGACACCAGGAGTGTGTGTGTACAGAGAAAGGCCATGTGAAGACACAGCAAGAGGTCTGCAAGCCAAGGAGAGTAGCCTTACTAGTAACTAACCCTGTAAGCATATTCATCTTGGACTTCCAGCCTCCAGAACTGTGAGAAAATAAATTTCTGTTAAGCCACCCATAAGTCCATGGTATTCTGTATGACAGGCCTCGCTGACTAATACAGAGTGCCATAAGTTCTCCTGTCTCAAAATGGAAATTTAGGGGGATTTGGAACAAGAATCATTAGATAACAACAGAATTATAAGGATATTAAATAAACTCCATCCTCATCCCTTGGGCCAAATAGCAGCTTTTTTGTCTAGTGAGAAACTAAAATATAACTCCATCATGGAGCAAGGGTAAGAGGAGGATAAAATTGTCCATAGTGAGGTGGAGGACAAGCAGGAAATCTTTAAAAGGAGAAGATGAAAGTGAGAAAGTTTTCCTCTAACCTAAGGAAGTACCTCTACCCTCATACACTCAGAACTGTTCCTGCTTACCATTCCTTTGTGGTTTCCCAGCTTCCTGCTCCAGCTGGGTCTTTTTGGGATGGAGCTGGACAGTCAGTGATTCATATGGCCTTCCCAAGGGGGCCAACTTGTCCATGAGTATGTCCCGTCTTTCTGAATTGCCTGGGACCTAGGGAAAATGAGGTGTGTAAGGTGAATTTTATGGAAACTTAAGTAACTTCAGATAAAACAATCAAATGAAACATCTTCCAGGGACATAGAAAGGGGGGACAAATTCTCATTTCATTGTAAATGGCAATAATGGCTAGGAGAAGGAACAGAGGCTAATCTCTACAATTCAGGACACTAGAGAGTAAAATTCAACGTCTCTTCTTTCATTGATCTGCAGAAGTCCAGGATCAGAGCACTGGGATTTGGAAGGTAGCTTAAAAATCATCTAGCCCAACTTCCAGCAAATGGGAGCATTTCTTCTATAACCATGCTATCCGATATGGTAGTCACTAGCAAAATGTGGTTACTGAGTACTTAAAATATGGCTAGTACAAATGAGATAAGCTAAATGTAAGATACATACCAAATTTTGAAAATTTAAAGCACAGATATCTAAAATACCTCATTAAAAATATTGATTACATGATTAAATATTGTGGGCTAAATAAAATATATATTTCACCTTTTTTTTTAATGTGGCTACTAGAAAATTTAAATACATATACAGCTTGCATTATATTTCTGTTGGACAGTCCTATTCTGCAATATCCTTGACATCTACTTGAATCTCCGCTTGAATACCTATATGGAAAGGGAGTTTCTTATGGGGTAGCCTATTTTATTTATGGGTATCTATGAATGGCAGAAAATTATTTCTTTTCCTCTGATACCTGATTGCCTTTTGGTAACTTCCCACTGATCCTAGCCTTCCAAACAGGCATAGAATCAGTCTAGTGACTCTCCTCTCTTTACCCAGCCACACTTTAATTATTTGACATAGGTAGTCAGGTCCCTTCCTATGCCTTGTTCTTTAGAGGATAAATATTTTCAGATGTTCTTTCATATGCCTTTTGCTTTGGCTCCATCCATATCCCCTGATCACTCACAGCCAGATGACTGCCCCTTCACACCTGCTTTCCAGGTTCATCAAGCTCTCTCTCCAGATCCTCCAGTACCGTCACTGCCTCCTCTCCAGTCTCTGGATGGTGTGCACGCACCCATGCTTGCAGGTCTTTAGGAAGAATGCTCAGGAACTGTTCTAGCACCAGCAGGTCTAAAATCTGCTCCTTGGTGTGGCATTCTGGCCTCAGCCACTGACGGCAGAGCTCCCACAGCTGGGTAAGAGCTTCACGGGGTCCAGGTGCATCCTGATAGCAGAGCTTCCTGAAGTGTTGTCTATAGAGTTCCCTCCTGTGAGGACTGCACTTTTGTGAGCTGGAATCCTGTCCCCAGTAATGGTCCTCTGCCTTAATTATCAGAAGTCCTTTTTGGTCCTCAGGTTCCAGGGCTGTGGTCATTCTGGGCTTTGCCAGGAGATTTATCCTCT
This sequence comes from Homo sapiens, assembly GCF_000001405.40. NCBI lineage: Eukaryota > Metazoa > Chordata > Mammalia > Primates > Hominidae > Homo > Homo sapiens. Next base: position 28,125,414 of record NC_000006.12, on the reverse strand, counting down.
ATCTGGGATTGAGTCAAAGAGAATCTCTTAGAATCCTGCCTCAGAGACACTCCTAAGGCATAAAAAGTTGTTACCATAGAGAAATTACAAAAATTTCTGTGAACATAAACACATCATAATGAAGCCAAGCCACCAGAAGTCAATCAGAGAAAACAGTCTTATAGGAAGCTGAAACAAAACAAAACAAAACAAAACAAAAAACAGTGACGCAGGGATATGATTTGAATCTGTGCTCTATTGTGTAACTTAGAGGAAGTTATTTATCTGGACTAGAACTACAGATCCTCAGGTACAATTCTCATGTGTGTTACAGGGTTGATATACAGATTACATGAGAACGTATGCAACGTCCCTGGCATGGCAGCGGGCACTAGTAAGCACTAAATAAACGCCAAGTATTATTAACGGCTTTGTTAAAAGGCTCTTCATTCTGTTACCATGAGATGCACGGGCCAGCTTGTGCCCCCAGGATTCACTGGTTATAGGATATGTGTGCCAACCCTGGAAGGGGATCAGACAGATGCCTCTGCAGAGGAACCCGCAACCAGTGTCCCCCTTCCACCCATCCTCTCCCGGAAGGCTGGGCCAAATCCTCTCCTGTAGATCTGTTGGGGGGCGGAGGGAGGGACAGGAGTGTTACACTCTGCCCGCGACAGGGAGGTGTGGGGAGGGTGTTGCTGCTGACCACAGCTGCGTCTTGTCCCCTTTTCTCCACCTGGGAGCCGGGAGACACTCACCTTACGCGCAGGGAGGAACAGGTGCAACAGCTAGCGTCCTTTGGACAGCCCCGAACAAAGACTAGACTCAAAGACACCAATCGGCGCCCGGCCGCTTCAGCCGGGCACTTCCGGGCCGCTCTAGGAAGCTTCGCCTCTGTGGCAGCTTGAGTGCTTGCCTCCTCGGCCCTAGCCAGTGGAGGACCCGGCTTTTACGCCTCGTATTGATGGGATTGCGGGATCTGCGAGCAAGTCTTATTTGTACTTCTTTAAAACGTTTTTCGGTTTAATTATTGAGTAATATGGATAAGTAATGCATTCACATACATTTATTAAAAAGAGTAAATGTCCCCCAGCGTCTAGTTTGACAATATTTTTCGTGACTTGTATATCCTTCCGTAGATATATTACACCGTTATAGATTGTCCGCGCTTTTTCCCCTCTGCACAAATAGTAGCACTTCTGTACCTTTCTTATTTTTCTTTTTACCAGGTGGTCTTGGTAAAGGCTGTACATAAGTGTTTCCTTGATCTTGCTCTTTTTTAAACAACTGCACGGTATTCAACTGTGTATTATGTTCTATAATTTGTTAATAAGTACCCCATTGGTGGTCATGAGGTTGTTTCCAATTCTTCTTTTTCAAACATTGCTGCAATAACTTACTGTGAACTCACATCATTTTTCATGTGTAAGGATATATCCATAGTCTGTATGTCTAGAAAGGGAATTACTACAGCATAGAATAGGGAAATTTGTACTTTTGTTAATGCCAAATCACCAATCATAGGATCTACTAGCAGTATTCTTATTTACCTATACTTGTCAACACAGTGTTATAAAATATTTTGATCTTTGCCAAATTGATGGGTGAAAAATGCTCTTAGTTTTTTACTCCCTCTTCTCCTTTCTTACACAAATATTGATTTATCTACTATGCCAGGCACTATTGTGGAAGCTGGAACTAATTTTGAGCAAAACAATGCCCTTCCTTTCATGGAATTTATAATCTTGTGTGTGTGTGTATGTGTGTGTGTGTGTGTGTGTGTGCTGGGGAGGCAGGCAATAAACCAAAAAATATACATAGTGTATAGAGAGTGGATATCAGTTCTAAGGAGAAAATAAAGGAAATAGGGAATTTGGGGTGAGAATGAAGTGATGCAATTTAAATAGGATATTCATGGAGGACCTGACTAGGAAATTGACATTTGAGCAAAGATTGAGGGAGCTGAGGGAATGGGCCATCAGGGATAAAGATGTTTCAGGGAGAGGGATAACAAATGCAAAAGCCTGGAGTGGAGTGTGTTTTAAGTATTTTGGGCAAAGGAAGGGTGCTTGTTTTTCTGGAGCTGAGTGAGCAAAAGAGCGTTGGGTGGAGAGATAGTGAGAGCCTTGGGTGAGTGCAAGGGTATTTTTACTCTAAAATGATAAAATGATAAGCTACTCAGTTTATTTTCTTTTCTCTTTTCTTTCCTTTTCCTTTGTTTTAGGAGATGGGTCTCACTCTGTCACCCAGACTGGAGTGCAGTGAGTGGTGCGATCATAGCTTACTGCAGCCTGAAACTCCTGGGCTCAAGTGATCTTCTCGCCTCAGCCTCCTGAGTAGCTGGAGCTACAGGTGTGAGCTACCCAGCATGGCTCATTTGAGATTTCTGAGTAGAGAAGTAACATGATTAAACTTGGGTATTGAGATTATTATTTTGGCTGCTATGTTAACAGTAGACTTGAATGTGAAGGGGTTGGGCAAGGGCAGAAGCAGGGAGACAGGTTGGAAAGTTGGAGTGGGAAGGGCCTTTTTAAGAATAACACAAACCCCTAAAGACATAAAACTGAAAAGGCCATGGAGGAAAAGATAAATGAAACTGGCCTTGTAAAATTGAAATATTTGAATGAAAAAAGTAAAAATAAAATATAAACTAAAAGTAAAATATGCCACACATCTAAAAGACACAGCTGATTTTCCTGATATACAAAGACCTTTTATCTTACCAAAAAATAAAAATATGAACAAGCCAATAGAAAAATAGACAAAGTACTTAACCTGCATGCATTTATTGTCAGGCCTCTGACAATATGATACTAAGCCATCATAGCCCCTGTGACCGCCACGTATACATCCAGATGACCTGGAGCAACTGAAGAACCACAAAAGATGGCATTCCACCATTGAGATTTGTTCCTGCCCCACCCCAACTAATCAATCGACCTTGTGACATTCCCCCTGCCCCCGACAGTGAGTCTCATGATCTCCCCACCCAGCACCTTGGCACCTTGTGACCCCCGCCCCTGCCCACAAGAGATAACCACCTTTAACTGTAATTTTCCACTACCTACCCAAATCCTATAAAACTGCCCCACCCCTATCTCCCTTTGCTGACTCTCTTTTTGGACTCAGCCCACTTGCACCCAAGTGAAATAAACAGCCTTGTTGCTCACACAAAGCCTGTTGGTGGACTCTCTTCACACAGACTCACTTGACATTTATAGAACACAAAATTAAGAATAGTGAATATGAAAAGGTTCACTAATAAGAATTTAAACAAAACAAGAAAGATTTTTAAGATTGCTAAAGACAAACGATTTATAATATTCAGTGTTAGGAGGTGTGTGGATATACAGGCATACTTAGTTTTACATTTTTAGAAGGTAAGACTTATTTAGAAGGTAAGAAGTTGTCCATACCCCTTGATTCAACAACTTAGCTTCTTGGAATTATCCATATAGAAATGCTTACATAAATGTTTGAACGTATGTACAAAGAAGCACTATTTATTTAAATTGGGAAACTTGAATGCCTAACATTTGGAATTTAAATTTTTATATGTCTATTCATTAAAATACCACCCAGTTTTTAGAAACTAAGAGATGCTAAAGGTATATTGAGTAAAATAAAAAGTTACAAAAGATATGGTATGATTGTTTTTGTGAAAATTATTATCTTAAAAATGTTGGCCGGGCAAGGTGGCTCACACCTGTAATCCTAGCACTTTGGGAGGCCGAGGCAGGCGGATCACGAGGTCAAGAGATCGAGACCATCCTGGCCAACACGGTGAAAGCCCATCTGTACTAAAAATACAAAAATTAGCTGGGCATGGTGGCATGTGCCTGTTAGTCCCAGCTACTTAGGAGGCTGAGGCAGGAGAATCACTTGAACCCAGGAGGTAGAAGTTGCAGTGAGCCGAGATCATGCCACTGCACTCCAGCCTGGCGACAGAGTGAGACTCTGTCTTAAAAAAAAAAAAAAAATTCACTATGAGTATCAGTTGGGGGTAAACTTAAGGAGAACCTGCATTTTATACATTATATATTTCTGGAACATTTCAATTTCTTATGAAGATTTGCTACTGGTATAAATGGGAAAAGATAATTGTTCTTAAAACCCTATTTATTCTCCACAACCTATAAAAAAATTTTCCTGTTTGGAGAATTTCATCAATATCTATTTTCCTCCTCTGAAATTCTTTGCCTGACAAGTCAAAGATAAGTAATGCATTCACATAAATTTATTAGAAAGAATAAATGTCCCCAGCATCTAGTTTGACAATATTTTTTTGTGAAATGTATATCCTTCCATAGATATATATACCTTTTGTAGATACATACCTTTCATCTTAAAGGAATTATGCCTTGTAAAAGGGTATAATTCCTTTAATATGAAAATCAGATTCAACTTCTGTGTGCTTTTTAAGGGCAAATATAAGTGAGCAAATAAATTTGTGTGGATTATTTAGAAAGTGTAGATATAAATAATTTTCAAATATGCTTTAGAACACTCTCCCACTCTGGGAAGAAAATTTTAGAAAAAGGATAACCCCTGCATTTCTTTCCATTAGAAGTACATGATCAAAAGACAAAGTCCCTTTTTCCCTTGACTGTGACATAACATGTCCCTCATAGGCAACTGAACAGATAAAAAATCCAGACGATGCTTAGTAATTTCCTGCTTCCCCTTTAGTGCACAGTGTATTATCAGTATGTTTTGCCCTCTTTATTTAATATCTTGCTGAATTAAATTATCTCATCAGGTTTTTAAGCACAAGCCCAGCCTGCTTTCTGGATGACACCTGCCACAGGTCATCCTTCCTGAATTTCCTAAATAGCCCAGAATATTCTTCAAGCATGCCCCTGGCTCATCATCCAACTTCAGAGAATCAACTGGCTAGCACCTTGGAGCACCTGCTGTGGTAACGTGAGTGGCTGAACACCAGACAAAAGGAGGCTCCCAATCACTGTTGCAGATCTTGTTAAAATCCTGGCTCTATCCTCAGCTTAGGTGTATTCTTCTTGTACTAGGATAAAGCCTCTCTGACCTCTTCATTAAGGCCTAAGTATACAGTATGGTATATGACAAGCAGGACCTTCCTCTCCTCCCCCTGTATCTTCCCAAACTACAAAAACAGAAAGCCCCCAACCTTCTCACCCCTGCCTCACACAAATCCCCACAGTGGACTGTTTAAAAAATAACAGTACTTGGTAGATATATATTCTCACTTGCTTTCATTATAGAAAAAAGAAAGAAAATAAATGAACTAAACATCCAACTCAAGGAATTACAAAAAGGAGAAAGCCTCCTCTGCCCCCAAGGAAAAAGTTGGAAAAAAATAAAAGTAAAAGCAGAATAAAATGGATTAGAAAATAGAAAAATAGTGACATTAATAAATAAATACAAAAATGTTTGTTAACAAGCCCATAAAAGCAACAAGCCTATGGTAAATCCAATTGAGAGAAAACATTTAAACATTATAAATCACAAATAGCAGATGAAGAGGAAAGTAGCCTGCTAACATTTTTGAAAATCTCAATGAGATTAGTGATTTTCTGGGAAAAAATATTAGTTCCAAAATTCATTTAAGAAGTAGAAAAATCTAAATAAACCAACCCTACCCTAAAGACAATAATTGAAGAAGTTATGAAAGAGTAATCTCTAGACTCAGATAATTCTGTAGCATTTTAATTTTTCAAAAGCATTTACATGTGTATGATGAATTCTTTCTAACTTTTCCATTTGGAATATACAGAAATTGGAAGAAAAAGGGGGAAATCACTCTATTTTCATCACCTAAATACAGTTGAGTTTGTTGTCATTTTCTTTCAATTTTTAATATTTTAAATATTTTATTATGATTATATTATGTAATATATTCAGTGATTATATTATGTAATATATTCATTGATGAACACAAGCACAGCAATGCTACTTGACTTTTTTTTTTTTTTTTTTGAGACGGAGTCTCGCTCTTTCACCAGGCTGGAGTGCGGTGGCGCTATCTCGGCTCTCTGCAGCCTCTTCCTCTCAGGCTCAAGCGATTCTCCTGCCTCAGCCTCCTGAGTAGCTGGGACTACAGGCGCACACCACCATGCCCAGCTAATTTTTGAATTTTTAGTACAGACAGGGTTTCACCGTGTTGGCCAGGATGGTATCAATCTCTTGACATCATGATCCACCTGCCTCAGCCTCCCAAAGTGCTGGGATTACAGATGTGAGATACCACGCCCAGCCCACTACTTGACATTTTAATGTAATAAAAACTTGTCATTTTATTATAAACTTTTCATAAGAATAATTTATATCTATACATTGTTTAAGAAAATATACAGAACCTAAAAGAAGAATTGGAAAGTTTACATTAAATATATAAGGTGCTTGGTACAATGTCTGAACCACAGTAAGTGCTCAACAAATGGCAGCTATTATTGCTATAGTTTATAAGGGCTTTTCCTTTTGCATGTATCATTTATTTAACTTAGAATGGGTATTATTATCTCAGAAAATACTATTGCAGAATGGAGAGGGGGAATAGACAAACTTCTTCCCACAAAGGAGCACTCTGGATGCCTCTTGGAGAAGCCAAGCATATATTTTTGCTACTCAGGAGAATCTTTTTGCTGAAGTGACATCTAGGCTGAGCAGGATTCAACAAATTGGGGCCTAGAGTGGTAGAGAAGAGAGGTATCCTATGTCAACACTCAGAGACTAACACAGGACAAGGATCCTGAGTGTTCCTCAAGGAATAGTAGTAAACTTAGATTTGGGTTAGGATCCTTCATATAAGGCATTTGGCCTACGTGGCATGGAAATAAAAAGTTGATTATTACTCTGAAGACAGTGATAAAAAGAACATAAAGTACTCCAACCTCCAGAGACCTTCAGCTTCCATCTCACATTTCTCTAAAGTTTGCTGCTTTCTCCCTTACTATACTTTCACTAGTTTGGCTTCCATTTCCTCTTTGCAGTTTGTTTTTGTCATGTCCTTGTCCTTTTTAACCACTTTTTCCCTTTACCCCCAATTTCTCTTCACTTTCCTTTGCTCATAGAGTTTATTCCCATCCTTCCCTTATTCTTAGCTGCTTTTTTCCCCCTACCTCTCCACTTTCCCATTTTGGCCCCATCCTACCATTTTTCCACAACTGCTCCTATTACTAAATGCTTCAAATGTAAATGATTCTCTCCTCAGTTTAATACCTGCGTTTGGCCCAGTGTTTTTTCACTATTACACTTAATGTTGACCCACTTCATGTGTTTTGTATCTTACCCAAAGAAGTAGTCTCTATGGAGTCTGCTAGAAGCTATTATAGTTGACTTTCAGTAGATTACCTACAAATTCTATCCAAATAAAATTTCGAAGTGGCTTTCCTCTAACTTCAGGTGATCAAAGAATATATTTAAAATTTTTAATCTAAATCTTCAGATTTGTTAGCAGAAAACCTGTTCTTCATGGAAAAATTTAATTGGAAGGCCAATATATAAAACTAATGAAAGTGAAGCTGTTTGGGTGGTAAAGCATCTAGAGTCCTTGAAGCCTCACTAAGAAATCCTTAGGGCACACAGTTTAAATGGTTGAATGAAGGGGGCAGTATAAGGCAACAGAAGCTGTGTGACAGGGAGGACCATGTCCAACTGGAGAGTAGAATGAATTTGAATGAATTATTAGAATGAATTATTATTTACATAGGTAGGATGGTTCAGTGAGGGTAAAACAAGATTCATCACCCAAATTCCCAGTAACCTTTCACATCTTAAAGATGGCAAACAGGCCAAATGGGCTGTATTTGGCCTGCACAGGCATTTCTCCCCCAATGCAGTATTTTTAGTACTTTATGTTCTAGATGAGAGTAGAATGAATCAGCTCATCAACTGTTGCCATGTGGGAATGTGGTGTCTAGTGTAGTCACGTCATGCATTTTTGTAAGAGTATCTGGAAAGTTAGATTTTATATGAAATCTCCAGATTCTTAAATAATGGCAATAGTTTTAAATATTTTTTAAAATACTGCATTGGGGGGGAAATGCCTGTGCAGGCCAAATACAGCCCGTTCGGACTGTTTGCCATCTTTAAGATGTGAAAGGTTACTGGGAATTTGCGTGATGAATCTTATTTTACCTTCACTGAACTATCCTACCTGTGTAAATAATAATTCATTCTAATATTACAAAATGGCTTTTGTATTTCACAGTGCTTTTAGGGTAAGTAAGTAAAAAGCTATAGTATTTTATCAAGTTAAAAAAATACAAGGCTTTTTTATGTAGATCAGATGTTAATTCTAATTTCACACTTTAGAGAAGTTTATTACTCCAACTTCAAAGAAACAAATAGAAGAGGAGAAAAAGGGAAGGGGAAAGAGAACAGTAGTAATTGCTAAAACCTCCAATACATATCTAATAGAATTTTTAGATTTCCTGAGCCACTTGCTTTAGAGAAAAGTTTGAGAGTATGGAATAAGCTCCTTCAGAGTCCCAGTTTATCAGGTGATGTGCCTAATGGCAGAGAATCAGAAAGCCTTGTTTAGCAAGCCTGCGGGTGCTTGCCCATTTTAGCCTTCACATGTATTTTCTTTCCTTTTTTCTGGGACAGAGTCTTGCTCTATTGTTCATGCTGGAGTATGGTGGTGTAATTATAGCTCATTGTGACCTTGAACTCCTGAGCTCAAGCAATCCTCCTGCCTTAGACTCCTGAGTAGCTGGAACTACAGGCATGCACCACTATGTCCAGCTAATTTTTAAATTTTTTGTATGTTGTATGTAATTTTTTGTTATATGTAATTTTTCTATGTTGCCCAGGCTGGTCTTGAACTCCTGGTCTCAAGTGATCCCCCACCTTCACCTCCAAAACTGCTGGGATTACAGGCATGAGCCACCATGCCTGGCTGTATTTTTAAATGACTGCTGAAATTGCAATAGTGATTGCAGAGTTCCCTGCATCACTGTATTGGTGGCATCTTTTACTAGTTGTGCTTTTTTGATGTTCCACAGGAATGAGCATAGATGAACAATGTTGCATCACGCTTGACATCACCGGGGCTTCTTTCCAGTGTGGATTTGCTCATGTAAAATGAGGTGTGAGCTCTGCCTGAAAGCTTTTCCATATGCATCACATTTGCAGGGCTTTTCTCCAGTGTGGGTTCTTTGGTGTCTCAAAAGATGTGAGCTGTTACTGAAAGCTTTCCCACACACATCACACTCATAGGGCTTCTCTCTACCGTGGATTCGCTGGTGTCCAACAAGAGCTGAACTGTATCTGAAGGCCTTTCCACGCTTGTCACATTCATATAGTTTCTTTCCACTGTGGATTTTCTGGTGACAGAAGAGGCCCAAGCACTAGCTAAAGCTTTTCCCTCACTCACTACACTGCTATGGCTTCTCTTCAGTATGAACTCTGATGTTGTCTCAGATATGAACTCAGAGAGGATTTCCCACAATCATTACACTGGTATGGTTTCTTTTCCGTGTGAGTTCTCTGGTGTCAAATAACATCTGAGCTGTGATGAAAGACTTTCCCACACTCACTACATTGGAAAGGTTTCTCCTGTGTGGGTCCTTCAATGCTGAATAAGATATGAACTGTAATAAAAGACTTTTTCACACTCATCACACTGATAGGGTTTTATATGGCTATGTATTCTCTGATGGTCAGTAAGTTGTGAGCTCTGAGTAAAAGTTTTGCTACATACATTACATGAAGAGGGTGTGTTACCAGTACAGATTATTTTATGTCTAATGGGGCTTGAGTTTTGAGTGAATGTTTTCCCACATTCATCACACATATATTTTCTCTCAGTTGATTGTGTTTCTCTGATATATTTCTTTGTTTTTTGTTTGTTTGTTTGTATAAGACGGAGTCTCGCTCTGTCGCCCAGGCTGGAGTGCAGTGACGTGATCTTGGCTCAGTGCAACCTGAGGCTCCCAGGTTCAAGGGATTCTCCTCTCAGCCTCCCAAGTAGCTGGGATTACAGGCTTACACCACCACACCTGGCTAATTTTTGTATTTTTAGTAGAGACGGGGTTTCACCATGTTGGCTAGTCTGGTCTCAAACTCCTGACCTCAGGTGATCCGCCCATCTCCACCTGGAGTGGTGGGATTCTAAGTGTGAGCCACTGCACTCGGCTCTCTGATATATTTCTGTCCATCTTTCATGTTCTTGGGTTTCTTCTCATTCAGAAGCCTTTCATTGATTTTCCAGGTAACTTTTCTTGGGATTCCATATCTACAGTAAGTTCCTGCCCTTGAATCAGTTCTATTTTATTGATTCTGATAACATAATCTGAAATAAAAAGTAGAGCATTCAAATGTCACTGGGGTATACAGGAACTAAAATACATATACTAGAAGTAGATGGCTCAAACATACCAACAAAATGGTTTTAAAACATTTGAGGAGGAAATTGAGGGATGGTAATGGAAGACAGGATGGACTGAACTTCGAAGGCATGATTGAAGAAAAGAATGGAGAAAAATAGGGAGGAATGATAATCATGATCCAATGAGGAAGCAAAGTAAACAACAGAAGAGATCTAAGATAAGAATATGTTCACCAGGAAAGGCCCAAAGTTGAGTAGAGAAAAATAAAAAGAGAGAAAGGAAGTCAACGGTGGCAGGTACCCCATGAGTGCCATGAAATTGTTCTGTGCAGGTTGCCCTGAAGGCCTCTGGGAATACCGAAAAAATCAGGGAATCAGAGCACAGGGAAGTATCCCATTTCCCATGTGCAGAACAAAGAGATTAGACACCTTAGACAAAACAAGATGTTATCACGGGGATAGAACAGAAATTGCTTTGGTCCCTAAAGACCTCACTACTGTTTTTGTAGAGAACACTGGGGATCTGTCAAGCTTCAAGCTGCATTCTGTGGGTCATTTCAGACTTCCCAGGCTAACAGTCACTAAGAGAGAGGAGGTTCTTTAACAGACCCTCAACTTGCATCTGTCTTTACCCAGGGGATCCATGTTCCTATAATTCCTCTGCCTGTCTTTCCTGGAGAGGTTCCTCTGAGCAGGATCTCAATACCGTCATTTCTCCAGGGCAGGAGATGTGGCCATATCCTCAGTAATCTATAGTTTTTGAAAACATGAGATTTTCATACCCAAGGCATATTTGCCTGAACTTAATCCCATTTTTAGGACCCAGAGTAAAGGGGAGAATTTGTAACTACATAGGAAGAACACAGAGAAAAGCAGTGTTTTGAGTGGATAAGGAACATTAAATGGAAAAAAAAAAAGACAAATCATGAAGACAGTTGAAGCACTAGGACACGGACAAGTCACAGCTAACTCTAGGCAGAGGCAAAGGGATTCATTGTGCTAAAATGTGTTGACTAAAGAGACTCGGACGAAGAAGAAAAGGAGCCACGGTGAGACAGTGAATTCAAATCTTCGAGAATGTGGATGAGGAATAAAGTTCACTAAGCAACCTGTCTTGAGAAAAATGACTCTCATCTGGGTCTTGGAACTTCTGTGAAGGGCAGGAACACAGGGATGAGGCAGAACTGAGAAAGCACATTGCCAAGAGTGAGATCAACCTTCTCTTGGGGACTTGTTTTACACCAGAGCCTGCAATAATCTCACCATACCAGCTTGTCACACTGCTTAAAACCCTCTCACTGTTAGTGGTTATTTAAGGTTATCTTAAAGTCTTTGGGTGCTTTAAAACTTTATGTTACAGCTACCTGTCTTGGTCCATTTTGTGCTGCTATAACAGTATACATAGACGAGGTAATTTATAAAGAACAGAAATTTATTTCCTGACTTCTGGAGGCTTGAAGGTCCAAGATCAAGTTGCTGACATCTGGTGAGGGCCTTCCTGCAATGTCATTCTATGGCAGAAGGTGGAGGGGAAGAGAGAGAAAGAAAAGGGGAAAGGGGTCGGGGGGAAAAACGCACCAAACTCATCCTTTTATTAGGAACCTACTCCCATGATAACTAACCCACTCCCACAATAAAGACATTAATCTTTTCATGAGGGCAGAGCCCTCATAACCTAGTCACCTCTTAAATATCCCACTTCTCAACACTGTTGCACTGGGGATTGAGTTTCCAGCATGTGAACTCTGGGGGACAGGTTCAAACCGTAGAGCTACCTGAACTATATCTGTGTGCAGAATCTGAAAGCAAATTGCACAGATACACATTTATAAAAGAACATAGTCTTTTAGAACCATTAGCAGATAAAAAAAGTGGCTATCATAGATGGCATCCAAAAGACTACTACAGATATAATAACTAAAATCCATATTAGCATCAGAAGAAAATATATGGATTATTATAAAAAAGAAGCACAACATAGAAACTCAATTTGTAACTGAATAAAAGAGGTTGAGGAAAATGGTGTATTTCCAGTCAAGATGGCACAGTGAGTTCATACTTCATCTCCAAATACAAAAAGTAATAGATAAAAATCTGTAAACACATCTGTGCTTAAAAAAAAAAAAAAAAAGAAAAAGAAAAAACCCAACAAGATAAACATTTCTGTGGACCAGAAAGGAAGCAAAAACACAGAATGGTGGCTATAGCTGAAGCTCTGGGCCTGCTGGGCTCCTGGTCTTACACAGTGACTGAAGTCTTGTCACCAGGGGAACCTGGAGAACTACAAGTGCTCCATGAGAGGGGGGACTGGCACCATCATACTGCCTGGTGCCAAAGGCTAGGTGGAACACACAGGCACCCACATACACAAGTACCTTAAAATGCACAGAGCAAGATAGAACCCTGTGACCAAGAACCATGTGAAGCCATCTGTAAACCTGTGACTACATTGATGATATTTGTGATATCACATGGAACAGTAGTCCTAAAATATCACTGTATAAAACCTGGTTCTGGGGGAGGAGGTGCAGGTAAAGGTACAACAGAATTGGTAAACAAAGAAGAGTAGAAGGTAAATAGACCAGAACTCAAAATGAACCTAGAAATAGAAATTTCAAAACAAATGAATTGAATGCTAAGAAAGATGGTTACAAAATGACCAACTGGAACATGAATTCAATCCACATGAAATTACTTTCATCAAACAGCCTGATGAAATTAATAGATTAAAGATATGGGAAAAGAAGACAAATGATAACATACCATCCATGGCAAATAAACATACAATTATGAAACAAGCAGAACAAGGATAATTGCTATGAAAACTAAATAGAAATTTTAGAAATAATCATTTTTGAAATAAAATCTTCAATGAAATGGATAAGCTGAAGACAGCGAAAGGGAGAATAAACTGGAAGATAGTAGAAGAAGAATCCACTAGGATGTACCGTAGAGAGACAAAGACATAAAACATATGAAAAAGCAGTTAAGTAGAATGGATGATTGATAAGTGGTTCTAATGAGTACATGTTGGAAGCTCCAGCAGACAATAATATAAGGAATTAAAAAGATGCTTATTTAAGGAACTCATAGCTGAGAATTCCCCAGATTGAAGAAAAACATGGGTATTAGAGCAAAAGTGCATTTATAGGCCAAGCGAGATGAACAAAAATAAAACGTATTGGACATACTTAGTGAAACTCAGAGCATAAAAGTTAAGAGTAAATTTAAAAAGCTACTAAAGAGAAAAAATTGAATCTTTTTTTAAAGGCATTTAGACTGCCAGTAGCTTTTTGCCAGCAAACAATAGAAGCTAGAAGACAGTGAAGTATTAATAGTATCTTCAAAAGGCTAAGGGAAAAAAAGTCAATTTAGAATTTTATCCCAGCTAAGTCATTATTTCAAAGGAAGGGCAAAATAAGAGAACTTTCAAACATGGCAAAAGCTCAGTCCACCACCCAAAGAACCTCACTAAAGTAAGTTTTAAAGGATAGACTTCAACAAGAGTGAACCCAGAGGAAAGGTGTTAGTATACAAGAATGGTGACCTCAGAAATTGATAAAAATTATCAAAACAATTTAATTTACTATTAAAGAACTCATCTGTTGAGCATACAAGCCCTTCATGATCCTAGAACTGGGATTCTCGACCCTAGCTACACCTGGAGAGTTAAGAAAAAAAAGCAAGCCCATGCCTGGGCCCCACTCTTGTCTAAAGAAAATCCAGTTTCTGAGGGTGAGGCCCGCCACTGATAAATTTTTAAAGTCATCCAGATGCACAATCACATCACTCTGATGTGAGACTGCCCCTGCTTACCTTTCCAATTTCATTTTCCTAACTCTTCACCTCTCTCACATTTTTACATTCCATCTCTACTATGGAGTTAAGAACATGGGCTCTGGAGACAGACTATTTAAATTCTACACCTGCTATCTATTAATATGGCAGTCTGCTACCATTTTAGGATAAATCTGATAGACCTACCTACCTAGAGCCTCTAAGGGCAGCAGTGATTTGCAGGCCAGAGTGAGCACTAGTGTCCATAATTTATAAATATTAATTTCTAAATTATGAACAATAGTTTTATTAATTAAATTAATTATAATTAATTTAAATCTTCATGAAAAGGATCATTTGTGTTCACCCTACTCCAAGAATATGTTATACATCTCAGTAAGTTGCCCATTAAATAATAAAGTTTGACCAACAAATGGCAAGCCTCAGCTATTTAGGGAAACCCTAGCATGCGGAACACCTTATTTTCTAATAATGCTATTACTAGAAAATTTGGAAAACATGCATTTCAAAATGAATGAACAAACATACCCCTATAGGTAAGACGTATCCTATAGTCATTAAAAGTCCTCCCTAGGTATAACAAAGAAGACCATAATGAAGAAAACATAGCTCATATTTTTTAGATGACACTATTTCCAAAAATGATGTTTTTCATTTTCTTTTGGGAAAGTGAGCATCATTTCCACCCATCAGACTTAGGAAGATTCCAACCCTGATACCCTGGATCCTTACTGAAGCCAGGAGATGTGTTAAAAAGAGCCATTCTGTCCTCTTTCCAGTACCCTCTGGAGCTTTAGGACAAGCGATCTAGCTACATCTCTCTCTCCCTCTCCATCCACCTCCTGAAACTGCCCTACTGTTGGCCCTCATAATGTTGAGTTGGAACTATAGCAATAGTCTTCAAAGTGGTCCTTTTTCTCCTCCCTCTGCAATCCAGCTTATATCTAGTTTACAGGGCACGTGTTAGTTCCTGCTTGTATATATAGTCCATCTTCACACTGCTATAAAGATCCTGAGACTGGGTAATTTACAAACAAAAGAGGCTTAATTGACCCAGTTCTGCATGCCTGGGAATGCCTCAGGAAACTTACAATCATGGTGGAAGGTTAAGGAGAAGCAAGTACCTTCTTCACAAGGTGGCAGGAAAGAGAAAGTGCGCAAGGAAAACTGCTACTTTTTTAAAACCATCAGATCTCATGAGAACTCCCTCACTATCACGAGAACAGCATGGGGGAAACTGCCCCCATGATCCAGTCATCTCCCACCAGGTTTCTCCCTGGACACACGGGATTACAATTCGAGATGAGATTTGGGTGGGGACGCACAGCCAAACCAAACCCCCATCTCAAGAAAAGAAGAAAATAAAAATAGGCTCTCTACAGTTTTGTTCCAGACCACCTTGTTAGCATTCTTCCTCTATTGGCTACTCAGTCTCAGCCAAGCTGATACACTCCCATCCTCTTATCATTATTTGTACTTTTCCACATTATTCCTCTGCTCAGACCTCATCATTCACCTTTACTGAGCATTTTCTACATATCAGTTGTGGGGGATAAACAGGAACTTCAGACAAGTGAAGCAGTAATATAGTATGCTAATGCTATGACAGAAATATGCACAAGGTGCATCATATAACTCAAACATGTGGGAGGGTATCAAGAAAGGCTTCCTAAAGAAGGTGACAGCTGAGTTGAATCTTGAAGAATAGCTATGAATTGGGTTGGCAGAACAAGGGAGAAGGTTTGGTCAGAGGTGGTATTTTACAATACTAGTTCAACAAGGTGGAGGTGTGTGTGTTCATGTGAGTATGTGGCAGCGGGGTGGAAAAATGTTGGCCATATTTGCAAAAAACTGAAATGTACCATGGGTCTGATGGGGCAGGGAAGGAAAGAAACATTGAGAGGAAAAAAGGGATGAATGACTACAAGTCTTAATGTGATGGAAGAAGATAATAGAGGGACAGAGAGCTAGAAGAGGGGTAAGTATGAGGTACATCATTCCTGATGCTGTCTGCCCAGTGAAATGTTACCAGTTCTTTATGATCCAGTTCAAATTCCAATCATTCCACTAACACCACCATGAGGGCCTGAAAAGACAGATTTCTCCCTTCTCAGAACTGTTATCTCTGATTTGGCAATCGTTCACTGCCTCAAATGAGGCAATCTTTTTATTGGTACCCAACTCCTTTAGGGCAGGGACCCTCATAGACACCAAAGCTAGGTTTTACACACTGTGAAAGCTAAATATTTACTGACGTATTGGTGGGGGGACTGGAGTCTCGCTATGTTGCCCAGGTTGGTCTCAGACACTTGGACTCAAGCGATCTTCCTGCCTCAGCCTCCTGAGTAGCTGACATTTTCTGACTTCTTAACAGGAGCCACAAAGCTCTCATGTCCAGGCCCCTGACCACCTCTTCTCTAGGTCTCTGTGTCCACGCTCCAGTCACACTGGTTTTCTTTCAATTCCTCAAACCCACCAATTTCTTTCCCACTCCAGTTTTTGCACATGCTGTTGTGGTCTGGAATGCTTTCCTCTCTATTATTCACTTAGCTAATTTCTACATCACTTTTAAGATTCAGCTCCCATATTACTTCCTCAAAGAGACCTTCCTGACTACACTCTCTCTCCATATACAATCTGTCACAGTATATTTATTTGCGTGTTTAGTACCTCTGTCATAAGATTGTCTCCATGAAAGCAAAGATCATTTCTGCTTTGTTCACTATTCCTAGAGCCTTGAACAGTACCTAGCACATAAAAAGTAATATATATTTGCCAAATGATGGATGATTCTAAGGTCTCCAAGGGAGCCATATGACACAAGTGTCAACACTAATCACAATCCTTTTGCTGTTGAGAGTCCTGAGAGTCACTTTTAAGCTGAGTCTCCACAGAAGGATTGAGAGGCACTGAAGTCTCAGAAAGCACTTCCTGGCCAGGCGCAGTGGCTCACGCCTGTAATCCCAGCACTTTGGGAGGCCGAGGCAGGTGGATCATTTGAGGTCAGGAGTTCGAGACCATACTGACCAACATGGCGAAACCCCCTCTCTACTAAAAGTACAAAAAAATTAGCTGGGCATGGTGGCATACGCCTGTAGTCCCAGCTACTTGGGAGGCTGAGGCAGGAGAATTGCTTGAACCTGGGAGGCGGAGGTTGCAGTGAGCCAAGATCGCACCACCGCACTCCAGCCTGGGCGACAAAGTGAGACTCTGTCTCAAAAAAAAAGAAAAAAAAGAAAGCACTTCCTGCACATGGGCCTGGGCTGAAACCTGAGGACAAGCAGGCTCATTTGGGCATCTGAAGGGGCGACAGTGTACATGATCCCCAGAGATCCCACAAAGGACCAGCTTGGACACCCTCTCCAGGCTGTTCTACCCAAGTGTATAGGACCCTTTCTTACCTCCAGCAAAACCACTGCCTCCTCTCCATTCTTTGGATGATACTCATGCATCCAGGCCAGGAGCTCCTCGGGCAGAATGGCCAGGAACAGCTCAAGCAACAGCAAGTCTAACATCTGCTCCTTGGTGTGAATCTCAGGCCTTAACCACTCACAGCAGAGCTTCCAGAGCTGGCTCAAGGCCTCACAGGGCCCAGGAGTCTCCTTGTATCAGAACTGTCAGAAACGCTGGCCGAATAACTACTGTTTGTTTGGGCTACTCCTTTTTGGGCTGGATCCCTGCTTCATGGCAAGGCTTTATTTGTTGTTTGTTTCAAAGAGCTGCTTTGTCTCTTCAGGAGCCCATGGAAGGGACACAGTGGGCATTCTAGCTCCAATGGGCTAAGAGGATTGCTGCTGTAAGTGTTATGTTAAAGCACACTCCTAAGGTAACAGAAACTATAGTTCAAAAAATAAAAGTATAAAACAGTTCAAACCTTTTCTCAAATAGAAGGAATGTTTGTCAAGAAACAGCAGTTTTGACAGTCCTGAGAAAATTGTTGGATGCTTTTTCCCAAAAATAACAACAAAACAATGTTGGTAAGGCAAAATGAAGTTTATTCTTGTGGGTGATAAAAAGCACTACCTTGACAGAGTCCTAGTAGCATCTCTGAGGGAGGAAGGCAAAGTCAGGATATTTACAAGATTTGAAAGGTTTGATGCTGATCTTTCTTTTTTTTATTTTTTATTTAATTTATTATTATTATACTTTAAGTTTTAGGGTACATGTGCACAATGTGCAGGGTAGTTACATATGTATACATGTGCGATGCTGGTGCGCTGCACCCACTAACTTGTCATCTAGCATTAGGTATAGCTCCCAATGTTGTCCCTTCCCCCTCCCCCCACCCCACAACAGTCCCCAGAGTGTGATGTTCCCCTTCCTGTGTCCATGTGTTCTCATTGTTCAATTCCCACCTATGAGTGAGAACATGCAGTGTTTGGTTTTTTGTTCTTGCGATAGTTTACTGAAAATGATGATTTCCAATTTCATCCATGTCCCTACAAAGGACATGAACTCATCATTTTTATAGCTGCATAGTATTCCATGGTGTATATGTGCCACATTTTCTTAATCCAGTCTATCATTGTTGGACATTTGGGTTGGTTCCAAGTCTTTGCTATTGTGAATAATGCCGCAATAAACATATGTGTGCATGTGTCTTTACAGCAGCATGATTTATAGTCCTTTGGGTATATACCCAGTAATGGGATCACTGGGTCAAATGGTATTTCTAGTTCTAGATCCCTGAGGAATCGCCACACTGACTTCCACAATGGTTGAACTAGTTTACAGTCCCACCAACAGTGTAAAAGTGTTCCTATTTCTCCACATCCTCTCCAGCACCTGTTGTTTCCTGACTTTTTAATGATTGCCATTCTAACTGGTGTGAGATGGTATCTCATTGTGGTTTTGATTTGCATTTCTCTGATGGCCAGTGATGGTGTGATGCTGATCTTTCAAAGCAGAATTAGGACTGGGCAAGGATGGTGATACAATAATTTAAGATTGATGGACACATTCATTAAGATGAAGGTTTTGAGGTGAGGGTTTCAAAAAGTCTGGATACTAATTATTGAAAGTTGAAGAATTTGATGTTCATTTAAATAGATTTTTTGAGGGGGAAGTTCTTGAAACAAAAATAATTATTTGCAATTTTTATCTCCTACAGCAATAATGTCCTGGAATAGTAAAGTCATGTTGATAAAGACAGTGGAATAGTAGTATCACATTAGCAAAGACAGTTGAATAGTAAAATTATGTTAACATAGGTAGGGGGCTGTGTGCGTAACTGATTTAGGCAGGGCCTATCTGTTACCCAGGATTAACATGGTGGGCAGTGGTGAAGGGCATGGGCTGAGGATTCCAAAAGCCCTGGGCTCGAATGTTGTCACATTCTCTTATGTGTAGTGGCTTAATCTCTAAATTTTTATTCCTTTTCTGCCGTTAAAAACAAGCTTCTAATTTTGTTTGTAACTTTTTATTTTGAACTAATTTTAAACTTACAGAAAATTTCCAAAAAGGTATAGAACAGTCCCTATATCCTTCACCCAGCTTCCTATTATATTAAAATCTTACATAACCATAGCACAATTGCAAGGCCAAAAAATAGTATTGGTACAATGTGATTAAACCACAGACCTGATAATATAGGGTTTTTTTTTTAAGAAAAATTACAAAAAGCATTAGATGCAGTGCCTGGAAAGCATTAGACTCAGTGCCTAGCACTTAGTAAGACCTCAGTAAAGGATTGCAGTTATCTTTATGACCTGGTCATCGAGGGGCTGGCAGGGGAGACCACACCTGGTGCTCAGGGACACTTCTCTGTTTTTTGGCACACAACTTAGGACCACGCAATAAGGCCCTCTACTGCCTTCTCTGTGCTTAGCTTCTGTTACCCAATCGGCATCTTTGAAAGACATCTTCACTTCCTGGGCTCTAAGGATTAATTCAGGGACTTCTGGAGCAGGTTTGGAGAAAGGCTGTTTCAGGAATCATTCAAGATAAAGGACATGGAAGCGGGTTCTACAGGTTGCCTTCCACTAGTTTAGATCTTTGAAAGAATAAGGCAAAATACAGTGTTAACCAACCAGACTACAAACACTTTCCCTGTTTATTCTGTAACATAAACGAAATGGCAGATCATCAGTGGACAACCATAACGAGCCTCGGACTCGGGAAGATCTGGCTATGTTCCTTAAGCCATCAGGGCCTGACAGATCACAAAAAACTTCCAATAGTCGGCGGTCACGTTGGAGAAAAGGGTGGTCCGCATAGACCGACCAGGTCGGCATCTGTGAACCAGAGTCGGACTTCGCAACGTCTGGGGAAACGTCCGGCCCGCGTGGGGGAGCTGGGCTCCGGTTGGCTAGGGCAACCCCGCGGTGCCAGGGCCGGGACACCCACCAGTCTGCCCCGTGCAGTGTCTCGGACGGCGCTTCCAGCGCGGGGCTAAGCAAGGACGGGGCTCCTCCCGCCCGCACCTGGCTGAGCTGGGGGACTCGGGCGGCGGCGTCCTGCTCTCTTCCTGCCAGTCTTACTACCTGGGCTGGGTGGCAGCTCCAGCCCAGCTCTAACTAGCTCCTCTGCGCCCTGCCTGGCCGCTGGCGGAAGTGCGTCTGCGAACCCCTTCCGGCCTTGCGCCCCAGCTTCCAGCGGCTTCAGAGAGGTGTGCAGCGTGTGGGGTCCCCAGTGCGCGCCGCGGAGTCTCCAAATGGGGTCACTTGGGCATGGGGTTTTGTTTCACAACTTGTCTCATCCGAAAGAAAGGGTTTGAGTTCCAGCTTCGCAGCGTTGAGTCCGTCAGTCCTCCCCGCTCAGGTCGGCAGGCGGGAACCTCCCCAGACTTCATTTCTGTCCACCGACCTGGAGTTTCAGTTTTCTCACAAAAGTACACTTTTCCCAATCACTGTAACCATAAATGGCTCAAAATAAAAATGAATTTTTTCTTGACTCTGGAAAACAAATGTAGAAAGAATCAGAATTGTTTCAAACAAAAAGTCATAAAAGATAAATGCAGTCCTCTATTAGGTTAGGCCCATGTTATTAATTCTTGTTCTGCTTGATGTTGGGTTAGTAATCTTCATGAATCCATCAGTTTTTTTTTTTTTAAGAGTTCTGGAAGTTTTTAGCTAGTCCAGTGGTGTGATTTCCAAAGTTATCAGAAACCTGCATTCAAGAGTACTTGGCAGTGTCCTTTCCATGAATTTCCTTTAAGGAAAATAAAATTTTAGACTGTAGCGAATTGTAAATCACTTTTTGAGAAGTAAAGTAAGACAATAATTGTCTGTGGATGGCAAAAGGCTTAGAGTAGCCATGGTTAAACACACAATTAACAAGAAAATCTGGTTATTTCTGTAGCCTACAAAATTTGCCATAATCATAATTATGACTGATAACATATACCAAGACACATCAGAATTTAGGAATATACAATTTCGGAACACATGTTAATAACACATTTATACAAATGTGACTGAAAGTTTTGGGTTTTTTTTTTTTTTGCCTTTTCCCACATCTTCTAATCAACAAAAGTTAAATGCCATTTCTTATTTGACAGTGTTTCCTGTGTGATTTTAACCAAATAAGCCTAATATGTCTCTCTTGGACTATCAGGCATTCCTTATAGAAAATACTTAATTTTAGAATTTGAAATTTGATTTTGGGAATTATGTCAAATATCAAAGTCTTAAAACCTTTGATATCAAAACTAAGATCACAGGTCATAATAATCATTTATTTAGCCAAAGTGATAATTGAAATATTTCAAAAAGCGTAAACCTTTACTCTTTGAAAGAGAGGAGATTCAGTTTTTCAAACAAGAATCTGTCTCTCTCTCTCCTTTTTAAATTTTTAACAGTTTATTCAAAAGATGAACACTAGTCTTATATCTCTTATTAATACTATATTGTTCAAGCAAGAAAATAAAATTCTACTTTGTATCAGTGCATTGTTAATATTAAACCTAATTTTAATAATACCTTATAAACAGATCCATCTATTCTCATCAGCTTTGACCATGCAAGATAAGATTTCCACAAACTTTGTATAACCTTTTACAATTTTTCCTATTCTCTTTCCCCAAATTCCTGCATCCACTCAGTTTATTATTCTTTTTAATCCTTTCACTTTAAAGCAACCATTTTTTAAAAAATTTTACTTTAAATTCCGGGATACAAGTGCAGAACATGTAGGTTTGTTACAAAGATGTGTGTGTGTCACGGTGGTTTGCGGCACCTATCAACTCGTCATCTAGGTTTTAGGCCCGCATGCATTAGCTATTTGTCCAAATGCTATCCCTCCCCTTGCCCCCATCCCCTGACAAGCCCCCATGTGTAATGCTCTCCTCTGTGTCCATGTGTTCTCATTGTTCAACTCCCACTTCTGAGTGAGAACATGCAGTATTTGTTTTTCTGTTCCTGTGTTAGTTTGCTGAAGATGATGGCTTCCAGCTTCATCCATGTCCCTGCATAAAGGACATGATCTCATTTCTTTTCATGGCTGCATAGTATTCCACTGTATCTATGTGCCACATTTTCTTTATCCAGTCTATCATTGATGAGCATTTGGGTTGGTTCCATGTCTTTGCTATTGTAAATAGTGTTGCAATAGACAGATGTGTGCATGTGTCCTTATAGTAGAATGATTTATATTCCTTTGGGTATATACCCAGTAATGGGATTGCTGGGTCAATAAGTATTTCTGGTTCTGGATATTTGAAGAATCACCACACTGTCTTCCACAGCAGTTGAACTAATTTACCTTCCCACGTGTAAAAAGCGTTCCTATTTCTCTACAGCCTCGCCAGCATCTGTTGTTTCTTGACTTTTTAATAATCGCCATTTTGACTGGCATGAAATGCTATCTCATTGTGGTTTTGATTTGCATTTCTCTAATGATTAGTGATGTTGAACCTTTTTGTCTTATGTTTGTTGGCCACATAAATGTCTTCTTTTGAGAAGTGTCTGTTCATATCCTTCGCCCACTTTTTGATGGGGTTGTTTTTTCCTTGTACATTTGTTTAACTTCCTTGTAGATTCTGGATATTAGACCTCTGTCAGATGGGTAGATTGCAGACATTTTCTCCCATTCTGTACGTTGCCTGTTCACGCTGATGATAGTTTCTTTTGCTGTGCAGAAGCTCTTTAGTTTAATTAGATCCCATTTGTCAATTTTGGCTTTCGTTGCAATTGCTTTTGGAGTTTTCATCATGAAGTCTTTGCTCATGCCTATGTCCTGAATGGTATTGCCTAGGTTTTCTTCTAGTGTTTTTATGGTTTTGGGTTTTACACTTAAGTCTTTAATCCATCTTGAGTTAATTTTTGTACAAGGTGTAAGGAAGGGGCCCAGTTTCAGTTTTCTGCATATGGCTAGCCAGTTTTCCCAGCACCATTTATTGAATAGGGAATCCTTTCCCCATTGCTTGTTTTTGTCAGGTTTGTCAAAGATCAGATGGCTGTAGATGTGTGGTGTTGTTTCTGAGGTCTCTGTGTTGTTCCATTGGTCTATATGTCTGTTTTGGTACCAGTACCATGTTGTTTTGGTTACTGTAGCCTTGTAGTATATAGTTTGAAGTCAGGTAGGCATGATACCTCCAGCTTTGTTCTTTTTGCTTAGGATTTTCTTGGTTATATGGGCTCTTTTGTGTTTCCATATTAAATTTAAAGTAGTTTTTTCTAATTCTGTGAAGAATGTCAGTGGTAGTTTGATGGGAATATCATTGAATCTATAAATCACTTTGGGCAGTATGGCCATTTTCACATATTGATTCTTTCTATCTATGAGGAGGAAATTTTTTTTTTCATTTCTTTGTGTCCTCTCTTATTTTCTTGAGCAGTGGTTTATAGTTCTCCTTGAAGAGGTCCTTCACATCCCTTGTCAGCTGTTTTCCTAGGTATTTTATTCTACTTTTAGCAATTGTGAATGGGAATTCATTCATGATTTGGCTCTCTGTCTATTATTGGTGTATAGGAATGCTTGTGATTTTTGCACATTGATTTTGTGTCTTGAGACTTTGCTGAAGTTGCTTATCTGCTTAAGGAGTTTTGGGGCTGAGATGATGGGGTTTTCTAAATATACAATCATGTCAATCTGCAAACAGAGGCAATTTGACTTCCTCTCTTTTTATTTGAATACCATTTATTTCTTTCTCTTGCCTGATTGCTCTGGTCAGAACTTCCAATACTATGTTGAATAGGAGTGGTGGGAGAGGGCATCTTTGTTTTGTGCCAGTTTTCAAAGTGAATGCTTCCAGATTTTGACCATTTAGTATGATATTGGCTGTGAGTTTGTCATAAATAGCTCTTATTATTTGCGATATATTCCATCAATACCTAGTTTATTGAGAGTTTTTAACATGAAGAGATGAATTTTATCAAAGGACTTTTCTGCATCTATTGAGATGATCATGTGCTTTTTGTCATTGGTTCTGTTTATGTGAAGGATTATGTTTATTGATTTACATATGTTGAACCAGCCTTGCATCCTAGAGATGAAGCCAACTTGATCAGAGTGGATAACCTTTTTGATGTGCTGTTGGATCTGGCTTGCCAGTATTTTATTGAGGACTTTTGCATCGATGTTAATTAGGGATGTTTGGGACTTGAACTCAGCTCTGGATCAAGTGGACCTAAGAGACATCTACAGAACTCTCTACCCCAAATTGACAGAATATACATTCTTCTTAGTGCCACATGGCACTTATTCTAAAATCGACCACATAATTGGAAGAAAAACACTCTTTAGCAAATGCAAAAGAACTGAAATAATAACAGTCTCTCAGACCACAGTGCAATCAAATTAGAACTCAGGATTAAGAAACCCACTCAAAACCACACAACTCATGGAAATTGAACAACTTTCTCCTGAATGAGGTCTGCTGTTAGTGTGATGAGCTTCCCTTTGTAGATGACCTGGCCTTTCTCTCTGGCTGCCCTTAACATTTTTTTCCTTTATTTCTACCTTGGAGAATCTGATGATTTTGTGTCTTGGGGTTGATCTTCTCGTCAGGTATCTTAGTGGTGTCCTCTGTATTTCCTGAATTTGAATGTTGGCCTGTCTTGCTAGGTTGGGGAAGTTCTCCTGGATGATATCCTGAAGTGTGTTTTCCAACTTGGTTCCAATCTTCCTATCATTTTCAGATACTCCAATCAATCGTAGGTTTGATCTTTTTACATAGTCCCATATTTCTCGGAGGTTTTGTTCATTCCTTTTCATTATTTTTCTCTAATCTTGTCTGCATGCCTTATTTCAGCAAGAGAGTCTTCAAACTTTGATATCCTTTCTTCTGCTTGTTGATTTGGCTATTGATACTTGCGTATGCTTCACAAACTTCTCATGCTGTGAGCTCCGTCAGGTCATTTATGTTTCCGTCTAAATTGGTTATTCCAGTTAGCAGCACCTGTATATTTTTATCATGTTCTTACCTTCTTTGCATTGGGTTAGAACATGCTCCTTTAGCTCAGCAGAGTTTGTTATTAGCCACCTTCTGAAGCCAACTTCTGTCAATTTGTCCATCTCATCCTCTGTCCAGTTCTGTGCCCTTACTGGAGAGGCACTGCAATCATTTGGAAGAGAAGAGGCACTCTGGCCTTTTGGGTTTTCAGCATTTTTTCATTGATTCTTTCTCATCCTCATGAATTTGTCTAGTATCGACCTTTGAGGCTGCTGACCCTTGGATGGGATTTTGTGGGGAGTTTTCTTTTTGTTGTTGATGCTGTTGTTGTTGCTTTCTATTTGTTTTTCTTGCAATGGTCAGGTCCCTGTTCTGTAGGGCTGCTGCAGTTTGCTGGGGGTTCACTTCAGGCCCTATTCGCCTGGTTCACTGCAGCTCACAGTGAGACCAACAGAGAAGGTGAGTGATTTCTGCCTTTCCAACTGAGGTACCTGGTTCATCTCATTGGGTCTGGTTAGACAGTGGGTGCAGCCCACAGAGGGTGAGATGTTACTCAAGGAGGCTGGAGAGCACAAGATAGGTGTCTGCTCCTTCCTCTGGGATCTCTGACCTCAAGGAGCACCGAACTGATACCAATAGGAACACTCCTGTATAGGGTGTCTGACTACCCCTCTTGCAGGGTCTTACCCAGTTGGGTGGCACAGGGAACAGGACCCATTAAACGAAGCACTTTGACTGTCTCTTGGTGGAGGGGGTGAGCTTCTCTGTGGGGAAGCCCACTTGTTTGGTCTGCCTGGATTCTTCAGAACTAGCAGGAGGAAAGTCTACATCTTCTGGTCTGTGGAGACTTCAGCCACCCCTCCCCGTAGGGGCTCAGGCCAGCAAGTGATCCTATTGTCTTGGCCTCCCAAAGTGCCGGGATTACAGGTGTAAGCCATTGTGCTGATCCCGAGTAAGCAATTTAAGCAATTTTCATTGTTATGTACCAGATGCAGAGTCCAAGACAAAAGATAGATTTGTGAAGATACTGTCTGGTGAAACTAACCCTTCCTAGCATGTCCAGGAGATACAGCTGGGCCAGGGAGAATATATTTGTTTGGCACTTCCCTGCAGCTATTGGCCCAAGTGCTGTCATCATACATATATTCCCAGGCCTTATCATGGCCACCTGTCTAGATCCCAGAATTTAATGGCTCTAAGACAGATGCTCACAGACAAATTGAGCAAGTATTGAAGAATATCACAGAATGAACAGTTTTATGACTTAAAACATCTAGTAGAGATAAGCCTAAACCTGTCTGACCAGCAGACCCAAGCAAAACGTCTGAATTATATTTAATACTGATAATTCTGAAGACATTTTTACTTTACCAACAATGTTTTTCCTAGAGATACCAGCACAAAAGAAAATTTACCAACAACGTTAAAACTAGTTTTATTTACTGAAGGTTACTAAAGTCCCATGAACCTGAAAAAATTTGGGCTTATTAATTTATGAGTGCTCAGTTATTTATAAGTCAAGTTGGTACCATGTAGATAATATACAAACAGATAGGTATACAGGAATACATAAAAATAGAGACAAAGACTTTTATAGCTTTTTAAAAAATTATTATTTTATTTTTATGTTTTTTGTTTTTTTGAGATGGAGTCTCCCTCTGTTGCCCAGGCTGGAGTGCAGTGGCGCGATCTCAGCTCACTGCAAGCTCCGCCTCCTGGGTTCACACCATTCTCCTGCCTCAGCCTCCTGCGTAGCTGGGACTACAGGCGCCCGCCACCACACCCCGCTAATTTGTTTGTATTTTTAGTAGAGATGGGGTTTCACCGTGTTAGCCAGGATGGTCTCGATCTCCTGACCTCGTGATCTGCCCCGTCGGCCTCCCAAAATGCTGGGATTACAGGCGTGAGCCACCACACCCGGCCTACTCCAGTTTTTCAGACCCTGCCATTGACAGATTTCTGACTTAAAAGCAAGTTCTGGTTCCAGCAGAAAGCATGATCTCTCCAGGGTGTCAGTGTCCCAGCTTACTCAAATACTTTCCTCGTACTCATTTTCAGTCTCGCTGAACTGCGATGCATTGTTGACCCACCAGAATTCCATGCTCATGGAGGATCACAAATGTCATACATGAATGGAGCAGCAAGAAACCACAGATAACACGTATTGCATGGAGAGCCTCTGCTCATGTGCATGCTCTATTTTTCTGCTTACCTCACTTACAAAACACAAGTTCAAAGGTAAAATTAAGAGTTTCAAGACTGTGACAACATAGCACTAAACTGTGCTCAGGGCCCTCTAAACATAGTACCCTTGTGAATACTGGGCCCTGTGGCCTGTGTGACTGCATAGGTCACACATCTTTGAGGCCAGGCGTGCAGATCTAGCAGACTCAATGGGGAACCTGACAAGGAGGACAATTGCAGAGAAGCCTTTAAACATACGAGTGGTAATTGTGGGGATAATTTTGCCTGGAACTTATAATTATAGTGAGTGGGAAAATCTTATAATTATAGTGAATGGGAAAATCTTTATTTAGTGTTTCCAACTTAACTGGGTATCAGATAACTCATTCTTGGGAGAAACTTTATCATTCTAGTAAGTGTAATTACTCAACACTCTCATCCTGAAAATCTACGTCGAAGTGAGGTCCTATAAATGTAAAGAATGTGGGAAAGCTTAATGTGGGAAAGCTTTAAATGAAAGTGCCGGGCTTATTCAGTACCAGAGACTTCACACAGTCGAGAAACTATGAATGCAATGAATGTAAGAGAAGTTTTCAGGTGAGCTCAGCTCTGATAAGGCATCAAACTTCCATGTAGATAAGAAACCCTAATAATGGAATAAATATAGGGGCCAATTTTGCTAAGAATTCAGGCCTTTCTCAATGGATAATGCATTTTGGGAAAGGATGCTATCAGAAGGAGCACAAAGAAAGCTCCAAGGTCATTTCCTTCTTACATGGCACATTCTTCCTGACTTGATGGTCCTCATATGGAGGTGATCCTTCAAAATATCTTGTAAGGTGAAAAGACTTTCCCTCTACCCTCTGAGGATTTGATAACTGAGTCTATGACAGAAGCTGACAACAGGCAGATTAACATGAGAAAAGATATACAATTTTATTATGTGCATGAGGGCAGTACAGAAAAGAAAGCATACACCTAAACAACCAGTGAGATTCAGGAGTTTACATCTCTACTTCACAGGGGAGAGGAGGTGAGATATAGGCAATTTAGGGGAGAAATAATTTTTGGGAAAGATTATTGGGTCCTCAGAAGAAGAGATAATAGTTTTTGAAGAAGTTTGTCTAGGTGTGGTGTCAACTTCTAGCCTCTTCTCCTGTGATAGAGTTAATCTTCCCCGGTTGATGAAATTCCCAGGGAGGGGATTGATGACAACTGAGCTCCTTTTAGAGGATCTGTCTTTAGGCAGATAGGGGGAGTTCAGAGAAAGCTTCTCCTTACATTTGTTGTTTTTCAAGTGCCTTTGGCTAGAATTAACCCATATACCAAATTGGCATATTTTGGAGTGGCATTTCCTGAATTCCTTCAGTCTTCTAGCTAAACACTCATAAGTCTTCTTTGCAGTGCACTAGACACTTATAATGTAAGGGTTTATGTATTGTCTTTGTATGAATAGCTGTAGCTTTGGAGATTATTGCTTCTTTACCTCATAACCTTGTAACTGTTGACAAGTTATTTGACTTCCTTATACCCAGAATATTCTTCAATAAGATGAGGGTAATATCTGCCCTACTATCTGCCAAGGATATCTGAGGATAAAAGAAGGTAATACATGGAAAGCATTTTGAATATAGCATTCTTGTGCTGGCATAAGAAAGTTGTAGTATAGGTGGGTATTGGCTCTGCCAAATCAAAATGTTAGAACAAAAAGAGTGTATGACATATCAGTAAAGAAGTAAACAAGAATAAAATACATGCTAAAATGTCATGAATTTCACTTAAGCAACATATTACAAATGTGTTTCTAGGCTATGGACCAAAATCTTTTCCCAGGGTTTATATTATAAAAGGTTTTTTATTTTCTTTATAAAATGTACACACTCAGAAGACAAACTTGACGGTGTTTCTAACCAAATATTTTTTCTTGAAAAAATGTGGAATGTCAGTGCTTTCAGATGGGAAAGATGGGATTAAAATATAATATTTTAAGATTTCTACAAAATTTTAGGAAATGATGTGGATACATAAAAAGTTATGTTTGAGAGTTAGTGTATTAGTTCATTCTCACATTTCTATAAAGAAATACTTGAGACTGGGTAATTTATAAAGAAAAGAGGTTTACTTGGCTCATGGTTCTGTAGGCTGTACAGGAAGCATGATGCTGGTATCTGCTTGGCTTCTGAGGAGGCCTCAGAAAACTTACAATTATGGCAGAAGGCAGAGGGAGAGCAGGATTCTTACATGGCAGGAGCAAGAGCAAGAGAGAGAAGGGAGAGATGCCACACACTTGTAAACAACGAGATCACACAAGAATTCAGTATCAGGAGAACAGTACCAAGAAGGTGGTGCTAAACCATTCATGAAGGATCCACTTCCATGATCCAGTCACCTCCCACCAGGCCCTATCTCCAATATTGGGGATTACAATTCAACATGAGATTTGAGTGGAGACACATATCTGAACTATATCAGTAAGTAACCTTGGGTTGAAATGAAAAGAATAAAGAGGAATTATTTCTAAATTCAAATTTGTTATACAGTATGAATTTAAAATTTGGCTTAGTATCTGTAATAGTGGATGACTAAAGAATTTTTATTATATTGTATTATGAACCTTCATAATTTGCCTTTTCCAATGCTTCTGAGAAGTGGGTTCCTTTATAGGAGCTACATATCAGAGAGCTATCTTGGCCTACATTTCACTGCTGGAGACACATTATTTAGAGCCAGAGCTGGAAATGAAAAATAATTCCTTAACTCCCCTAAACTGGTGCTGACTGGGAGGAAACTAAGGGGTAAGAGTTTCCAACTAGACTCATTTGGAAGATGCGGAGCCAGAATAAAGAAAAGGAAAACTAGGCTAGTTAAGTCTGCGTCTTGAATCATAAAGATCTCCGTATCTCAAGGGTATAATCTCAGTAACTAAAGTTTCCCCAAATTAAGGAAAAAAATATAGTACAGAGTAATACTTAGGGATTTTCTAGGATATAGCCACTGTGAATGGAGTATGCATCTTATATTTGTAAAATTTTTCATGAATTCTATTCCTAAGTGTATGTTTCACTTTGAATAAAATACTAAATTGGGTTACTTGTACTTTTGGGAGCCCACAATGGTTTTCTGTGAAAAAATGGCCCTTAGAAAATGTAAATGGTTCTTCACTAGTACTAAACTTCTGTCCTTTTCTTTAAGCAAGCAAGCTATGTCCCATGCAGATAACTGTCTTCCCTGTTTGTGATATCTGTAAGAATATATTCCTTGTAGGCAAGGAATAAGATAGCTGGTAAATGGAAGGAGACCTCTCATGCACATTATTGCCACAGAATTGGGACATGAAGTGGTGTTAAGTTGGGCTGCCATAACAAAATACTATACTGGTGGTTTAAATAAGAGAAATTTATTTTCTCACAGTTCTGGAGGTTGAGATCAGGGTACTAACATGGTTGGTTTCTGGTGAGGGCTCTCCTTCTGGCTTTCAGATGATCACCTTTTTGCTGTTGTGCTCACAAGACCTTACCTTCACGGGCACATAGGAGAAATATCAAGCTCTCTGGTGACTGCTTTTAAAAGGGCATTAATCCTATCATACAGGGCCCTGCCCTCAAGAACTAATTACCTCTCAAAGGCCCCATCTATAATACCAACTCATGGGAGGTTAGGGCTTCAATGTATAAATTGTTTAGGGGTTGTTGGTGGGACCACAAACATTCAGTCCATACCACTGAGCAAAGGAAGAGACAGAATAAAGGAACAATCAAGAAGAGAGTTGTGTTGAGCAATGGGAGTAAAAATGAGTGTTAAAAGTAGAGGAGGATGAAAGTGAGTGGAAGGTCTGAAGATAGCATGCGGAAAGTGACAGGTAAGAGAAAAATAATTTGTTTCTATTGAGAGTCAGGACAAATTCAAGCATACTGAAGCTGGAAGTAATGGGTCCAATGAGGAAGTAATACTGAAGATGACTGACCTAAGGGATATTTTAGAATTATGTGTAATGTTTGAATTAAAGACAACAGGGACTAAAGAATAAAAATGTTTAGATGAGTCTAAAACATCAGGTCAATGATGTAGCTTCTATTAAAAGGGAACAGAAAAGAGGGTACAAAATGGATTTAGGTGATCCAGGGGATTCAGAAAAGGTAATTTTAAGACAAAAAAGTAAATTCTACTTTACAGAGAAAGCACTAAGTGTGTAGTAGAGGTTGGGCTATGAAATTATATATTATGAAAATATTACAAAAAAGTAAAGGTATTTTTTTAATGACAGTGGCCTAGAATAGCTTTTTAAAGGAAATTACGGAAGCTGGTGTACAACTTCCTGCTGAGGCTGATATGAGGGAGGACAGCATTACGCCATTCTGCATCAGGTCTTGTTGGTGCCACATAAGCTGGAATGTAGTACTTCAGGAGATGGACCTTCCATCTGATTCAGCATGGTGGATTATGTCTGAGATGCTCCTGATGCTGTTCAGCCTGGGTAGCTGGCAGAGCTTTCAACCACTCCCTTTCTCTCGAGATGGACTGTGATGCTCACCTTGCTCATGAATGGCCTGGAATTCTGGATATTCCCATTTAAGCTGTCTTTTCATTGGCTGGAAAGGAATAGTTGGTGGCTCCTGTGCTGCTTGATGATGATATTCTGAGTGCAGTCCCATTCCATATGCACTGGCTGCAACTTGGGAACAATTAGATATGGCTGGGCTTGTGAAAGACTCAATGATGGAACCACAGTTACTATCTTTAAAAGACATCTTAGAGAACACATCTCAGGGCATAGAATAGAGAAAGAATGCTGACACAGTCTTCTTCCACCCTTAAGAAGTAAGGAGCTAACCAGAAAGGATGAGAGTACGAAACATAGAGACTTACATATCAAGCGGGAGGGAGTGGAGATTGAGCTCTGCAACCTTGCTTCCCTGGATGTATGGCTGCTTCTTTCTCTGGCTAGGGTGTTCATGTGCCTTTTAATCACACCCGATATTCTGTTTCATCAAGCTCTCTTTCCAAATCCTCCGATATGATCACCATTTCCTCTCTGTTCTCCGGCTGATGCTCTAACATCCGGGCTTGGAGCTCCTCTGGCAGGATAGTCAAGAACTGCTCCAGCACCAGCAATTCCAGGATCTGTTCTTTGGTGTGGGTCTCTGGCCTCAGCCACTGATGGCAAAGTTCCCAGAATCAGCTCACAGCCTTACAGGGTCCAGGTGTCTCCTGGTAGCAGAAATGCCTAACGTTCTGATGAGCTACCTCCCGGTTGCTGGAGTTCTTCCATATGAAGTAGCCCATATTCTTGGCCCCAAGTGTAGTCCTCTGCTTTAACTGTCAGGCGACTTTTTTATTCCCTTTGAGATTTAATAGTCAAGGCTGCAGCTGTTATGGGCTGTAACATTTCACGTAAAGTCTTCTTTTGCAGGTTGGGGTATATGGAAGTCTGCTTTAAGGAGGCTGTCCTTGAGCAAGTTTCTTTTGGGTCACTCCTAAGGCAAAATAAATCATTACTAACTCGCAGAAATGAAAAGGTTGCTAAGAACTTTTTTTTTTAAGATTAAAGACGTCTAGTTATCTTGAAATTCATTGATTCAAACCACCAATTCAAAAGGAAAATGAACAATTCGGGTGAATTTTATCATGTGCGACAGAAAGCACAAACTAGGTAAGACAGACATACAATTTATAATATGATTTGAAAATTTCAGATACGAGGATGAAATCACTTTTGTCAGACCCAGATAAAATACGGCGGGGATGGCATGAAGGAGAGGAGGTTCATGCTTACATGTTTGAGATAAGAACTGTTTCCAAGGACTTTCTAAACACCGCATAAGAAACCATTTCATTTCCTCCATGCATCTCCTGCTTTGACAAGGTTTATCAGTAGACATTCTTTATAGCACTGCTGTAATTCAGACACGATGTTCTGGAAAGAACACTTGCATAATTATGGCATCTCCACCAATGAACTGACAACTCCAGCTTTGAGCCTCTGAAACCAATGAACACGGTCTCTAAGCAGCTTATGTGAACCTCTCTTTTTGTTAATAAAAACTTGCCTTTACCCTTCCCTCGTTGAATGCGTTAGTAGCTTGCCATTCTGTGCATTCTAGGTTATAATCTTCATTTCTCATTTGCGAGTAAACTTTTTTTAAGTTTAACAATAGAAACAATGTGACGCTTGACTACAAATATTATAAAATTAAGACACCAAAGCAAGCATGCTAATGTGTCTCACTACAAATACATCTACAGATAACACTTCTGATCATTAGAAAATGATCCAATTGTGTTTAGAGGTTCAATGACAGCATAAACAGATTTAAGTGTGACTATACACCTCATTTCTCCCACAGGGCTCCTCTGCTAATGCTTCTGGGAGACACCTTCATACGGCCAGCGCCAGGAGGCGAGAGGAGAGGAAAGGAAGTCTTCTCTTCACGCCCTCCTGGGGCCCGTCTTGGCGTTGTGTGTGGTGGAGGGGGACGAATCTGGGGTCCGCAGTCGCAGCCTCCTCTTGCTGCTGCCGCCTTCATCCCCGAAATCCTGCTCCTAACCATCAATAGGAACCCTGAAAAAAGTCAGAGGTGTGAAGTGCACACATAACCCTGGGCCACAAACTCGGTCCCGGACGCCACAGGACAATCGCTCACCAGGACCACACATCCTGGCCGGAAGATGGGCGGGTACCGCGGCTCCCGATGCTTCCGGCTCCTCTAGGAAGAGGCTCTGGGTGGTGGCCTCACGCGCCCCCTCCGGGGAGGGAGCCGCCGCGGGGTTTGAGGGCGCAGTAGGCTCCCGTCCTAGCGGGTCGCAGCTCCTTACAAGATTTTGAAATGTTGGTGGATTAATCTTCTAGAAGGGTGCTAGGTCTCCCCGTTTCCCCCGCCACCAACTTTAGAGTTGTGGTGTACAAGCGCTATCTTTTCTGATGTTATATCCCATAGGAATATTTTCAGTGACATAATCAAGTTTAAGCATTAAGAACTAGGGCCCTGGAATAAAATGTGCGTTAAAATCCTGGTTCTACCACTTACTATGTGATCTTTAGCAAGATAGTTAACTTCACTACAGCTCAATTTTCTCATCTATAAAATGTGAAAAATAATAGTTACAAAATGAGATAGGACATACTAGCACACTACCTGTAAAAAACTGTGGGCTCAACATTACCTTAAAAAACAATCCAAATATTGTGTTACTTAGATCCCGTCAGGACATTTTTAAAGTCATTGAAAATAAATGCTAAGCTATTTCTTATAAAGCCTCTTAGTGGGAGATTTTGTACATTTCACATTAGATTATCATACATCTAACATCAAGGTCCTGTTTACATTTTATAATGTAAAAGCCTTACATACTGTGGAATGTTTAAGACTTAAATCATTCCTCCCTACCCTCTTTCATATACTATCGCTCTATACTCTCTTCTCAGTCTTTTTTGTAGAGAGCAGCCAGCAACAACGAAATAACATTTCAGGACCATTATTTCCAGTACTAACTTCCTCAGTAATCTTCCACAATTGCCACGGGCCGGAGAATCCTGTCAGTTTCTGTTACTGTCAGTTTCTGTTAGGAGAACTCCTTATAGTCCCTATCAACTTACCCCAGAAAGGTGCCAAAAACCAGTAAAAGCCTGGTTATCCTGTGTCTATCCTCCAACTTCTGAGGTTTAGTTCAATTTGAACACCTTTTCTCACTCCTAACCCAATTTTTCCTTAATTCAATTCTATTCTCTTACTGTCTTACTTAAATGTCTGGATTCTGGCCTCTTCCCTGGGGTGTTCTTCTGGTTTTTTACTTCCTGGTATGACCTCTGGACACAGATTTTGGCCTCATATAGGAATGCCACCATTACATATGTCCTCATTTGACATTACTCTCTAACTTAACATGAGCATCTTAGTTTTGTGGTCTTCAGTTTTTAAAGGGATGCTCTGAAAACACTGTTCTGCAGTGCACTGTGCAACCTATTTCACTCCTGGGTTTAGCTGACCTCTTCTTGTGCTAAACTAACTAGGAAAATAAACTAGGACTGATTATCAGTCTCTTTACCTAAATCTTCCTTTTCTTCCCACACTGTAATCATGATTATTTCCCCAGACAGTCTCTATTTCTCTACATTGCACTGCCATAGACTACCCTATTAGCCCCCCTAAATGTAGCTCTTTTGGTTTGACTTTAGTAGTCAATGAAAGAAGGGGTACATCCCCAGTCTCACAGAAAGCACATACACACAGATTGAACACCAGAAACTGGTCTTTCAGTCTTCCATCTTGCCCAATATTTATTTTTTATTTAATATTTTTCATATTGTGCCATTTCCTCAGCATTTACTTACAAATTTAAGTTCCTTACATTAATAGGTTTTCCCTCATGTGAATTCTCTGGTGTTGACTAAGGTTTGAGCTCTGACTGAAGGCTCTTCCACACTCACTGCATTCATAGGGTTTTTCTCCAGTGTGAATTCTAAAGTGTCGAATAAGATGTGAGCTCACTCGGAAGGTTTTCCCACATTCACTACACTCGTAGGGTTTCTCTCTGGTGTGAATTCTCTGATGCCTGATAAGATGTGAGTTCAGGTTGAATGCTCTCCCACATTCTTTGCAACCAAAGGGTCTTTCCCCAGTGTGAATTCGCCGATGTCTAGTAAGATCTGAGCTCTCTGCAAAGCTTTTCCCACATTCATTACATTCATAGCATCTCTCTCCAGTGTGGATTCTCTGATGCCTAGCAAGTTTTGAGCTGTGCCTGAAAGCTTTCCCACATTCATTACACTGATGAGTTTTATCTCCACTGAAAACTGCTGCATGTTTAGCAAGTTTTGGGCTCTTGAAAGATTTTCCATATTGGTGATTTTTTTCTCCAGCATAAATTATTTGATGGTTAATAAAATCTGAGTTCCATTTGAAGCTCTGGTCACAGGTACCATGTTTACAAGATTTCTGGTGTGTGAATTCATTTGAGTTCAGATTTAATCTCCTCTCACATCCATCGTGGCTTATTATTTCACCTCTGACTGTATTTTTGTGGGTGAGGATTTTACCAAAACCTTCATCCTGGGCAGACGAGAGTCTCTGAGACTCCCCTGATTCTTTTTCCCATTGTCTCTTTACCCTGCCTGCAGACTTACAGATGTCTTGAGACTCACCAGATGCTTCTGATATGTATCCTGAGATTCTTCCAGATATAATTCTCTGTGATTCAATTTTTTCAAAAATTTCCAGCTTTGGCATGGATCTACTGTTTTCACTCTCATTATCTAAAATAAAAAAGAAAGGGAAATATTACCTGTTTGCTGCACGAAAAGAAAATTTTATAGCATGCTCAAGATAGTTACATATTGATATGCCCACTTTAATATATGACCTTTCACATGAGAGGAATGATAGAATGAAAGAGGATGATAGGAATGAAAGAAACATTGGTAAGAGCAAGTAATGCCTGCAGTGGTTGGCAGAGAGAGGAATCAGACGTGAAGCATATATATTAGAAAAGATTGGGAGGATTGTCATCAGCAAGAACTCAAGAGATAGGGGGAGATAGAGTACGGAGAAGGAACTCTACAATGTTGACTGCAGCAGATCTTGGGAACCTTGGGTCTATGATACATTTCTAGAGGGAAAATGGAGGCACTACCTCAAAGAAAGCAGATGAGAACACAAGAGAGAAAAGTAAAGCTATAAGTGACTGTGAAGTATGTGTGAGAAAACTTCCATCCACCTATTGTCTATTTCTTCCTCATATTCCATGGTTAATCAGTCTTCTAAATTCTGTCATCACTGTCCACTAAGTGTCCCTTGTATAAATCCCTTCCTTTATATTTCTGCTACCATCGCCATAGTCTCGAACCTTACCATTTCCTATCTAGACTTTAACTGCCTCCTTGCTGTTTTGACTCTGCACTTTTCTTCTTCCTAGTTATCCTAAAGATCCTTACTAGACTAATGGTCATTAAACACTGCCATCCTTTCATACCCTACTCAAAAACCTTGAATCTCTCTCTCTCTTTTTTTGTTCAAGTCTAAATTCCCAAGCCTGGTTTCCAAGATCCATTTATGATCCAGTCTTCACAAATCCCACTCTATACTGTGCTGGAATTGAACCGCCCTTCTTTATTATAAGCTGTCCTTTGTCTACAATACGCTAGGGCAGGAAAGAGGGTTAGGGAGTGCTGTTCATGGGGTGAGGGAAATTTACAATTTTATATACGACAGATGGAGATGTTTCCAGAACAAAACTGAAGGCAGAATATGTAGAAATTTATTAAAAATTAATTGTGGCCAGGCTCCGTGGCTCATGTCTGTAATCCCAGCACTCTGGGAGGCCAAGGCGGGCGGATCACGAAGTCAGGAGTTTGAGACCAGCCTGGCCAACATGGTGAAACCCCGTCTCTACTAAAAATACAAAAATTAGCCGGGCATGGTGGCAGGCACATGTAATCTCAGCTACTCGGGAGGCTGAGGCAGGATAATTGCTTGAACCCAGGAGGTGGAGGTTGCAGTGAGCTGAGATCACGCCACTGCACTCCAGCCTAGGTGACAGAGCAAGACTCTGTGTCAGGAAAAACAAAACAAAACAAAACAAACAAACCAAAAAATTAACGGTAAGTTATTCTTGGGTTTACTATAGGGACAATTCACACCTTAAGTGATACTGCATCTATGAATCTTTTAAATAGATGAGTTTTAGAACAGAGATGAGTATTCTGTGGAAGTAGTCTCTAGAACTATAGCTAACTTTCTATAAAAGTGTAAAAGAGCTTTATAAGACCAAGAGCATAACAGGAAAAATATGGATCACGGTCTATGTTACTTGTGAATTATATACTATTTCTCAGTATATCATCATGTATCTGTTTCTCTTGATCATTATATGTACTTCTCTATGAACATATTTTGCTTCTGTCCATGTATTTCTTTTTCTTTTCCTTCTTTTCTCTTTTCATGATATTTTCTCAACTCATTCACTTTTATTTCCTTTAATTTGGTCATATCATAAAAATGTTCTGTGTTTTGGAAATATTCTGGATAAGGAACAAAATTATCTTTTCCCCTACCATTGGCCAAAGACTCACAGGAAAACAAGTTCTCTCTCTCTTTTTTTTTTCCTTTATGAGATGGAGTCTTGCTCTGTCGCCCAGGCTGGAGTGCAGTGGCGCAGTCTCAGCTCACTGCAAGCTCCGCCTCCCAGGTTCACGCCATTCTCCTGCCTCAGCCTTCCGAGTAGCTGGGACTACAGGTGCTACGGCTAATTTTTTGTATTTTTAGTAGAGATGGGGTTTCACCATGTTAGCCAGGATGGTCTTGATCTCCTGACCTCGTGATCCACCTGCCTTGGCCTCCCAAAGTGCTGGGATTACAGGAGTGAGCCACCGCACCTGGCCACAAGTTCTCTCTTTTCATTGGGTAATAAAGGAAAGGACCATCTACAGTTACCAAGACTAGTTTGTGGAGGGAGATTCATTCCCCTGTTTCTTTAGTGATGTGCACTATATGGCATTCTGCCCCTCACCACAGTCCCATAGGAGCTGGGGTTCTGATGAATCAAAATGGGCCTTGGTCTCCACTGGCTGTAACTTGACATTAAGTGCTGGTCCAGGAGGTGACACTTTTTTCTGGAATATTTCTTGTCCATGTTCATGGGCTTGAACCTGAGAAAAATAAAGTACATTTGGGCTTATAAAAGAATCCCTGTGTTAAACGTCTTCTAACAACAAAGAGAAACTCCCATAGAAATGCAAAACTGGGGAAGGAAGAATCGAGTCTGATTTAATTGTAAAATGTAGTGTGGAATCAAACAGACAGGAAAGGAGACATAAATGCACACTGAACCAACAGCTCCTGCAAGCTAGATATGCAATCTCGGGCCTCTCCTCCCACCGTGGAACTTTATCCATTATGGAGGTCTTAGATCTCCCATCCCCTGTGCACCTGGAGTACTGCTTCATCAGTGCCTCTCTCCAAATCTTCTAGTATGGTCACTGCCTCCTCTCCACTCTCTGGGTAATGTTCATGTACCCAGGCCTGCAAATCTCCTGGCAGGATGGTCAGGAACTGCTCTAGCACCAGCAGTTCCAGAATCTGTTCCTTGGTATGGATCTCTGGCTTCAGCCACTGACAGCAGAGCTCCCGGAGGCGGCTCAGTGCCTCGCGAGGTCCAGGAGAATCCTGGTAGCAGAACTGCCTAAAAAGCTGCCTGCAGAGCTCCTGCTTAAGGAGTTCACTTCTCTGTAAGCAAGTGTCCTGCCCATGGATAAATTCTTCCTCTTCTATCTTCACTATCAGAAGTCCTTCATCCTCTGGAGAGTTCTGGGCTGCAGCTTTCTTTGGTTCTGTAGCCATCTGTGGATAGAATATATTATCAGAACTGCTTTGGAAAGGGTCTTCTTTAGTTTCAAGAGTCCTCCTGAGGGATCAAAAGTTACTATTACTGTCTAAGAAGATGAAAGACCACATAATAAAAATCGTCATTCTCCATTACACAAAAATTTACTGGGCATTTACTATATGCAAAAGCACTGACATACTTGGTTTCTAGAATACAACTGTTAATGATTTCTACTTCAAGATAGCTTAATTTTTAAATTTAAAAATAAGATAAATTAGAAACAATAAACTTAAATGTAATGCTAAATATTAACAATGTACATGTTATTAAATTTTAAAAGTCACAGAGAAAATAAGGATAAAAAAGAAAAATGATAGAAGTGCTTCATAAAATAGGAGATGAGAAAAATACAGATGGTTGCAATGGTCAAGGGAAGCTTAATGCAAACATGAAATTCTGAAGAATAGAAAAGATTTGACTAGGATGTGGGAGGGAAAGAAATAGGAAATTACGAACAGAGAAACAGTCTGAACAATTGGGTAAGAGTAGGAATACAGAAGAGGGAAAGCAAAACGTTTAGTAGGTTTGTATAAGAAAATTATAGAGGCAAAGCTTGGAGATGTTATTGTAGAAAACATCAACTGTGAAGTTCATGAATTTGGAGTTTATCTTTTAGGCACTGGGGAGTCACTGAAGAGGAGTCAATTCTTCTGAGCAGAATGACCTGCTAAACACTGTGGAGATGAATATGTTCTTCATTTCTAGGGTGGGTGGCAATATGAAAAGATAGAGGCCACTGTATTCATGCAAGTATGAGGTTCTTTTTTTTGTTTTTTGAGAGGGAGTCTTACTCTATCACCCAGGCTGGAGTGCAATGGCGCGATCTCGGCTCACTGCAACCTCCGCCTCCCAGGTTCAAGTGATTCTCCTTCCTCAGCCTCCTGAGTAGCTAGGATTTCAGATGCACACCGCCACACCTGGCTAATTTTTTGTATTTTTAGTAGAGATGTGGTTTCACCATGTTGGCCAAGCTGGTCTCAAACTCCTGACCTTGTGATCTGCCCACTGCCCATCTCAGCCTCCCAAATTGCTGGGATTACAGGTGTGAGCCACCGTGCCCGGCCTGAGGTTCTTTTACTAAACATTTCACTAAGTTGACTACTGACTGATGCAATAACACACATTTTATTAAGAATCTTATCACAAGCAAAGCATTGGGCTAGAAGTTGTACAGCAATGGTTTACAAGAAAGTCTGAATATGACACTGGGCTTGCTGCCTAATCATCATATGGGATCTTTGGTAGAAACAGGTTCTTGGGCCCTACCTCTGGAGATGCAGACTAGGGGCCTGCTCCTAGAGATGGTAACTTGGTCAGTATAGTATATGCCTGGAAAATCTGTATTCTAATATACAGCTTAATGGATTAAACAAAAAGTCTTTGAGTTTGAAGAATAGAAAAGATTTGACAAGGATGCGGGAGAGAAAGAAATAAATTCAGTGGGAAGAACTAGTTGGGAAGAAATTATAAAACATGGATACAAAAGATTTAAATGAGAAAACGTTTCACATGACATATACATTGTACATGTTTGTTAAATGTTGAATGTTGAAGTATAAAATGAGTTTATGGTGGAGATACTGAATGTTCTAACGGTCCTGAGGTGGGAAGAGACTGTGAATGGTAGAAGGTATTTCCTAGAGGTGGTGGGTATTAGAAATAAATTTTCGGTGCAGCAAAAGAAATAGCACTCGAACATGAATTTTCTCATCAAGGCAATTTTGCTTCTATAGAAAGGTGTGTCTCGCAGATGGAGCAATGGTGAGAGCATACCTGATCAAGGGAGAGGAAGGGGTTCTTATCTCTGACGCAGGTAGTCCCTACTGCTATGTCGTTCCCCTATTGGCTAGGGTTGGACTGCATAGTCTAAGCTAATTCCAACTGGCTGTTTTAAAGAAAGCAGGGGTATGAACCACAGTGGCGGGGTGAGCAGTTTCAGTGGGAAGGACGGTTACAGAACAGGCGATTAAAGGTGATGCAGGTCAGAGCAGATGACCAGGGGTGACTCAGGACAGAGCAGGTGACCAGGGGAATAGATGTGAACTACTGATTGGAACTGGTGGAAAAGGTTGTTTACTGAAACTAGGGGCAAGGAGATGAGGTTAAACTTTAAAGTGGAGAACAAAGAACTGAACATACTGACATACTGATTCTTTGAAGAGAAATTTAGAACTCACTGTATTTAACATGGGGCTTAAATTGGACAATAAAGGATGAGAAAGATTCAGAAAGGAAAGGAACAGAGTAGAGGAAGTAGGAATGAGCAGCAGACTGATGGTGAGATCAACTTGCAGGGTGTGATGGCTGGAGTGACTAAGAATTCTACTGCCTCTGTTAAGAAATTGCTCAACTCTAGTCTGAGTTCTTACAATTCCTAACACATACACATATGAATATATAAGTCCTTGTATTATTTTTAGTTGTTTGGCTGTTTTTTTATCAACTGATTGATGTTCCATGAGGTTAAGGATCATGCATTATTAATTGTTCTTAAGGCTTCATATTTATGATTGAAAGGAAAAATTAGGAAAGTTTCAGATGACTTCTGTTTTGGATGATCTGTATTTAAGATGATAATAAGACATCTACTTGGAAAAATATTTCCAACAGAAACAATGATATTTCAATAATGGAAAAGAATTTGGAATGGGAAGACAGATTTTGACAAGTGTTGGGAACAGGCCCCCAAATCTGGCCATAAACTGGCCCCAAAACTGGCCATGAACAAAATCTCTGCAGCACTGTGACATGCTCATGATGGCCTTGACGCCCACGCTGGAAGGTTGTCAGTTTACTGGAATGAGGGCAAGGAACACCTGGCCCACCCAGGGCAGAAAACAATAGCATGAGCGATCTGTGCCTTAAGGACATGTTCATGCTGCAGATAACTAGCCAGAGCCCATCCCTTTATTTCGGCCCATCCCTTTATTTCCCGTAAGGAATACTTTCAGTAAATCTTATCACTGGCTTGCTGTCAATAAATAAGTGGGTAAATCTCTGTTCAAGGCTCTCAGCTCTGAAGGCTGTGAGACCCCTCATTTCCCACTCCACACTCTATATTTCTGTGTGTGTCTTTAATTCCTCTAGCGCCACTGGGTTAGGGTCTCCATGACCGAGCTTGTCTTGGCAGACAAGATTCATGAAAAGGGTAGTTGAAGATATGTAACAGTATTAATTCTCCAAGAGTATGAAATAAATATCACTAGGTTCAGACTGAACCTTGGAAAACAAACAATTTGAGTATAAGTAAGAACAAAATTTATCAATGATAAAGAAAAAAAAGGGGGGTTAGTTCCATGGTATATTAACCAGAGAGTCTCAATCCCTTATATTTTACTGGGCCATTTCTTTGATATTTCTGGTTATGTTTCCTAGATGCGCTAACCAAGTAGTGTCCTAATGCTTAATGAGCATGATCTCATTTACCATAGTAAGATGGGTGTAAAGTAGGCCCATATAATCCGAATGAAATTTCAATTATGCTGAGCAGCTGGTTCTATGACATGTTATCTCAGCTGACAGTACTATCTCCAGGTGTTTTATCACTTCTCATCTA
Organism: Homo sapiens; assembly: GCF_000001405.40. Classification (NCBI taxonomy): domain Eukaryota; kingdom Metazoa; phylum Chordata; class Mammalia; order Primates; family Hominidae; genus Homo; species Homo sapiens. Next base: position 28,081,878 of record NC_000006.12, on the reverse strand, counting down.
TTTAAAACCGAGTCCCCCTAAAGCTGGTAGCTTTAAACTAATAAATATTGATTGAGCATCTAGTGCCTTATAATATTGTGTTAGGAGGACTTACAAAAATGGGTAAGCAGATGTGTGAAGAAACGCTAGGAGAACAGAGAGGAACGAGTAATTAATTATGATGAGAAAGTTGGAGGTTAAAGAGCAGGGCTCCTGATGGATGAACATGTCTTGGTGGGCATGTTGCGGGAGGGGAAGACGGGTGAGAGTTTTGTTGGTGGAGAGGGAGACAGTCAGGGGAAATCCGGTAGAGACCACAAAGCAGAACAGAGACTTCAAGGGGCATGCTGGTAAAGGCTCCCATAGTACCTTGTGTTTCTCAAGGGCAGGGGGTCAGTGTTGGTTTAACTGCATCCTCGGCACACAGGAAATACTATTTACCGTGTCAATAAATTTCAGGACAAGCGGGGTTGTCCCCAAGTGTCCTACAAAACGGCGGTTACTCTTCCCAAGGGAAGCAGGGGATTGGGGATGGTCCTCGCAGCAGTTTCTTTTCGCAGACAATGGCAGATCTGAGACATGTGGCACCCCTCCCCGTTCCACCTGGCTGGAATGGGCAACTCCTCTTACCAGTGACCCCAAATTCAGGATCAGTAGGACAGCCCCCACCCCACGCCACCAAGCCCTCAGCGCTCCACTATGACGTCACGCGCGGCGGCGGTAACTATGGAGACCGCCAAACCCTCACTAAATGCGTAAGCGCGCCTGCGTTCCCAACGCCGAAGCTGGTTCTACCTTTCTCCGGGATTCCTCTGAGGGCCAAGGTCTGGTCACCCAGAGGCTGCTAATTTCAAAGGCAATATGAGAGGGACTGGATGTTTGGAGGGGGACACGGGGCTGGACATCTGGATCCCCAAACCCGGACTCACCTCTCGGACAGGGCTGATTCCGATCGGACACTTCCGGTGGAAGGACTGAGCGGCGCTACACTTCAAGAATTCCGTCCACAGGGACTTGTGAGTCTGCGCAGAAGGCGGGATGCCTTTGGACTACAATTCCAAGAATCCTTCCTGGGTCTCTTCGGGCGCAGACTTTTCGCCAAAGTCCTGAAGATCTCAGGGCTTGAAGGAGGGGGCATCTTTTTTCTCCATTGTAGTAGTGTGTCTTGCTAAATAACAGAAGGGACTCCTGAAAAGAAAATGACGTTGGCCGGGCGCGGTGGCTCACGCCTGCAGTCCCAGCACTTTGGGAGGCCGAGACGGGCGGATCACGAGGTCAGGAGATCGAGACTATCCTGGTTTACGCGGTGACACCCTGTGTCTACTAAAAATACAAAAAAAAAAAAAAAAAAAAAAATTGCCGGGCGTGGTGGCACGCGCCTGTAGTTCCAGGTGCTCGGGAGGCTGAGGCAGGAGAATCGCTTGAACCCGGGAGGCGGAGCTTGCAGTGAGCCGAGACCGCGCCACTGCACTCCAGCTTGGGTGACAGAGTGAGACTCAGTCTCAGAAAAAGAAGAAGAAGAAAAAGATACACACTCGAGCACACATTTTCTCAGCAAAGCAATTTACTTCTATAGAAGGGTGCGTCTCACGGATGGAGCAATGGCGAGAGCACACCTGAACAAGGGAGGGGAAGGGGTTCTTATCCCTGACGCAGGTAGTCCCTAGTGCTGTGTCGTTCCCCTACTGGCTAGGGTTGGACCGCACAGTCTAAGTTAATTCCGATTGGCTATTTTAAAGAGAGCAGGGGTATGAGCCGGAGTGGTAGGGTGAGCAGTTTCAGTGGGAAGGACGGTTACGGAACAGGTGACTAAAGGTGACTCAGGTCAGAGCAGGTGACCAGGGGTGACTCAGGACGGAGCAGGTCACCAGGGGAACAGATGTGAACTACTGATTAGAACTGGTGGAAAAGGTTGTTTACTGAAACTAGAGGCAAGGAGACGAGGAAAATGAGGAAGTTAAAGTTTAAAATGGAGAACAAAGAATTGAACATACTGACATACTGATTCTTTGAAGAGAAATTTAGAACTCACTGTATTTAACAAGGAGTTCAAGGCCAGCCTGGCCAACATGGTGAAACCCCGTCTGTACTAAAAATATAAAAATTAGCTGGGTGTGGTGGTGGGCGCCTGTAGTCCCAGCTACTTGGGAGGCTAAGACAGAAGAATCGCTTGAACCCAGGAGGTGAAGGTTGCAGTGAGCTGAGATCACGCCACTGCACTCCAGCCTGGGCGACAGAGCAAGGATCCATCTCAAAAAAAAAAAAAAAAGTTTATTCGGGAATAGGAAATTGCAATAAGAATAGACGTGCCAGAGTAAACTATGTTTCTATTCAGGGAGGTAAAGGAAGACAAAGGTTTTTAAAGGAAGAATGGGGAGGATTATTTAATTGTTTTGAAATCATTATTCTTGACTACAAAGATCGGTAACGAGGATGACACCAGTCTGAGGTTAGACAAACAGTTGCTGGGCGGATGTCCTTGCAGAGGTATTTTTGGTGTAAGATGGGTTTTGCAGTCATATGTGATAGTTTTCTTATGAGGCATACAAGCCTGAGAAGTGTCTCTTCATAGCCCTCCCTGGCTCTATCTGTCAGATTATTGCTTTTGTTTTTATTTTTTAACACTAGTGGGCCGGGCGTGTTGGCTCACTTTTCTAATTCCCCGCTTTGGGAGGCAAAGGCAGGAGGATTAATTGAACTCAGGAGTTCGAGACCAGCCTGGGCAACATAGTTGGGACCTCGTCTCTACAAAAATTAAAAAAAAAAAAAATTAGTCGGGGGTTGTGGAATGCACTTGTACTCCCAGCTACTCGGGAGGCTGAGGTGGGAGGATCGCCTGAGCCCAGGAGGTGGTGGCTGCAATAGTGAGCTGTGATTGCACCACTGCATTCTAGCCTGAGTGACTCCTGCCTCTATTTAAATCTCAGGTGGTGAAATTGAAGCCCACGCAGCAGGGTTGCAACTGAAACTTCATCTCCTCTGCAAAACCTTCCTGCATTCCCAGACAACTTTTCTTCTGAGGCCTTGTTTGATTCATCCCCTTACCCCAGTGGAACTCAGATATTCAAAATGGTATTAATTAAAACCACTGGCTGTCATTGGTCCATGCATGGCCTTAAAGTGTGAACATTTTTTAATCCATTACCTAGTCTATAAGAACTGTAGATTGACAACAACTTAGATTTAATACTACTCTTTTTCTAGTCCCTCTCTATACTACCTCTCATCCGAGGAAACACTATCACAAATTTTGTATTTGTTGTTCCCTTGCTTTTTAACAAGATGATTCTATTAGATATGTACTGTTTTGTCCCCCAAAAGTGGTGGCAGGGGAGTTCACACAAGGGAGTGCCCAAAACCGTCCTAGTTGGGGCTGGTTGGGATTCCAAAGAAAGGAGCACTATGTGCCAAGGTGATCTGTCCAAAGCATTTATTAAGGGAACTTACATAGTGTTGCAGGAATCCTCCCCATGGGTGGTGAGAGAAAAGGGACATTCTACCTAGATATGTCTGCAGTGAGGGGGTCAGGGTATGGAGTTTATATAAGGGTTTAAAGAATTTGGCTCAGGGCCAGAGCTAGTTTCTTTCACTGTTTTCAGTGACAACTTAGATACCTTTATCAGTGCCTGGGAATGTTCAAGACCCAAGTTTGGGTTCAAGCATGCTGGGAAAAAATCTGCAGCTGGCTAGGTCACAGAGAGGTCAAGGCACTCTGATTTTCAGTCACAGAATAGTCAAGGCTCTGTGATTTCCAGTCAGAGATCCTGCAATCCATTTTCCTGACTGGCTCTTACAATCTCACATGCCCATCTCTTCCTATATGTTCCCTGAGCTGGTCAGAAAGGGTGGGATCATCGGCAATTTCTTTCCCCTGGCTTTATGAAACACTGCAAACAAAACCTACACTAACAGTAAATACAAGTGCACCTGACAAAATCTAAAATCACATTTTCCAAAAGGCTTCCTAGCAGAGCTTTCCACCAAGGACCCCATCCTGGAAAACATGACTTTGTGTAGACCACCAGGCATACCCTATGTGGTCAGTAAGCTGTAATTGCTTTCGTGAGTGAAGGACGGATTGATTAACTTCAGCTTCTTTGTCTAGAATATACACACAATGTTCACTTTTGTAAAGGGCACAGGTTCCCCCTTGCACAGATGTCAGCATCTCTAGGGCCATTTGGTTTTGTAGACCACTTTTTTCACTGCAGCTGTTTCAATGTTCAAGGCCTCCATACCATGTTTGGTGTTGTTCAAAGCTGTGGAGACAAATCTCTGAAGGGCTTCCAGCTTCTACACAGTATCAGAAGAACCTCCTGGAGGCACAAATATAGTCAATAAGTAATCCCACCAAGAAAAAACAGGTCTACTCCACTGACCTCTCCAGATGGACTCATTGAGGGATACAGGAATGGTGCCAGAGATTCTGGAGTCATCCAAGCCACCCCAGGGGAAGCCAGGGCTGGAGGTTAGTAGCAGAGAGCCACTGGGTGCCATCTGGGGCAATTCAGTATATTCCTGGCCTACAAGACTGTTTGTGACAAATCAATCTGTGACCTTAAGGATAATGGTGTGTTGGCATTGGGCAATTGGGAGGAAATCTAGGTACTAGGAGAATACCTTAGGTATTACCTGAATGTCTTTAGAGTGATTATGTTGTTCCCAACAGATCTATGCAACTCGAGAGCATCCTTGCTGTAAGGATGAGCTAAAGAAAGCCATCCCACATTTGCCAGTATGATCTCCATTGCCAGAACCTGGTGCTCTTCAGGGCAGTTTTCACTTTGATGGTTGCCTCCTATGGGACATGTTTAGGGAAAAACTTAAATTTTGTCTGTAGTTGTTCAATGTCCTATCTCAATCACTCACATTTGCATGTGTGGTGTTAGAGGAATCTAGGGTACCTATTTATATGCATTGTCCGGTCATCCAAGTTTGTACAGAGATCCAGTCTTTACCCAGTAGTGGCTCAGTCCACCATGGAGTTCCTACATGGCTATTCAAGGGCATAAGACCAAACACTCAGCAGTTAGGTTGGCCATGCAGATGGGCTGTGTGATGGCCCCAGGCCAGGAAAACATTTTGGAAGGATTTCCAGGTGCCAGTGGGAATGATATAACAGCAAAAGGAGAAGGCAACTCAAGCTAACAGTGAAATGACAAAAACTTATTAGAAACACATAGGGCGTCTCCCACTCTCTGGCATAATAAAGCTGGTATTAACTCTGCCTTGCTACAATAATTTTGGTTTCCTTGGGAATCTTCCAGGAGAGCTGTACCAGACCCTCTGCCCAGTGTGGGAGGAGTCGTAGACTCTACAGTGATAGGGGTGGATGACACCATACTGGTGTCACTTTGGTTCCCATTGGTATGGGGGCACTGCCTGCCCACTGCCATTGTGCCTCCCCAGACCCTTCATTGAAAAGGAAAGTGAGGGTCAGGTCCAGAGAGATAGTGGCCTCCTGCTTCAGGGGAATAAGGATACCAATCCAGTTTGGTGGCACTTTCCACCCCAGTTCCCATCTCAATGTTCCCTGCCCAGGCTTTATGGTCAAGAGACCAGTATCTGGTTGAAGCTTATCCTATGGTGGGGTCATGACCTTGGGCCAAGTGGTTCTTTCCAGCTGAGGGCAGTTTCTGGAGAGGGGCTGAGAGTGAGGACTGTCTGAAAAGGCTACTAGCAACAACACTCCCAGCAACTGGAGAAATGCATTCTTCAGTCCTGAAAGGGGATCTGGGAGGCACAGCATGGTGTTCAGTAGAGGTGAAAATTGGAGATATTCTCTTTCTTGGTCTTCCTTGTACTTAGGGCAAGGGCATGTGTTCTGTTTGACTAATCAAATACAGCCTTCCTGCAATTTGAATCAAGGATAGGTGGTACAAAGAACTAGAAGCAGTGGAAAATCTCTCTAGTAGTGGTGGCAGTGGCAAAAATGTCCAATTTGTGTATCAGCAGTGGCATCAAGCTAGCATAGGCATCCAACATCCAGGGCAGGCAGTGTCAGTGGCACAAGCTGTGAGACCCAGTGTTCAGTGACAATAACTTTGTTGGTCAGCCCCTGAGATGGTTCTATATGTTGTTTTGGCTGTGGGCCTCTCAGTCTAGTTCTCCAACCCTTCCAGCAATTTTTCAACTACCCAACTCTATCTCTATCTTTTAAATCTCTGCTTCTCCCTGTAAATTATTATATCATATAAAATGGTTGAAAATATTTTTTACCAAGTTTGAAGAGATATTTTGGATTGTATGACTTAAAATTGGGATATACAGCATATGAAAAAATGCACTTTTTCAGGGCTCTGGGAGACATTGTAGACACACAAAACAGCCAGTTAAATCAGATACGAGCTCCAAATCAAAAGCCACAAAGGCATAAGCTTTCATTACAGATATAGTCTACATATAGATAACTTTATGCATAGTCCAGAGTAAATGACAAATACAGAATTTTAAGCATTAAAATGACATTAATAGTACGCCAGACAATTCTTGGAAGACTAGCATGAAGATTTGTATAGATATAGATGTAGACATAAATTTCACTTTTTACACGTGGGAATACAGACAAATTGTAGGAAATATATACAATATAATCATAAAATGTGCATAGGTGCAAAACATCAGAATGAGAAATAACTCTATCCCTCACTCTCATCAGTCTCTAATGTAGACTCTACTACATTCAGGTTGATTTTTTCAATTGTTTATTCATACTAACATACCATGCTACCTCTTACCCACAAACCTTCCTTGTGTGTTTTGAATATTGTTATCATTCGTATGTAAAACGTACCCATGTTCAGGACCCAGATTAACTGTCATCTTTTTCCTGAAGCTGTATTTGACCTTGTAAGCCCTCACCAATATCCTCTCTCTTTGACTTCACATTGCAGCTATGATTCGAATCTTTCATTACATAGTAATTTTATTCTACAGTGTTTTTTATGCACGACAACATGGCTACCTACTCAAGTCCACTCTGGGAGGAGAGCAGTCCTGGGAAAATGCTCCATTTTGTGCTCCGTGTGGTATATTCACATATTTATCTGAGCTGCATGTGATGTCTTAGTGATACATTCAAATGTTTATTTCATATTTTTATTGTGATTTTTAGGGACTTTATATATAAATAGTTGCCCACATCAATAATATCTTAGGGAGCTCAAATTAATAATAAGATTATGTTACTCCTAGAGTTTGTAGTAAACTTAGGTTAGTAATAAGTCTAATTAGATATTTAATAACAGCTTTGCAATTATGATGAGAATGAAAATGATATTAAAATATGACTCCTGTTGAACTCCCTGCAGCCTGTATAAATCAGTGGGAGAAGATTTTTCTTTGGCTTAGGGTTTTTTTTTTTGTTTTTTTTTTTTTGAGACGGAGTCTCACTCTGTCGCCCAGGCCGGACTGCGGACTGCAGTGGCGCAATCTCGGCTCACTGCAAGCTCCGCTTCCCGGGTTCACGCCATTCTCCTGCCTCAGCCTCCCGAGTAGCTGGGACTACAGGCGCCCGCCACCGCGCCCGGCTAATTTTTTGTATTTTTAGTAGAGACGGGGTTTCACCTTGTTAGCCAGGATGGTCTCGATCTCCTGACCTCATGATCCACCCGCCTCGGCCTCCCAAAGTGCTGGGATTACAGGCGTGAGCCACCGCGCCCGGTCGGCTTAGGGTCTTTTTTAAAGTCCCCTTCAGTTCATTGTTTCTTAAACTGTAAATGAATGGATTCAACACAGGTGCTACAACCATAAAAATGACTGATGCGGCTGAGTCTTTTTCAGTAGAGTGATTGGATAAGGGGCTCATATAGACCCCTGTGATTGCTCCATAGAAAAGAATGACCAAGGCAAGGTGAGATCCACAGGTAGAGAAAGCCTTGAGTTTTCCTTGGGCAGAAGGGACTTTCATCACAGCAGAAACAATGAGGATATAGGATACCAGGATACACACTGAAGGTACCACAAAGATCAGCCCCACCGTAGCCAGAACACTCAACTGATTAAGACTGGTGTCGGAACAGGACAGAGGGAGGAGAGAGTTGATATCACAGAAGAAATGGTGGATAACATTATCAGAGCAGAAGTGCAGATGGGCCATCATAAGAGTGTGCAAGAGAGGGTTCAAAATGGCAATGACCCAAGGTGCAGCTACCAGAGAGGCACAGAGGCGCAGGGCCATAATGGTGGAGTAATGTAAAGGGTGACAGATGGCCACGTAACGGTCATATGCCATCACTGTGAGAAGAAAATTGTCCATATTGGCAAACATCATACAGAAATACATCTGAGCCAGGCAGCCGGGATAGGAGATGGTTTGGGTTTGGGTTTGGATGTTCAGTAGCATCTTGGGGACTGTGGCTGAGGGAAGGCAGAGGTCTACCAAGGACAGATTGGCAAGGAAGAAATACATGGGTGTGTGAAGGCAGTGATCCGAGCCAATGGCCAGCAAGATGAGTAAGTTTCCAAACAGCCCTGTTAAATAGAGACACAGGAAAAGTGCAAAGAGTAGCACCTGCTGTTGTTGCCAACTTGAGAAGCCCAGGAGGAGAAATTCAGAGATATTGGTTTGATTTTTCCCTTCCATTGCTTGAATATATCTGCATGAAGACCCAGAGAATGAAATATTTTTGCCAGTAAAAAAAATGTCCCTTGTTATTTTTTATATATTCACCTAGTCTAGTACCACTTACTAAATGTTCTTTCTTTAGGCCATCCTACCTTCTCTCTGATGCTCTCTCTCAAACCTCACTGAACCTTAGGTATGTCCTACCTCATCAGTTGTCTTTACATATATCCTCTCTTACTGGAACGTCACCTTATCCAAGATGTCCATGCGATCTGTATATATCTCCCCTCAGAAAGCAGAAATTCTTTTCCTACTTGTGATGTTGTCACCAACTCTTGCGTGTTCTGCCTTGTATATGACTGACTGCTGTGTGTTGAAATGCATCAATGAGTGACATACTAAATGACTTTATGTCATAAAATGAGATTTAAATGAAGAATTTTTCCAAATATTTTTCCAACACTATATGAACCCCCCTGCTTGAAAACCAGGCAGACACCTACCATTTAGGAATAATAAAATGAAAACAAATGATATTATTTATTCAAGATTCAAAAGAAAAATATGTTAATTTTCTTGACAAGTATAAAAAGTTAAGCCTCCAAAAGTAGTTTACATGAACTGTGAACAATATAGGAAAATATTTACAAATAAGTTAAAAAGTTATGTAACATCCGAAGTTACATAATATATGTAGATAAAACTAAAGAACACAGAGAAAAAGTTATGTGAAACAGGGAGGCAGATTTAAAAGATTCTCTTACTATTTTTGTAATATTTTAACTATAACTACAAAGAAGGGGTTCATGTATATAAAGTATATTATTACTTTGAGTCTTGCATTTCTGGGAGTTGCAGAAAACACAAAGTAACAGAAGACAGAGTTCTTGACCTGAGAATCTTGGAATCAGGTTGTAGAGGAAAAATATTATCATGGAAAATAATTAAGAAGACATTCGTGTACACAAAGGGGATAGTTTCAGAAGAACGGAGGACCCTGTAAGAGGGAGAAAAAATGGTGGAGAATGTGAACTCTGAAGTTAGCCTACATTGAAACCAGACCTCATCACTTGTGGGCTGAGTGATCAAGTCAGACTCTCACCACCATCTCTTATCTAGATAATTGCAATGAATTTCTTTCTTTTTTTCTTTTTCTTTTTTTGAGACACAGTCTTGTTCTGTCACCCAAGCTGGAGTGCAGTGGTGCGATCTCTGCTTACTGCAACCTTGGCCTCCTGGGTTCAAGCAATTCTCCTGCCTCAGCCTCCCAAGTAGATGGGATTACAGACACGTGCCACCACGCACAGCTAATTTTTGTATTTTTAGTAGAGATGGGGTTTTGCCACTTTGGCCAGGCTGGTCTGGAACTCCTGGCCTCATGTGATTCTCCTGCCTCAGCCTCCCAAAGTGGTGGGATTACAGGCATGAGCCATGTGCCCCACAAATTGCAATGAATTTCTAATGGGTTTTCCTTCCCACAGAGTTTTCCCTTACAATCCAGAATTATCCTTCTACAAAAAAACTTCTCCACTTTATTTCTTAAAACATTCTAATAGTTTTTAATTGCCTTCAAACCAAATTCCAAATCCCTTATCATGGCATACAAGGTTTTTCATGATTCCTCCCGCTACAGGTGCATGCCACCATGCCTGGCTAATTTTTATATTTTTAATAGAGACAGGGTTTCTCCATGTTGGCCAGGCTGGTCTCGAACTCCTGACCTCAGGTGATCCACCTGCCTTGGCCTCCCAAAGTGTTGGGATTACAGCGTGAGCCACCGTGCTTGGCCCCATGATCTCTTTCTTACCTCTCTAGCCATCTCTTGCTATGATTAATTTGTAACCCTTAGAATTTTCTGACACACTGAAATTTTATGTCTACATGTTTTTTCTCATTTTGGAATTCTCTGACCACCCTATCTAAAGCTTCCCTCAAGACTTTCTTTATAAGATTGCCCTGTTTTTGTCTTCATATCACTAATCATTATCTGAAATTTTCTTGTCTTCCCCCACAAATATCTTTTTTAATTTTTAACTTGTAATCAGTAAAATGTAAAGTTCATAAGAACAGAAAATTTGTCTTTTAAAAAAATTACTACATGTGTAGAATGTCTGGCATACAGCCAGGGGCAGGTGGCTCATGCCTGGAATCCCACCACTTTGGGAGGCTGAGGCAGGAGAATCGCATGAGGCCAGGAGTTCCAGACCAGCCTGGCCAAAGTGGCAAAACCCCATCTCTACTAAAAATACAAAAACTAGCTGTGCGTGGTGGCACGTGCCTGTAATCCCATCTACTTGGGAGGCTGAGGCAGGAGAATCACTTGAACCCAGGAGGCCAAGGTTGCAGTACTCGGTATGTGTTTGTTGAATGAATGAATGAATATACTTATTAAAGACTCAGAAAATGTCTTCTGAAATATGTACTCTCAATGTACATTTTATAATAATTTTTATCCTAGGCCATATAGTATATAGTTGTTTTGGCTTTTTTTCATGATTCTTTCTTGTAGTGTTTTGGAAAGCACATGTATTGAATCTTATTCATAGTTATGTAGGAAAACCCAGTTTTATGAACAATGATTTATAGTTGCCTATGAAGTCAGACTGATTTTTTGGATGGAATGAGCTGCATGCCAAGGGATGTGAGACACCACTACATGCAACTCTATGACTGGTTCTCTATCCAGCCCCACTGTTATGTGTCTAAGCCAAAGGGTTGGAGAGTCTGGTGGTGAGAACTGAAGGACTCCGTTGGATGACTTTTCCATTGAATAATAAAGCGTGAAAATAAAAGAATGAAAGAGAGGCATTCTATACACTTCTATGCAAAATGGAAGAAGGCTTTGGCATTTTAGACTCTGGTGAATGTGGAGCTCATGTGGGAATTTCCTGGGAACTCCCAGAAATAATTAAAGCAGTTTTTCATAGGCTGCAGTACGTATCATGGTAGATAAAATAACAGCCTCCTGTTTATACCTGGTCTTCAGGCTGACTAGTTTCAGGAAACACGAGTTATAGTTGTATCATACCACTTGGCACAACTCCAGCCACATAGCATTAGTTTAATCAATGTTCTTTAACAACTATGGAGATGGCAGGAGACAGGGTTTTCACTATGGAATATCAAGGGGACATAGATGAAGAGGAGGACAAACTGAGTTTTGCAGGAAGCAAAGGAATTAAAATATTAAAAGTTCTTTCTGGAAGGTTTTTATCTCACTGTGTCCTCCTGTACCTTTATATCTCATGTTGGGTACCACAGAAATCTCTGTTTTTATCATTTTCCATAATTTCTATTTAGAGTCCCCAGAAAGTTTTCAAATGAACTTTCTGCCCTCTCCCTGGTGAATGGAGATCCTCTGATCTAGACTGCTCATTACTACTGCTCTGCCAGTGCCTATTTTAATGAAAGAGATGCTAAGGTCAGGGCATTGATCCTCTCAGAGCTGCTTTTGACAGGCAGCCCTTTGTTCTCTGGAGCCCAAAGTGCCAATACCTTTTTCCATTTTGCATATAGGTTGTGGAATTCCTCTCTACCTTGACAGTAACCACTTTTAGTGTGTGGATCCTTCACTTCTGCTTAAAAGACAGATTTCCAACAGAAAACAGCTCCTGTCATCTTCTCCCTACTTTCATAAAAGTCTCTGCCCTTTCACTCAGGGGACTTTGAGGGAGATGGGGAATAGCCAAGTAAAATGGGGTTATCTCTTGAACAGTGGAGGCATGAAATTTAAAGATTTGAGCTATGGTCACTTTGTGCTCTATAGGCTGAATAAAAGAGGAAACCTGCCTGCAGAGAGGGAAGAATAAGTAGATTTATAGAAAAAGGGAAAAGAGTCACAGAATGCTGCTTCAACTATGACTCATTGCTTAATATCTTTGACCATCTAAAGAGATTTTCACTTATTTATTTTTCCTCCCACCTTTGCACCTTTGACTTTCTTCTCTACCAAATTGGATTCTTTCTAATCTCAGTTCTGAAGACACAAGTATCTTCCTTTTTGTTCATGACCTTGGGCCAAGTTCATACTCATTGGCATTTCAGGCTTCATTTACTCAGCTTTTTCAACTACAGGTTTTATCTTTTTTCACCCAGGCCTATTATTATCTCTTATCCTAACTCTTTGTATGATTAGGTTGCAGAACTTATCAAACATTGAGAATGTATAAAAGGCTACTCTGGAGAACAAATATCCTGGAAAAATTAAAAGGCTTTTCAGTAATTTATAGGGCACATTAAAAAGGAGTATAGACACATAGAAATACTTTTGGTGCAGGATCATGAGTATTTATTGATCTCATTAGTGCAGGAAGGTAGTGGCAGTAGTGATGAGAGTGAAGACATTACCCCTCTTTCTCAGTTTTCCATAAAGCAAATATTTTCCCTGTTGGAAACATGATACAACAATTTAAAGTACGCGAAATCAGCTGAATAATTTCTATGACTGTATATTTTTTACAAAGATATAAAAAATGTAAAGACAAGAGTTACCACTATCAAGTACTCTATGCCACACTAAATAAATATTTTCAGTTTGTTAATCCTCACAACTCTAATATATATATCACATATCTTCATTAGTTTGCTAAAACAGAGTTTTAGTAAAGCCAGAATCTGAATTCAGCCTTCTTGATTTGAAATCTAGCCCACTCTTCACTAAGCTACCACAGCATCTAGGATTTCACATTTCACAGAGTTGGCTGCTATTAATCAATTCATTCATTCATCCCATGAGTAGTTATTAGGTACCTACTATATTTTAGGCAATGCCTGTTGACCTTGAGTGAAGCCTAAACTTGTTTAAGACATGCTTTCTCCTTGTTTCTCCAAGCCTGCTCACTTCCCATTGTACTTACCAGACGCTCATATCAGTGCTCTCAGGCAGGCATGTTAGTTTCCAAGTCTCACTCAGAGGGAATGGAAAATACAAAAAGGGGAGAATGTTGCCCTTCCCCCTGGGAGGCACAAGGGTGAGGGATGGAATGATTCTTGGGCAGGGTATATCTGGTGCAGTGAGAGCTAGAGTGATCAAAGGACTCCCTCACATTAAAATTTATAGCTTCTTTGCAGCTCCTGGGAACTCAATCTTGATAAGCTCCCTCAACTCCAGTAAAAATTACTTCATTCCCTTGTGGCTTCCCCAATTGTGACTGTAAGCATAATGTACCTAGCAAACAATTCCTCAGGGAGATTCAAGGATTTAAATGGTCTGAAGGTTCTAGGAAGGATTGTCTAAAAGTTGACTGTTTTTCTAGGCTACTCCTTTCCTGGTCCTTTGGCTAGAGAAAGTCTTGGTCAAGAGAATCCTTGGTGCTTTCTTTCTTGGTGCTTTCTTTGGTCTGTGGCCATTGACATTTCCTGGATCCTGGCTTCTTCAGCACTCAGTCCAGTCATGTAAAAGACAAAAAGAAAAGGAAATCACCACAATGTTGTTCCTTGGGTCCTGATATCTCTAGCCAGTCTGCCTTCTTTTCTCCATCTTTTAGAGTATTCTTATGTTTGTTTTATATACAATTTCCTAGATTTTTAGCTGTACTTTTTCAAAGCACATATTTTGCACTTTTGGAGATGATCCCTAACATGAATTAAAAGGCTCTCTTATTGAATAATCTAATATTTGCAACCAAGTGTTAGCAAGGCCATCTCCCACCAGGTCCCTCCCTCATGGGAATTACAATTCGAGATGAGGGTTGGGCAGGGACACAGAGCCAAACCATATAATATACAAACATTTATTTTGTCCCTGATGAAAATCTCCATTTCTTCATAGTATTCAAATTACCTTTCTTCTTTAGCTGTGATAACCAGCTATCAATTTTTGATCTTTTATTGTGTAATAAATTAACTACTTAAAGAAATGTGTATCGAATACCTGTATGTATTGAAATATATATGATGTGCCAGCACTGTAGTAAGCTATGGAAAGATAAAGGCAAAGATGTCTTACCTCTCTTTCCTTCTCCCAGTAAAATCCAGAGCTTCTTGAGTTTAATCTGCTGCCATTAATTATTCAGGTTTATTTTGGGGGGTAGAGAAACCTGGCACCACAAATACTAGATAAATTAGTATCTTCCCCAAAGACCTTCATTCACTATCTTCAAAATGCTTTCAATTAAAACGACTTCCTTCCATCTCCTTCCACTTGCTTAACGCAGGTATTCCCTGAGTCTGGCACTGCTCTGTCATTTTTTTAATGGTCATGGTTTATCAAGTCAACAAGGTTCTGGAATCAGGTCTAGTTAATACATCACATTCTTTCTCTGTACATTTGTACTCTGGTAAGGCTGTGTTGTGCTTGCTGTTTATTAGAAACTACCACTTATTGCCAGAATATTGTTTTGACCCTCTTAGATTCTCATTTAATTATCAAATATTAGGCTGGGTGCAGTAGCTCACACCTGTAATCCCAGCACTTTGGGAGGCCAAGGCGGGTGGATTGCCTGAGCTCAGGAGTTCAAGACCAGCCTGGACAACATGGTCAAACCCCGTCTCTACTAAAAATACAAAAAGTTAGCCTGGCGTGGTGGCGCATGGCTGTGTCCCAGCTACTCAGGAGGCTGAGGCAAGATAATCACTTCAACCCAGGAGATGGAGGTTGAAGTGAGCCGAGATCGTGCCACTTCACTCCAGCCTAGGTGACAGAGCGAGACTCTGTCTAAAAAAAAAAAAAAAAATCAAATATTAATTATGTACTTTTTTCCTTTCTTGTTCTTTGAAACCCTTGCTGGGCTTATGTCTGTTCAGGACTCCAGTTCATTCTGTCAGTCTGTGTTTTTTACTTTTTTGACAGTTGGATAACTAGAGTCATTTTTTTAAAATTGTAGTTGGGTAACAAGTGCTCTTTTTTCGGGGGGAGAGTTGATTGTTTTTTTCCCTAACTTCATTTTCCCCGTCATCTCACCTCTTCTTTGATTTTTATAGCCACATTTCATTTACAGTAAATTACCTTAATTTTATTTTAAATTCAGTAGGAATTTTTGTGATTTTTCAATATTAACAATGATATTTCTTGCCTTAGGAATGTCCCTCAACAATAGTGCATGAAGGAATCTCCCAGAAATCTAGATTCCATATTCTAGGAGCCATTTTATAAATGGCATTAAAATCAACGAGCACAGAAACCCTGGATTCCACTTTTCTTTCAAATAAGAGAGACTTCCAATAGTAAAGATAAAGGAAGAGAACACCTGGGAATATTAATATAATTTGAAGTGGAGCTTTTCTGGGCAAGAGATCTTGTGCTGGTGCTTTAGGCAATTTGATGAGTCCTCTTCTAGGGTCTCTGGAAGCTTTCTTGTAGGTGGCCATGGTCTGATATGCACACCAGGAGCAGAGCTTTGAGCTTCTGACGTTGGAGCAATTGCTGACCATCCTGACAAGGGAACTGCAGAGCTGGTTTTGAGAACTACTTCCAGAGAACAGGGAGAAGGTGGTTGGTCCATTGGTGGAATGAGAGAGAATTTGATGAGCTGAGACAGCAGGCAGGAAGGGAGAGCTTGGAATTGTGGGGGTGGTCAGAGATTTGAGTTTTTAGGATCCATGAGCACAATAATGCAAGAAGAGATGTTTAATTTAAATCTACAGAAGATTGTAAGCTGGTATTATATTGTTGGAGGTGAAGAATGTCAGATGACAAGGGTTTCCTTTTTGTGTAGAATGAGAATTGAGAATAAAGATAGCTTCTAATTTTATATCCAGTTATGCCTGTTGAAAGAGATTGTTAAACCACGTAGTATTAAATAAATACTTTTAAGAACCTGTGTCTGCTAAATGCTACAGGAAATATAAATAAATCACTATATACCTCACTCTAAGAAGATTTACAATGGAATTGACAAGTAAAAACAAAGAGCAAATAAGTTAAATAAGTTGTAAATGAGAATACAAGAAACTAAAAAAGATGATGCATGATTAATTGCCAAATTAATGCGGTAGGCTATTGTGTTTGAGCTCAGAGAAACATGAGAACAAATTGATTGGTTTGGTAAGCTTCCAAATAATAGAACTTGAGCTGAACATTGCAGAATGTGAATCTTTGCCTAGATGGAGATGAGTAGGGAGAGCTTTTCAAGAAAAAGAAAAAGTCTAAGCACAGAGTATGCTTTACTGGAGGAGGAGGATTCATGTAGGGTGGTTGCTTAAGAGCTATATTGGGAAAGATCAAAGAAGTTATAGCCCAACTTTTTTTTTTTTTGAGACAGGGTCTCACTCTGTCACCTAGGCTGGAGTGCAGTGGCATAATCTCAGCTCACTGCAGCCTCAACCTCCTGGGCTCAAGGGATCCTCCCACCTCAGCCTCCCAAGTAGCTGGGACTACAGGCACGCACCGCCATGCCTGGCTAATTTTTGTATTTTTAGTAGAGATGGCTTTTCACCATAATGCCCAGGCTGGTCTTTAACTCCTGAGCTCAAGCCATCTGCCCACCTTGGCCTCCCAAAGTGCTGGGATTACAGTTGTAACCCACTGCACCGGCCAGCCCAACTTTTTATAAAGGATCAGACAAGAAAACAGAGACAGACACAGATACACAGGGAGAACACTATATGACAACAGAGGCAGACATTAGAATAATGTGTCTACAAGCCAAGGAATACTAAAGATTTCTGGCAGCACCAAAAGCTAAAAGAAAGGTGTAGAACAGATTCTCCCCTAGAGCCTTCAGAAAGCATAGCCCTGCTGACACCTTGAAGGAGGGAGTGGCTAATAGCATGCCATGATTGACGGTGACCTAGGAAAATGAAGAAAAGGTGTGACTTTAGCCAGAAATGCTCGTAGTTCTTTGCATTTACATAATGCTTTACAATTCATAGTGCATTTCCACATTCTTCATCTTACCACAACACTGAAGGACAATATTATTCTTATTTTACAATTGTGCATACTCGCATACTCTGAAATAGGGAGGTTAAATTATTTATTGTAGTGGCATAGCTTCTAAACAATGGGGCCAAGATATGAACCTAGATATGCAGACTCCAATGTTAAGCTCTTTCCTTAGAACTATGGCATATCTTTTACAATTCCTTTGAATAAGCCCCCACTCTCACTTACTAGGTAGAGACTAATGATCAGCAAAATGTGGCAATCAACTTTTCTTAATGTTTTAGTCAGCTTGCTGTCCATTTAAAGAGTTTCTCATTGTGATTGTCAGTTTCATGTTTACAATTTTTAATTTTAGATGTCATTAATTATCATAACTTAATTATATAAGAATTATAGCATTGGTCTCAAAATGACCAACAGTAAAAATTTTAATATGTTAAAATAGAAATGAGCTAACTGGCTGGGTGTGGTGGCTCACGCCTGTAATCCCAGCCCTTTGGGAGGCTGAGGCAGATGGATCACCTGAGGTCAGGAGTTCAAGACCAGCCTGGCCAACATGGTGAAGCCCCGTCTCTACAAAAATACAAAAATTAGCCATGTGTGGTGGCGTTCACCTGTAATCCCAGCTACTCAGGAGGCTGAGGAGGGAGAATTGCTTGAGCCCAGGAGGTGGCCATTGCAGTGAGCTGAGATAGCACCACTGCATTCCAGCCTGGGTAACAGAAAAAAAAAAAAATTAACTGTTTTAAGGTTTCTCGTATATTCAGCAACCTAAACACAGCCATTCATTGGTCAAATAACATATAGTAAATCAAATTTTGGGAGCTTTCTTTCTTTCCCTTTTTTTTTTTTTTTTTTGAGACGTTGCTCTGTCGCCCAGTCTGGAGTGCAGTGGCGTGGTCTCGGCTCACTACAAGCTCCGCCTCCCAGGTTCACGCCATTCTCCTGCCTCAGCCTCCCGAGTAGCTGGGACTACAGGCGCTCACCACCACGCCCGGCTAATTTTTTTTGTATTTTTAGTAGAGACGGGGTTTCACCTGTGTTAGCCAGGATGGTCTTGATCTCCTGACCTCGTGATCAGCCCGCCTCGGCCTCCCAAAGTATTGGGATTACAGGCGTGAGCCACTGCGCCCGGCCCGGGAGCTTTCTTAAGTACTTGTTTTGTGCATATGAGTATTTGAACCTGTGTGTTAGGCGGGGATGATAGAAATGTAGCATGTGGTCTATGGGATCTTTTCACATGTTTTAGGCTTTTAGAGTTCACAGTCGTTACTCCATGAGACTATATGTAATCATTTTTAGGTTTCAGCAAATTTCCAGAGACAAAATAGTTTTGGAAGGAGTTTTCAAGACCCTCACAAGGGCAAGGAGTGTCCACCTCCAGTCTGTGAAAACTCTGCTTCCTTCCTTCTCCCCTCCCCTTTAGTCCCTTCCCCTCCCCTCCCCTCCCCTTCCTTCTTTCTTTTTGACAAAGTTTGGCTCAATCCCCAGGCTGGAGCGCATTGGTGCGGTCTCGGGCTCACTGCAACCTTCACCTTCCAGGCTCAAGTGATCCTCCCACCTCAGCCTCCTGTGCAGCTGGGACTATAGGTATGTACCACCAGGCTCAGATAATCTTTGTATCTTTTGTAGAGACAAGGTTTTGCCATGTTGCCCAGGCTGGTCTGGAGCTCTTGAGCTGAAGTGATCTGTCCACCTCTGCCTCTCAAAGTGTTGGGATTACAGGTGTGAGCCTGGCCCTTCTTTTTGCTTTTGAATATAAATTTTTCACCTATGTTTGCATTTATAAAAACATTGTTTTACCGATTTTTGAACTTATATCAAGAGACTTGCGCCTTTTGCTGAGCATTTTTGTGTGAAGGACATCTGTTTCAATTTGTGTAGCTGTAGTTTACTAATACTGTTGTATAGTACTCTGTTATATGAATATGCCACAATTTACCCATTTTACTACTGATGGGCATTTGGATTGCTTCCAGTTTTTCACTAATACAAACAATGCTGCTATGAGCATTCTTGTACATGTCTCCTGGGGCATATGACCAAGTATCACTTTAGGGAATATTTAACTTTGGAATGTAATTGCTAGTCAGCATTACTAGATAATGCCAAACTGTTATCCAGTATGATTGTGCCAATAAATACTTCCAGCAGCAAGGGTGAATTGTGAAGGAAAGAGTTAACAGCGGTCAAATCCCCTCCCTCCTCTGGACACCCTAAGCAGTACTGGCCTTTACAAGACCTTCTTCTAAATATTATGATGGGATTTAATTAGTAGGGAGATAACTGAGAAAGTTCTAATCTAAGACTATTTTTAGCAGGAGATAATTTATCTCTCTAGGCTATTATAAAGAAACCTGGAATTTATGAATATCTGGAAAGCAGCTGGCTGTGGAATGAAAGTTAATCACAGAAGCTCTCTATGCTTGTACAACTAACTAATAAAAACTAAGATGCTTCAAACCTAAGTGTCTTTCTTTGAGCTAGCTTATGTTGCTAGTTAGTAATCATCTATTGCTCTTAACAAAATGTGTTTCAGTCTGGAAAAAGGGAGTTTTTAAATTGAAGTTGCACTTGACATTTAAGGCCAAACCTTTCCAAAGTCAGACATTGTTATTTATGTCTGCCTTTTGCCTGTTTAGTGGAACAAAGATAAATTGTTTTGAAAATAGATTGGCTGGGCACGGTGGCTCACGCCTGTAATCCCAGCACTTTGGGAGGCCAAGGCGGGTGGATCACGAGGTCAGGAGCTCAAGACCAGCCTGGACAAGACGGTGAAACCCTGTCTCTACTTTAAAAAAAAAAAAAAAAAAAAAAAGCCAGGCATGATGATGGGCACCTGTAATCCCAGCTACTCGGGAGGCTGAGGCAGAGGATTGCTTGAAATCGGGAAGCAGAGGTTGCAGTGAGCCAAGATCGCGCCACTGCTCTCCAGCCTGGGCGGCAGAGCGAGACTCCATCTCAAAAAAAAAAAAAAAGAAAGAAAAGAAAAAAGATTAATAGATCCTCAAACTTGACTTCAACAGACAAAATACCCATCAACTTCATTCTACTTTTTCTTTAGGAATTATTTAAAACTATCCTGATAAACTCAGAATCACTTGAAACTGAAACTTAAATGCAAAGGCTATCCTAGTTCAATTCAAACAAATCATGTAAGTTTCATTTTAAAATCAAGAATTTGGATATAACCTGAAAAATGTTATAGAGGATTTGTGATTTTTTTCTTCGTAGCCACATTAGAAGTTTAGTAGTAAATGTGGTGGTTTCCTCAATTATAGTGATCTTAAAGATTTGAATGTGCCTAAATTATTACTCTGTGATTCCTTATAAATTGGTTATGAATGAAATTAAGTGAAAAATGCATTTCTATATTTATACTGAATACTAGGTAACTGAATTAATTCTTATTTTAAATATATATATATTTTTTGCAATTGTGAGGAAAAAATCTTGTTATTTAAAAAATATCTTATCTTGCTTTTTTTTTTTTTGTAAAATACCTAAGCCATTCAACGACAACAGCTAAGATCGCTGGGGAGATCTAGGGAGTTATCTGTCCGCTGTCAAACACATGAAATAATATAAAAGACAGATTAGATATTCTCTGGCATTCTCCCCTATTTTCATTTTCCCTGAGGATTGTCATCCCTGGACAACTCAGTGACATCAGCTAATTAACAGCATAGGACATACGTTCCCTAGAGACTTCAGCCTTGTTTCTCTCTGTGCCAACCCAGCCACTGGGCAGCTTCATGCCACCCTCTCCCTGTTGCTCGTAAGGATCTCTTTGTCACATAACCACGTCCTTGTATTCAGGAAATAATAATGAGAGCTCAAAATTGCCTTCCTTCATCTCCCTACCTCCTGTGGGCAGAATGCAGATCTCTAATACCAGGTGAAGATGTGTGAAGTCATCATGAGAAAGCATCTTCTTGCTCAAGACATACTTCTGAGTAAATCAATGCTGGCATCATCAATCTATTGTACTCATGGCACACAACCTTCTTCCTTATTCTAGGTATCTATGTTCCAATCTTCAGCACTGTATTAAAGAGAACAACTTGGAAATGAGCTTAGGATCCACAGGTCCTGGGAAATAGCTTAGGACCCATAGATAAAGTTGGTGAAGGTGAGTAAAATGGAACCTCATCTATGGGTTGCTTTAAGAATTGGTGAGTTAGCTTATTTTCACATTCAGTGGTTCTTGAAAGGGAAAGTTAAATCAGTTAGCATATATGTTGATTGACAAAAGTAACAGAGTACAGAAATTCACCAAATATAAGACCTAAATTTAATTGTTGATTTTAGAAGCCTATTGGCTTCATTCCTAGATATTTCATTTTATTGCAGTACATTCATTATACCTCAGTATGCACATATGGAAAATAACTTAAAATTCTATCATATTTAGCTGTAATAAAATATGCCTTTCAGTAATAGAATAATAGTATGTGTATATGTAAAAGTATTAGACTGTATGCTTACATTCTTTCTGTTTGTCTCTCTTACATAATTATGTAACATTATAATTACTTAATATTCATTTTCTATGTTCTCCTTAAACTTGTCATTTCCAATACAGTAATAAATTCATTTTCCCTTCATTTATGCATACTCCATTGCCATCAGAGGCCAGTCCTAACATATCTGAGATCAGCTCAGACCTATGAGGCAGAAGCATTGTTAAAGCAATAGTGATTCAGTCAGTACTGAGGCTAAAATTTTGCTAGCACTTTTTCAGGATTTATTCAGGAACTGGACAAGGCAGTTTGTGTGTCGAATATATCAGTGAATATTATATAACTTAAAATATCTTAAATATAGACATTATCTTGAGATCTTTTGCCTTTAAAATGCATAATTTGCATACTGAATATTAGTTAAAATGAAATATTTATCTTCCGTTAACGTGTAGAGTTGTATGTCAGTATTGTATAGTTATTGTGCATTGTAAACTACTATCTCACTATCTGACATGTCAGTCCTAAGCATTTAACCTCTCTAATTTTATGCCTATTCTTTAATTATTATTGTAAAATTTATATTCTTGTGATATGTCATTTCCCATTATATTCTTTTTTATGGTAATTTTTACATAGAAGGCCATGTTGGTTTGTTTTATATAATTTAATTATTTTTATTTTACCTATTTTAAACTTTTTTTCTACATATATATTATCTTCACTTTGTGGCATTTTCAATTTTTTTTTTTTTGTATCTCACATAATCATTTATGTGTAATTTTTTTTTATCACAGGACTTCCCTATCATGTCATAAGGTGATGGTTACTAAAAACACCATTCTTTGTTTCTGTACCTAGGATGAATGTGTCTGTAATTTCCCGTTGTATTATTCATATGGTTTGTCTAATCTATTATTCTTACTGCATTAAGTCAATTGGCCCTTATCTAAACTTAGATGATGATTTCTTGTCAAATTCCACAATTCCTTCAGTGTAGTAGAAATAAAATAAAATGAGGCTGGGCTTGGTGGCTTACACCTGTAATTCTAGCACTTTGGGAGGCTGAGGACTTTGAGCCTAGGAGTTTGAGACCAGCTTAGGCAACATGGTGAAACCCTGTCTCTACAAAAAAATGCAAAAATTAGCCAGGTGTGGTGGTACGCACCTGTGGTCCCAGCTACTAGGCAGACTGAGGTGGAGGGATCGCTTGAGCCTAGGAGGTCGAGGCTGTGCTGAGCTATGATCACACCACTGCACTCAGCCTGGGCAACAGAGTGAGAACCCGTATCAAAAAAAAAAAAAAAAAAAAAAAAGAAAGTCTCATTTAACCTTAGCTAAAAAATATATTTCTTTTCTTGGAGGATTATTTCCTTTTGTTGTGGTGCAAACTGCTTTTGGAGGGCTGGATGCCAAGTAGGAAAGCAGGGAGGAAACATTTTGACTTAAATCAGCAGGATACACTTGGGAATCAATGAAAGACTCCTTGCAGCTACATCTTTCCCATATCCAGTGCTAATAAGGAAAACAATTTTCCTATTTGTAAGGAGGAAACTTTTTAAAAGTTGGAAGATGGAATATGACATTAGTATCCTATTACCCACTAGCATAGTCTCTGGAGTGGCATTGGAAACAATTGTAACATACAGAAAGAATCACATTTTTTGTTCTGTTCTAGTGAGTGTCTTCTTTGCCTGGTATAATTTTGCAAGTGTAAAAATCATATCAATTTTTACACTTGTCAGATCAGTAGCATTCAGCATTCTTTTATTAATGTATATTATCCTGTAAAACAGCAAATGGTTTGTATGACATCATCTCACCAGGTTGTGATCTTTTATCATATGTCTTCCTGGTGCTTATTGATATTATAACATTAAAATTTATTATTACTTTTTATTTTATTTTATTTTGTTTTGAGACGGAGTCTCACTCTGTTGCCCAGGCTGGAGTGCAGTGGTCTGATCTCAGCTCACTGCAAGCTCCGCCTCCCAGGTTCATGCCATTCTCCTGCCTCAGCCTCCTGAGTAGCTGGGACTACAGGCACCCGCCACCACGCCCGGCTAATTTTTTGTATTTTTAGTAGAGATGGGGTTTCACTGTGTTAGCCAGGATGGTCTCGATCTCCTGACCTCGTGATCCACCCAACTCAGCCTCCCAAAGTGCTGGGATTACAGGTGTGAGCCACTGCGCCTGGCCATTATTTTATTATAGTGATGATTATCTTGATGTTTTTCCTTGGATTAGTTAGCATTTTATTTTTGCCCTTCTTCACTTTGATGAACACCTTTTATTAGATACATTTTGAAAATTTGCCAGCAGTTGATTTTAGATGAGTGGATTATATTTCTGTATGTGTGCATTGTTTGTTTTTATTCACTCTCCTCACCAGGTGTAATCAGGGCAATGTAACCTTTCATTGGGCGGACTTCTATATAGTTTCTATTGTTTTTATAACAAATTCTTTTATTAGAATTTTGTGCATAGTTTTTTTGTGGCTATCACTGATCACAACCTAATAAGAAATTAAGGGGATTGTGAAATATGGTGAAATGTTACTCCTCTATGTTATGTGTGATCGCTTCCTCTGAATTTTAATATATACTTTTGATTGAAGATAAAGTAGTGTGGTGATTAAAAGCATGGACTTTGATATCAAAGGGATCTGGATTTGTTTTCAAACATTTAGGGGTCTAGTAATGTTGGATGAGCTACTTCAGTGCTTCAATCCATATCCTTATATGTAAAAAGAGATGGTAATAAGAAAAATTAGTTGAAATTATGCATGTAAATGATTTAGAACATACAAAACACTCAGCAATACCAGATAATATTATTAATTGTAAGTAGCATATCAGTTTAGCCTTCAACTTTTGGATACTTTTTACATTTTTCAAACTTCAAATATGAAAGTTTAAAAAAATTAAATATTGTTGGATTTTGCCAAATAAGTACTTGTACACATTGTTGCTTTGGGATTGAGAGTGCAGTGAGATCAGTTTAACTAATGCTTCCTGTATATGATGTATTAAATTTCTATTACGTGTACTTGTACATTTTAAGACACCTGATTTTTTTTGTTGTTGTTTTCTTTGCATATAAATTGTGGAATGAGGAAGACATTTATGTCAGTGATAGAGAACTTTTCCCAGTGGCCTCCCTACCACCAACTCTTCTTCCATTTGACATTTTCTTTTCTCTTATTCAGATTTATTAACATTTATTTTATGCCTATTTTGTATCAATTTCTTTCATACTCTAATGGCTCTACATACAAACCTGTTTCATATAAAGAAAGTCTTAGAAGAATTAAGGTTTTATTGTATTTCTAACCATTTGATGTAATGAAACTGAATTCCTCATCTTTGATGCTGCTTAGATCGGTGTGGGACATGCTCATACGCTACTAAGGAGCTGTATGGAAATGATAATCAACTGACCTTGAAGCTGGCAATGTGTTTGGTATAGTATAACAAATTCTTCAAGATAGCTCACAGAAGGGTGCAAATATAAAATTAACCTAATGTAGGCAGATGTTTTTAGATTCTTATAAACCCAATATACTATTCTTAATACATTTTCTTACTTTTCGTTTTATATGTCTTTGACCTGCCATTGCTTTGACAATTCACCTGTCCTAAACTCTATGTATTTATGTATTTAGTTGATAACTTTTTAAGATGCTCATCCTGATTAGAATGTTGATAGTGAATGATTCTACCTCCTTTAGGAATTCCTGTCATTCTGGTTGTTGGTAATATGTGAAAGTGAAATCCATAGAGGTAAAAGGAAAGTGTTGCCCGCTGGATATTAGAGTAGTAATTTCAGGTGACTGTGCATAGGCAATACATTTTTGGAATTCTTGTTAAATTGGTATGATAATTTTGGCATGTTGGGGGCAAGAGATAAGCACTGTAATTGAATAGCAAATTCAATGAATTTCAGACTCTGTCTGATTGAGCATTTCATTATTTTGCTATAATACAGAAAAATCAGGATACTGTTCATGAATATATTAGGTAGAGAGGAAATTCTACCAAAATGTGTATATGTAGCTCTACTGGTGATATTTTGAATTCAATTTGATCCTTTGTATAAGCACATTCTAGGTCCTATGTCTATATGCGAATTCATTCTAGAGAATATTTTTATTATATTCT
This sequence comes from Homo sapiens, assembly GCF_000001405.40. NCBI lineage: Eukaryota > Metazoa > Chordata > Mammalia > Primates > Hominidae > Homo > Homo sapiens. The sequence goes on along the minus strand of NC_000006.12, from coordinate 28,055,886 downwards.
ATAGCATGTGAAGTATATGTAATTTCAGTTGTGTAGAGTTATATATAACTATAGATAATATAATTATATATAACTATAATTATTATGTATATATTAGTTATGTATAACTAATATTAATATATGTTATCTATTATATATATTATATTAATATATATTAGTTATATATGACTAATATATGTTACATCTAATATAATATATAATATATTAGATATAATATATATAATATATAATATATTGGATATAATATATATAATATATAATATATTCGATATTATATATAATATATAATATATTCGATATTATATATATAATATATTAGATATAATATATAATATATAATATATTAGATATAATATATTATATAGTAGGTATAATAATATATCTAATATATAATATAGTAGATATAATATATCTAATATATTAGATATAACATACATTAGTTATATATTATATATTAGTCATATATAACTTATATATAATATATATTATATATTAGTCATATATAACTTATATATAATGTATATTATATATTAGTCATATATTAGTCAATATTTATTAGTCATATATATTAGTCAATATTCAGCTATTGTACTTTTGTCTCAGTGAAGCATACTGGACATTTCTAATGATTGGGTTACTTGGGATATTCGCAATCAATGGGATGTTACTATTAAGTGTCAAAGCCATTATCAGGAGTCCACTCCTGATTCTGGGTTAGCAGGCCACAAATAGTACTTACCAAATATTTTTAAAGTCCTATTTCAGGTATTTGGAAACTGTCAAACAGTCCTGCAAGATACTGTTTGGAAAGTTACTTTATTAATATATCTAAAGACATGAAAACTTTGTTTGTTTTAATGTATTTAAGGGAGTGTCTTGGCCATTGTTAGCGTGACGTAACAATATTTGTCTTCATATTCCTCCACAGAATGTTACATTTTGGTTTGTATTTGGCCCTAAATAATGTCTATAAGTAAGTTATCTCTTTGATAACTTTGATATATATATAATATATATTATATATAAGTTATATATGACTAATATATAATATATAACTAATGTATGTTATATCTAATATATTAGAGATATTATATCTACTATATTATATATTACATATATCATATATGACTAATATATAATATATATGTTATATATAAGTCATATATGACTTATATATAATATATATTATATATGTTATATATGACTAATATATAATATATATTAGATATATTAGACATAACATATATTAGTCATATGTAACTAATATATATAGTTATATATAGCATATATAATTATATATATAACTATATATATATAAAATAACCTCTCTCCTCTGTCTCCGCCTCTCATTCTTTCTGATCTCTCTCCATTTTTCCCTCATCTCCATTTTCTCTAAAATGCACATATATTCTTGTAATACTTTAAATAGTATTAAATTCAATCTGAAACAGACATTTTATGCCTATGACTGGTACACACACAAGGTCCCTTATTTAATTTTCCTGTGTTAAATAGCAATTATGTTACTTTTTGTAATAATGTAAACAAAATTGGTATATGTTGGTCTCAATGAGTACCTCATTTATTAAAGTAGTTGCATATAAAATCCCATGGCCATGTCTTGTACAAATGATAGAGTTCACCTTTTCTTTTGTTTTACAAGATACCTTTTAAAATTTGCTAAATGCTTGGGTTTGACAGAAAACATGTGCTAACAAAGAATGGATCAGAAAAATGGAAGTTCTTTCACTGGATTTATCCTACTGGGTTTCTCTGACAGGCCTCAGCTGGAGCTAGTCCTCTTTGTGGTTTTTTGATCTTCTATATCTTCACTTTGCTGGGGAACAAAACCATCATTGTATTATCTCACTTGGACCCACATCTTCACAATCCTATGTATTTTTTCTTCTCCAACCTAAGCTTTTTGGATCTGTGTTACACAACCGGCATTGTTCCACAGCTCCTGGTTAATCTCAGGGGAGCAGACAAATCAATCTCCTATGGTGGTTGTGTAGTTCAGCTGTACATCTCTCTAGGCTTGGGATCTACAGAATGCGTTCTCTTAGGAGTGATGGCATTTGACCGCTATGCAGCTGTTTGCAGGCCCCTCCACTACACAGTAGTCATGCACCCTTGTCTGTATGTGCTGATGGCTTCTACTTCATGGGTCATTGGTTTTGCCAACTCCCTATTGCAGACGGTGCTCATCTTGCTTTTAACACTTTGTGGAAGAAATAAATTAGAACACTTTCTTTGTGAGGTTCCTCCATTGCTCAAGCTTGCCTGTGTTGACACTACTATGAATGAATCTGAACTCTTCTTTGTCAGTGTCATTATTCTTCTTGTACCTGTTGCATTAATCATATTCTCCTATAGTCAGATTGTCAGGGCAGTCGTGAGGATAAAGTCAGCAACAGGGCAGAGAAAAGTGTTTGGGACATGTGGCTCCCACCTCACAGTGGTTTCCCTGTTCTACGGCACAGCTATCTATGCTTACCTCCAGCCCGGCAACAACTACTCTCAGGATCAGGGCAAGTTCATCTCTCTCTTCTACACCATCATTACACCCATGATCAACCCCCTCATATATACACTGAGGAACAAGGATGTGAAAGGAGCACTTAAGAAGGTGCTCTGGAAGAACTACGACTCCAGATGACTTGGAGAGAAAGACATTGCAGTGGAGGAACTTTGAATGCCAGAGCCCTTAAGATGTATGCGTTCTCCATGTGTCATCCAAAATTTCCCCTGCAACTCTCCAGGAAATTTCTTTACATAAATCTCTAAGGAAAACAAGTAATTAAAATCTAAGTTCATGAATTTATTTCACCCTCCAGAGATGTTGATTTCATATTCCAGTGGCGTGATTATAGCTCACTGCAGCCTCAAACTCCAGGGCTGAAAAAGGATCCTCCCACCTCAGCCTCCAGAGTAGCTGGGACTACAGGTGACCATCACCACGCCTGGCTTAAATTTTATTGTTTATATTATAATATACAGACTGCAGTCTGTATATTCTAGGTTTATTTATATAATAATCAGGCTAAATAGATCATATGCATCCTGCTAAAAACATTACTAGCTCAGTAAGCAGTATATAGCAACTCGTATAAGACCCTCATTTATCTCCTATTCCGCAAATTTCAGCAGCTACTATTTGCCAGAGTTCTGATTTGGCCAGCATCATCGAGAAGGGAAGACCACATTATAGGTTGGTGTTAATCATTTCCTTTGCAGGTGACTTCCAATCTGATGCTTTTGTGTTGCATAGCTGAGAAATTTCTTCCTCCTTTTTAGTATCATAGCATATTTTAAAACCTGATCTGAAAGACTCTGGGAAATGTATGGAAATGTCTTGGAAATGTGATTTACTAGAAAGGTGGGATATGCATAAATGTAGAAAAGAGAAGATGAATGACTTGAATCAGAGGGATCAGGGGATGGAGTTCTTGAGATTACCAGAGAGAGTGGACACAATTTGCTTTTTTTTTTTTTTTTGTAAAAAGTTTATTGATTTACATTGTTTAGAGGATTTACTTTAACCATTCTGAACTGAATACAATCTGCTAAGTCTTCAAAAGCCTGCAAGTTTTTTTTTCTTTTGTATTAGGGAAACATTTCTGGGAATAGTTTTAACCTCTTTGAGTGTGAAGCTATTCAGCTATTGTACTTTTGTCTCAATGAAGCATACTGGACATTTCTAATGATTGGGTTACTTGGGATATTCGCAATCAATGGGATGTTACTATTAAGTGTCAAAGCCATTATCAGGAGTCCACTCCTGATTCTGGGTTAGCAGGCCACAAATAGTACTTACCAAATATTTTTAAAGTCCTATTTCAGGTATTTGGAAACTGTCAAACAGTCCTGCAAGATACTGTTTGGAAAGTTACTTTATTAATATATCTAAAGACATGAAAACTTTGTTTGTTTTAATGTATTTAAGGGAGTGTCTTGGCCATTGTTAGCGTGACGTAAATCTCTGTCTGGATTCGTTCCCCATCTTGAAAGAAGCATCCTTATGATGTCCAAAGAATATTTGTCTTCATATTCCTCCACAGAATGTTACATTTTGGTTTGTATTTGGCCCTAAATAATGTCTATAAGTAAGTTATCTCTTTGACACATACACATTTACACATGTGGTTGCATATATACAGAGAACATGAAATTCATGGGTAATCTCATAGGTCAATCTCTTAACTCTTTGCTGAAAATGAATAGTAGAAGAAAATATGTTTCCTTTAGCTCAATACTACTTCAAAGTTACATGCTTTAAAAAATAATCTAATTCCAGTGTTTTCTGAAATAAATACGAAGTATACACACATGAATGTCTTACCATAGTTTATTTCTGCATGTTACATTGGAAAAAAAACCACACAGCTTACTCAGAAGTCGTGAAAATTGCTGTTGATGGAATCTTGCACCATGGAAGCTAATGAAACAAATTACACTGTTTTTGTTGTCATAATAGACTCACATAGGTCAAAAAGTTTAGAAGTACCATTCTTTCAGGCTCTGGATTGAAATTGGATCATGAAGAGGGGTTGTGTTTGTAGAAAGGATAATGCTAAAACACTCTCATTTAGTAGCTGTGTAAATGGTTGTATTAAGACATTTTTGCCTTAAACAGTAGCAAAAATCTGGCCTTAAAAAGGAAGAATAAGAGAAATGAAAGAGATGAATTATATCTAATTTTTTTAAGTGACATCATATGCTATTTATAGACCAGTAAACCATAGCAGTGAGAGAATAACTGACTCTGCACAGTTATACTGTCATGTGCTGAGGCAGTGCCTCCATCCCAAGGCCCTCTAGCAACCAAGTGCAATACCTTAGCCATGGGACTTTCAACATCAGATGCTGGCTTTTATTAATGGATCAGATTCTTGGTCTTCACTACTGGTTTTTCTATAAATTCTCCTCTCGTGTTCAAATTAAGCTTGTATTAGGAAGCCCAGAACTTTTTTTTAAATTGGTTTTTGGTTTCCAACAGAATTTTTTATTCTTTTCCTAATGTCACCTTTTTTTTTTTTGGAGACAGGCTCTCGCTCTGTTGCCCAGGCTGGAGTGCACTGGCGTGATCTCTGCCCACTGAAACTTCCGCCTCCCAGGTTCAAGCAATTTTCCTGCCTCGGCCTCCTGAGTAGCTAGGACTACAGGCGTATGCCACCACGCCTGGCTAATTTTTGTATTTTCAGTAGAGACAGGGTTTTACCATATTGGCCAGGCTGGTCTCAAACTCCTGACCTCAGGTGATCTGCCCGCCTCAGCCTCTCAAAGTGCTGGGATTACAGGTGTGAGCCACCATGATCGGATTTTTTTTTTTTGAGACAGAGTCTTGTTCTGTTGCCCAGGCTGGAGTGCAGTAGCATGATCTTGGCTCACTGCAACCTCTGCCTCCCAGGTTCAAGCGATTCTTCTGCCTCAGCCTCCCGAGTAGGTGGGACTACAGGTGCACACCACCATGCTTTCACCCTTTTTTAGTGCTGCAGGTCATGAGAAAGCAATTTTCTGTGTTTCACTATCCCATCACAAATTTACTTACTTCCAAATTGGAGGAAAAATTGAAATCCTGCTCATTTGTTATTGCAGATAAAAAGTATGAAACCTCACCAGTTTTAATGGGTCAGTTATCTTGTCTGTTGACAACGCCCTCAAGCCTCGTATGTGTAATCATGAGAAGGATGTTCCCAGAGCACATCTAGAAGTCCATTATGCAACCATATTTGGAGAGATTGTGGTGATAGAAATTGTATTTGTCATTTCTGTAACATCCATTCAATTCGTTTATGTAGATACTAGTTCTCTTATGAAATTCATCCTCTCATCACTTTTTCTATCCTGTCCTCTGTTTTTCTTGAATGTCTTAACTGTAGCCATGTTAAAGTCCTAGGCTGCTAACTTCACTGTCTAAATCATCTGTCACTTCTCATCTATTGGCATTTCCCTACCTCAGTTATCAGTCTTATGATTTTCCCTCTTTTCATGTGTTGTAATTTTTAATCACAGTCAAGACATGGTGTATAAAAGAACCACAGAGGCTCCAGATGGTGTTACCTTGCACCAGGGAGAGTCCTTCCATTCCTTGGTTAGGAACAAGTAGGGTCAGGCTGAGTTGTAGACAGATGCAGTCTACCTCGTGCTCCTTCTTCTTCTCCCTCCTGGGATTTTGACAGTCTGAGAAGTCTTATTTCCTCTACCCTGAACAACTCTGAGAGGTTAAGTTCTGCCCTGCAACAATATTCAGCTTTGCTATTTTGTGTCTTGCTCTACGCAGCTTCAAAGTTTGGCAAATGTCATAATGAGGAAAGCTGTGTGATAGAGACAGGACTCCTTTCCCTGGTAAGTCTTTGTTCCCTAAAAACAAAGAAACTACAAGCAGTTTTACCCTATCTTTTTGAAGCTTCTGTCTAGCTCCCTACTTTCTATACAGTGCACTGCAAATGGAAATGTCCACTGGAAACATCCAGCCACGTATCTGAGGTCTGTTAAGTCTTCAATTTCTCATTCCAGCCTTATGTGAAAACAATGCTGTTTTTGTTTGTTTGTTTGTTTTTCTCCTGGCAAAGGCCCTCTGTCTGGGCCAAGCCCAATCCTTAGCTCACACTCATACCTGGTAAATTCTCCCTATAGGGACAAACGCTTTTGCTCATCAGCTCAGTTCAGAATGTTCCTCTCCTGTTTGCAATTCTCATCCATCTCACCCTTGTCACCCCTGCAACTCTATGATGTCTTTAAAAATACAGTTGCTAAAACTTTATTTGACTTTCTCGAGTACTTGCAGTGGGAATATGGCCTGCTATAATCAAGCACATCTTCCCTAGAAGTGGAAGTCATAAAAGATCACCTTGAATGGGATAAGAAATTGAGCTAGTAAAATGGAAGCAATGTTTGTTTTCTGAAAAGGGAAAAGCAAACGTCTAGGAGGACATAGAGTCTGATATCTTCGTGTCTTAAAAATGATATGATTATCAATGAAGCTAGCTGTTATGGTTTAAAAGTCCAAGGAACTGCCATTAAAATAATCATATCTTAGGAGCTGCACTCATAAAATAATAAGAAATCACTCAAAATTATTGAATACAAGTGGAGAGAAGATCATTAGGGAACTTAATGATTCACTAATCAATTTTCACTTATGTAAAGAAAATTTTGCCACTTCATCGTTTCACTTGCAGAGTAATACATTAACAAACCTTCAAACTTGCCATTGTCAAAATAAGAAATAATCAAGAAGATTAAACTATACATTGAATTTACCAAATAATAATTTGATTCTGTTTTCTACTTTGTTTTACATCTCTTTCAATACCTGCTATTTTATGTATATGCCATCCAGTATTTAAATATCTTGAAATCTCTGGCTAGTGAAAATATTTTTAGGTTTTTACTAAGTTGTGGATTTTTTAGAGTTCAAACATTCATATACACACAGACATACACACAAGCACACTCTAAACCTCCTTTTCTGTCATACTATAGTTAATTCATGGCAGTTGAAATACTTAGTAGTAAAATTTTCATTTGAAAATTATCACTGTATATTTGCTTCAAGAACTGGTCACTAGGATCTACATGGAATTTACAGGAGACCAGAAACTCCTTGCAGAAATGATCTTTGATAGAGATCTTCAATGAAAGTTAAGTAGGGTTCATTCTAGTCTGGCTAAATATTACTAATATCAAAAACATCTTAGTATCTAGTAGTTCAGTTCAACGGAAAGAATTAACTTAGATCAACTGCAATGTAAACTCACTCTTTGTGTGAAAGGAAAAAAAATGCTTAATGTGATTATTTAGTACCATAGTATTCGGTTGATTACTGACTCATATAAAAATTTTAAATGTAGATGATATTGAAGTATAACATATGTAAAGATACTGCAGATACATTATGTGTTCCTCTCCTGTCTGCAATTCTCATCCATTTATGTGTGAATATATGTGTAAAGTTTGATGACTTCACAAATTGCATATCATATATAACGCGCATTCAGATAAAGAATCAGAATGTGATTAGAATCCCATAACCCCCATCTCCGATTTATCCTTGCAATCACTACTCCCCAAGGGAACCACTATTCTGACTTGCATAACAACAGATTTGTTTTGCCTGGTTTTGCCTTTTACATGAGTGGAATCATATGTTATATACGGTATCTGGCTTAACTCAACATTGTGTTTGTGAGAATTATCCACATTGTTGTATGTACTTACAGTTTTTTGTCATTATTGTATAGCATTCCAATACATCATATACCACAATTTAATTTTAGCTTATCTTACTTAACTTATGCTCTCCCCATAAGGTTAACTTCATGAGGACAGGGGTCTCTGTTTCACTCACTGATATCTATATATCTGTGTATATCTCAAGTACCTAAACAGTGCCTGGTACACAGTAGATGCTTTAGGAAGATTTGTTGAATTCAGTTAAAACTAGTTTGTAGCTTCTCAGCAGTCTTCTAGTGCACAAATGTTTGGAACTGCAAACCCTGCGTTAACTTTCTCATGCATCTATGGTCCTCCCCACTAGTCTTCTTAGTTGCCCCTTTGACTTCCTTGTTCCTCAGAGTGTAAATTAGGGGATTCAGTAGAGGAGTCACCAGAGTATAGAAGAGTGCAATGCTTTTGTTCACATCCTGTGAATAACTGGAGGGAGGCTGGAGGTACATGGAGATGAGTGTCCCAAAGAAAATGATCACTACCAGGAGGTGAGAACCACAGGTTCCAAAAGCCTTCTGCCTCCCTTGAGCTGACTTTATCTTCAGGACTGCATGAGTAATGTGACCATAGGATGCTAAGATGAGTGAGAGAGGCACCACCAAGAAGAAGACACTGACAGCAAAGATTTCAGCCTCGTTGATGGAGGTGTTGGTGCAGGACAGTTTCAGCATCACTGGAACTTCACAGAAGAAATGATCCACTTGGTTTTTATCACAGAGGGGGAGAGTCATGGTCAATGCTGTCTGTATCACAGAATTGCCAAACCCTGTGAGCCAAGTGGTTACAACCAACTGCAAGCAAAGTTGGGGATGCATGCTCACCATGTAGTGGAGTGGGCGGCAGACGGCTGCATAGCGGTCATAGGCCATGGCAGACAATAAGACACACTCCACTCCCCCCGAGTCCCAAGGCAATGAATAGCTGGGTCACGCAGCCACCATAGGTGATGGTCTTGTCCTTCCCCTTAAAGTTGACCAGTGTCTGAGGGACAGTACAAGTGGTCAAACAAAGATCCATAAAAGAGAGATTGGAGAGGAAGAAATACATAGGGGTATGGAGGCGAGGATCTACAATGGATAAAAGTATAATGGTGCCATTGCCCAGAAAGCTCAGAAAGTAGATGATCAAGATGACCACAAAGAGAGCTGTTTCCAGCTGAGGCCTGTTGGAGAAGCCCAGGAGGATGAATCCAGAGAAGGTGCTGTCGTTAGCTCTTTCCATTGTACTCTACCTGTTGGAATTAAGAGGCTTTTTAACTTTTATCTAGTGTGTCTAATTCATGTCTTTTTTCCTAGCATAGGTCAATAGAGCTTGATTGGGAGCTTGAGGTGTTTTTGCAGTCTCTTTCTTGTTGGCAATTAAGGGGGTGATAAATAGCTATTAGTACTATATATGAGTGTCTTCCAGCTTGCAGGCACTGGCCTCAGTACCTTGTATGCATTTTCTCATGACTTTACAAGATTGGCAATATCATTATGTCTGTTGAATAAATGATGAAACTGAAAAGAGGTTCAGTAATTTTCATAGTCTGACTCACCCAATAAATGCCAGGGGCAGGATTTAAACTGACTCTAGCACAATTTCTTCACTGCTAGGGGCCCTGCCTTTTCATGATTGCATGAACTTGAAAGATAACTTGAATTTCTCCACAAATTAGATCTAATTTCACAAAAATAATCCTCCTTTCTCTTAAAATAATTTGGACCTGTTATTAGAAATTTCTCTCCCTCCTAACCATCGCCCCATTCTGCTGACACACTATGGTATAAGTTTAATAGTAAACAGTACCTAAACAAGGTAATATCTTATACTAAATATATTACTATCTTCATCATAAGATATTACATATTCACCATAAGCTAGAAACAATCCTGGCATATGGTGGACTCACAAAAAATTGTTGGATAAATAAAAATATGGGAGAAACTTAAAAAGTATAGTAGGCTATAGATAATGAATGTAGAGTTTATAGAAATTTGCCTTCTCTCTATTGCACCTTTTCTGTTGCACTCTGGTGCTCCTGGTTCTTTCTATTACAAATGCTTTCAATGATTGCTTCAGTGGCAATTATTACTGCAGTGCCAAAGAATGCAACTAATTTTGAATAATAAATTTTAAAACACAATAAAATATGAATCAGAATACTTGTATTCTAAGTATAAATCTGCCATGAATAAGCTTTGCGGTTCTGAAGTCTGCACCCTGACCTCTACTTCCTAGCTATTTCTCCTTCCATATAAAAAAGATAATGTTACTAGCTTTTAGCTTTTTGCTAAAACCTGGTAGGTTTATGTTCCAATAGCTTTAATGTCATATTTTGGATCAGCATTCCTCAGTTCTAGCACATTCTTCAGTGACAGCATGGTTCTTAATTTCTATGTCTTCCAGATTATCAGGCTGTGTTTCAAGATGCCCAGAATTACAAGCCTGGCATTAACTCCCAGAACTGGCTTCATCAACTGTTGTTCGCGCTTATGTTTGCTTCTTCCCTCTATCCTTGTGATTTCAGGATCATAAAGAAAGAGCTTCTCCAGTCCACCATGGCACCCAGTTGAAGCCTCTTACAATGTTGTACAGTGGTCTATTCTCTCTCAGAGATCACTTAAATGCCTCATAGCTTAGTCTAGAACATGCTTTTAAATGATTTTGTTCTTCTCAGTGATGCACAGAGAGTGATCTGAACCAAGAAAAGCATATATTCTGATAAGCTACATGTATAGTTCATTGTAACCACAAAGGTAGAATTAAATTAACATAAGCTATTTTAATATAAATGTTAATATGGTTGTATTAGTTTCCTAGGGCTGCCATAGCAGAGTTCCAGTACTCAGATGGCTTAAGATAGTAGACATTTATTGTCTCACAATTCTGACGGCTAGAAGTTTGAAATCAAGGTGTAAGCAGGGCCATGCTCCCTCTGGCACCTGAAGGGGATGATCCTTTCTTGCATCCTTCTAGCTTCTGATGGCTTTCTGGCAATTTTTGGCACTCCTTGGCTTGCACCTGCAGCACTTCAATCTCTGCCTCCAGTCATATGTCATTCTCCTTTTATGTGTCTATCTTTTCTTTTTCTCTTTCTTTCTTTCTTTCTTTCTTTCTTTCTTTCTTTCTTTCTTTTTCTTTCTCTTTCCTTCCTTCCTTCCCTCCCTCCCTCTTTCTCTTTTTCTTTTCTCCTTCCTTCCTTCCTCCCTCCCTCCCCCCTTTTTTCTTCCTTCCTTCTTTCTCTCTTCTTTCTTTCTTTCTTTTTTCTTTCTTTCTTTCTTTCTTTCTTTCTTTCTTTTTTCTTTCTTTCTTTCTTTCTTTCTTTTTCTTTCCTTCTTTCTGTCTCTCCCTCCCTCCCTCCCTCCTTTCTTCCTTCCTTCCTTCCTTCCTTCCTTCCTTCCTTCCTTCCCTCCCTCCCTCCCTCCCTCCTTCCTTCCTTCCCTCCCTCCCTCCCTCCCTCCCTTCCTTCCTTGCATCCTTCCCTCCCTCCTGCTTCCTTTCTTTTTTTTTGAGACAGGGCCTTGGAATGTCAGGCAGGCTGGAGTGCAGTAGCACAATTTCAGCTCACTGCAGCCTAGAGCTCCTGGGCTCAAGAGATCCTCCTGTCTCCACCTTCCAGTTGCTGGGATTTCAGGGATGTTGTGTTCAGGCATGTTGTGTTAGGGCCCATCCAAATTGAGTGTAACCTTATCTTAACTTGATAACATATGCAAAGGCCCTATTTACAAATAAGATCACATTCACAGAAACTGGAGAGTTATGGCATGAACATATCTTCTGGGGGATGCAGTTCAACTCATAACAATAGCATAATGTAATCATATCTTCTGCCAAGTTGTAATGATTGTTTATTATAAATCCCTGCTACCCAGTGGTAAGCCTAAGATCCAGATATGAATGCTATTCTATTCCAAGTTCATAAATGAGGTACGGTATGATAATGATAATCATTAAGATTATTATTGATAATATTGCTATTCCTCTCATTTCTGTTCGTGTGTGAATAGTGGAAGTCTACAGTAATAGGGAAACCTGATTCCCCTCACTTGGCGGTAACTCTCCGATGATGGCATTTTAAAAAATACATATCCTTATTACTCTTTACAAAACAGATCTAAAACACCATTACAGATTGCACACTTATCCATTCACTTCTTTAGTGTAGGGGTGTTCAGTTAATCTAGAGTTCAGATTTCTCTTCTAGTCTAAAACTTACTCTAAGTAAATAGCAAACTCATGCATAGACATCAATTCTATAGGGAGTACCATCAGCATTTTTAAGGGATCAAGACTGAAACACACCATCTCAGCTGGCTTAGGAAGCAATTGAATGGGTGTTGGACTCATCTTTCACAGAAGAATGACAAAGATTACAGACATTCAACTATCTTCTAGAAGAAGTAAGATGGTTTTAGAAGAACCACTATAGTTCTATGAAACTAGAAGATGGGCATGTTGATGAGAAGGTTAATATCAAAAATATGAAACCACATGAAATTTGGTTCTCCAAATATGGTACATTCAGTGATTAACAACTGGTGGGTTTGGCTATGAAACTACAGAACAGAGTTAGAGGATAAAGTAGATAAATACAGATCCACATATTTAAAGCATGCTTTAAAATATGCCACCCTCAGAGAGAATAATCCTTGAAAATGGTTAATCGTCAAAGGCAAGGAAAGTGAAAATTGCTACTCACCCAGATTCTGTTAAAGGTAGTACCATTTCTTTTTAAATTTACTGCTATTATAAGTTAGGCAATCCCCAGGATTTTCCCAGGAAGATTGTCCACTCTTTTTTTAAGTGTATTTCAGTGCATATGAGGGAGTATAAATTAGGGTGGTCAGTTGAATCTATAAGTAAACAGAAATTGGAATCAATGAATTCTAAGGAATCTGCCGATGACTAAAGGGGCCAATGTTATGTCTGGGATATTTTTATAAACCACCAAAGTCAAGGTGCATGCTTTAGGGACTGAGATGCTTCAGGATGTGTTTATTTTTAGTGGCCCCAAGAGTGTCCTGCTCCATGTAACTCATTAGCCTCAGTTCAGGTAGCCAGAGTTTGGCTGCCTCTGGGGAGCAGCCAAAGAGGAAGACTCTGGAGAGTTGACATCAGATAGTCTATCTTTCCCTGCCCAAATGCCTAGGAGTCGGCCAGGCGCGGTGGCTCATGCCTGTAATCCCAGCGCTTTGGGAGGCCGAGGCGGGCAGATCACCTGAGGCCAGGAGTTCGAGAGCAGCCTGGCCAACATGGTGAAACCCCGTCTCTACTAAAAATACAAAAATTAGCCAGGCATGATGGCACATGCCTGTAATCCCAGCTACTTGGGATGCTGAGGTGGGAGAATTGCTTGAACCCGGGAGGCAGAGCTTGCAGTGCGCCGAGATGGTGCCACTGCACTCCAGCCTAGGCGACAGAGGGATACTCCTTCTCAACAAACAAACAAACAAACAAACAAACAAACAAACAGTGCCTAGGAGCGAACCTGTTGTCTCTACCTAACTTCTAACTTCCACTTCTCACATCTGGTAGTAGTGATTGCATTGTTTTTGCCAATCTCTAAATTCTTTATCCTTATTTTCAGAAATATTTATTCTTACTTAAAAAGAGAAAAAAGAAGTAATTAAGCACAGATTCCTGTGCCTTTTCTCTTTCATATTACTTATATGCTTGTGCTATTATTGCTTCACTCAAAAAATAAATTTTCCAATGGTGCTATCAACTCTATTCCTTTCCCATTTTTTGAGACTGTGTCATCCAGTTGTATCTGATCTGATTTTCACCTTCTGGTATCCATTATCTCTTTCTTGATAGCCTAAAAATATGCCCAAGTCTATCCTATCAGAAAAATAAAAATAGAAAGTGAACCTCCCTACCTCTTATATCCTTCTAGTTCTCCTCTTCCATTAACTTACAATCTTTGAGATAGGACATAAAACATCCATATTTTTTCTCCTCTCATCGACACTTCCCAATGCTGTCATTTGCCTTCTTCTCCCACTCTAGTCAAGCTGCTTTCAGTGGAATCTCCAGGATCCTTCCCATCACACAAAGTAGACAAGCTAACCCCATAATCTCACTTGATGTAATTTGGGCTTGATGATCTCCTCTTTTAAGAAATTATGTTATCCATGGACTTCTCTCTTGTTCTTTTTCTATTATTCCTTTGATCCCTGATTCTGAGTTTTCTTTCTCACTGGAGACAAACCTCATTGTTTAGGTTTCACATGTTCTATCTTTCGCTCTTTTTTCATCTCTCTCCACACTGTCCCTGGGATACTTTTCCATTTGCTTGGCTCTAACATCTATCTATATGATAAATCTTCAATCCATATGTAGAATTTAGTCTTCCTTCTTGAGTTCCATACTAAATCAAATGGAATATTGGCTATCTACACATAGCTTATTTGTGAAGTCTAAATTTCCAATGGTTTTACAATTCAGCTTGTGATTTTCTGAAACCAGTTCCTGTCTTTGTATGTCAAATATCCAGAATCTCAATACCAAATCCTTAGTAACTGCAGTGAGAGCCCCTGAATTATTATTGATTCTTCCCTATGTTTTGCTCCCAATAGTCAACCTAAGCTTTGTTGATTCTCCCTTTGACATGGTTTTAGAATACATTCACTCTTCAGCACATATTTTCCATTTGTTATCAATATATTAGTTAATATCTTTTTACCTTTGTGTGAACCAACCATTAAATTCATCTTCTAAGAGAGCTTCCAATTGAACAGACTCAGTTTTCACAGTGTTATTATTTATTTTTCCTAAAACTGATAATCACATCACTTCCTTGCTTAAAACGGCCTCAATTACTATTCTCTACAAGTTTAAAGAAAAAGCACACCTTTAATATATAAAGTTGTATTTATTCAATGGACTCTGTAGTTGTAGAAACAAACTCACAACTTAAATCTACCGTCCCAGTTTGGGGCCAGCATTCTATTATACATCCTATTACTCTATTACATTGTTTCATCTGAAAGGTATTATCCTGCCTTAATTTCCAATTCAAACTCTCCATTCCTAATTCAAGAGTTTGCTCAAGGGTCATATTCTTTACAAAGAAAACTCACATTTTCTCTCTTTTTTGAGATCCGATAACACTTTCTAACTAATTATTATTATTATTACTAATCAATGCCTAAGGTAATTAATCTTTGGCTGCCTCGAGTGTGAGCTCCTCCAGGACATGACCTATTTTTTTCTTCTTCTTTTATCCCTAGTGCTTAATTCCATGTCCCATGCATTCTAGGTCTTAAAGCTTTTATGCTTAATAAATATGAAATTAATGAGCTGGGATTCTGGAAATCTAAATATGGAGTAAAAATCAACTCTAATTGTGTAGGATTGAAACAAAACTACATAAATTAGTTTATCTTATTCTCTGTGTACATGTTGAAGGTTACATGTACATTTTCAAAAGTAGATACTGATTTAAAAGGTGAGATCATAAATATAGATGTGAAAAATCATCTTTATATGTAAAAACAATAATTTTATTTTAGGTTTAAGCTTCTTTGGCAGTTCATTTTGGTCTTCAGAATAAAGTGCCAACGTGTAAGCATGGTGGTGTCTTGATGTGGCGTCTCCTATTTCTCTGCTTTCATGGTTTGTCTTTTCCCTATGATGCTCCTTTCACTTTGAATGTCCTTACACACGGAATTCTTTTTTTGACTTTTATAGTTCAGTTAAAACATTGCCTCCTCCATGAAGTTGTGTTGACAATGCCTATTTTATGCCTCCAGAAGAAGTCAAACTGCTTTTATTACTAAACAAGAAAGAATAAAAATAATCATGTAGGTACCCAACTCAAGATATCATTAAAAAGGAATCTAGTGAAAGAAAAGAGGTGTTAAAGAAAAATAGAATCAATTAGTTTAAAAGAATGTGAAACTGATTCTTTTCAGGAAGCAATTTTGGTATGGCTTTTAAAACCAGGTTACTGATAAAGCTAGGGCTGCTTTGTGAAGTTACATTTGATTGTCGTATAAATAAGACTTTTATGTTTATTTCTTTCACTCAGATTTTTCAACCCTTGAAACCTAGAGCTTCTCTCTGAATTACTGTATAATTTCACTTTCTTGTTCAATATTATATCTCAGTTATTTTATATTTTATGCCTGATTTATTAATGCTTCCTTATACTCAGTGGATAGATACAGGGAATTCTTCTTTCAAGGAATGAGAAATCAAATCTGAACTATTATTCTTCTTCTTTAGGACAATTTGCTTAATTTATTGCCTTGGAATTTGAGCTCAGGAGTTCAAGACCAGCGTGAGCAACATGGTGAAACCCAGTCTTTACAAAAAGTTCAAAAATTATCCAGGCGTGGTGGTGGGTGCCTGTAGTCCCAGCTACTCTGGAGCCTGAGGCACGAGAATCGCTTGAAGTGGGGAGGTGGAGGCTGCAGTGAGCAGAGATTGTGCCACTGCACTCCAGCCTGGGTGACACAGCCAGACCCTGTCTCAAAATGTAAAATAAAATGAAGTAAATATGATTAGTATGTTTCAGTACTTAAAGAGTGTTCTGAAAATATGAGCAAGAAATAAAAGACTAAAGGAACTAAAAAACAGAGTCTGGTCCTGAACAGGATGCTGAATTATGATGAATGCTGACTGCCTCCCTCAAGTTAAATCCCAGAAAAACTAGAGAAGGTAAACAGATAAAACTGTAAGAAAGCCAGAGGTACTGGCCGTGTGGGATGGTAGTTGAACCTGGGGTAGAGAACTTTCCAGCACAATTATAAGAGGTTAAAATAAAAGGTTAATTGTGAGTGTTCTGCTGTAGCTTTTCCCCTGCTACTGTCTTACCACACATGGTGCTTGCCTTACTACTGCAACGAACGTAATTCTGGTCCAAGCACCCTCAGGAATAAAATCAGAGCAGTACTCCTGTGCTTATAAGGGGCTGAGAAAAAAGAGTAAGGGTTATGACTAACAAACCTCAGGCAGTTATTTCCCCAACACTCTACTGCAGGATTCATGCCATCCTTGCTTTAATGTTTGTGGGTGAGGCACAGTGGGGTTTGGTCTTCGTTTATACACAATGACATAGAGAGGACCCAATACACTGAGAGGAAAATAAGCACACAGGCCAAAAATCACAAAATGTTTAGACAGAACAGCTATTTCAATTAAAAAAGAAATACTAGATTTAAAATTCCAATAAAACATGGAAAAATATCAAATGAGCCTAGTAAATGGATTACCAGTATTAAACAAGTAAAAGAAAAATTTTTAATGAAACCAAACTGAAATGACATAAAATACATATTTGTTTTAATAAATATGAAAGTAGATAACAAATATAATGGCTATACCTGCATGATGAACTGGTGAACTGGAGAGTATGAAGAAATCTCATACAAGAAAGAAGGAAAACACAAAGTAAAAGAAAACTGAAGTGTAAACTGGAGAGATAGGATGGATAGAAGTCCAAGTGTCAACATTCAGATAACAGGACTCCAAGAATGAGCATAAAATAAATAAGGACAGGAAGCATTTTGGGAGGCTGAGGTGGGTGGATCACGAGGTCAGGAGATCGAGACCATCCTAGCTGACACGGTGAAACTCCGTCTCTACTGAAAATACAAAAAATTAGCCGGGCGTGGTGGCGGGCGCCTGTAGCCCCAGATGCTCGGGAGGCTGAGTCAGGAGAATGGCGTGAACCCGGGAGGCGGATCTTGCAGTGAGCCGAGATCACGCCACTGCACTCCAGCCTGGGCGACAGAGCAAGACTCTGTCTCATAAATAAATAAATGAATATGGACAGGAGAAAAGATCCGAAGACATATGAAGATCAGTTTTGGAAGAAAAAAAAGTGAAAATTTCTGTTTAAAGGAGACTATAGAAATCCAAAGAGAGATAAGGAAAAACTCGCATTGAGGCATATTATAGTTAAATTTAGAATATTAAAGACAGAGAAAATTATAAAGCATTCAGAAAGAAAGTACAGATCACTTATAGAGGAAAAAGAAACTAACTGTGGTGTTGTTTTATCAAGGTAGGACAACTTTATATTACATTTTCTATTTCTCAGACCCCATAGTGTGAGTTTTGGCTGTAACTATGTTAATTGAGAGACTTGACATTATAATTTTCAAGGGAAAGCCTCCCTCTGTCCAGTAGCCACTCTAATTTTATTCTTCAAGGTCAAGATGGGGAAATTTCTTTTCTGCCTTTTGCAGGACAGGATTTTTTCTCATTGACCCTTACCTCAAGGTAAGGTAAGGTGAGGTAAGGGCCCCTTTGGAGCTCCCACTTTGATTTCTCATGTCAGAATTACCCCAAATTTGTGGGCCATGCAGACATGCAGAGATTTATAGGAAGTGATAAAT
This sequence comes from Homo sapiens, assembly GCF_000001405.40. Lineage (NCBI taxonomy): Eukaryota > Metazoa > Chordata > Mammalia > Primates > Hominidae > Homo > Homo sapiens. The sequence goes on along the minus strand of NC_000006.12, from coordinate 28,037,326 downwards.
ATCTTATTATTTTTAAATCATATAATTATTTTCATAAGAAAAAATTTAAAAGATTAATAAATGACTTTTTATTCATTCTATCAGCAAATATTTATAGGGTATCTGCTGCATGCTAGGGCCTACATGGTTTTCTCCTTGCAGGATTTCAGATGAAGGCAGAGGTAGGAGCCAAATATATTTCTAATGTTTTTAATCTTTGCAAAATCCTCTTCTATTGGAGGAAAAAGATGAACCAAAATAAAGAAATATTTTGCTTTACATAGGATGAGTTTGATTTGTAAAAGTTAAATTTGTCCATCACATAGATGATTTTGGCTAGAAAATAGTTGGAAATATAATACCTGGTGTTTGAAATTCATTTTTAGTGTGCATTTTGGATTTGGAGGTTGTCTTAAGAGGGGAAAAAATAAAGCAGTAAGAACAGTCACTATGACTGTGATTGTGCCACTGAACTCCAGCCTGGGCAACAGAGCAAGACCCTGTCTCAAAACAAAACAAAACAAAACAAATCAAGAATTGTCACTGTGATGTGAGTGAGAGTAGAGAGGAAACTGGAGCACTCCAAAGACAGAAACACTTTCTGAACTAAGAAATAAACTGACCTTATCCAGTTTTACCCCAGGAAAATTCTTTTTCATTCTTTTTTTTTGAGACAGGGTCTCACTCTGTTGCCCAATCTGGAGTGCCATGGCATGAACGTGGCTTACTGCAGTGTCAGTCTCCTGGGCTCAAGCGATCCTCCCGCCTCAGCCTCCTGAGTAGCTGGGACTAGAGGTGTGTGCCATCACAACTGGCTAATTCTTTTTCATTTTTTTCATATATATATATAAAATACTTTAAGTTCTAAGGTACATGTGCACAACATGCAGGTTTGTTACATATGTATACATGTGCCATGTTGGTGTGCTGCACCCATTAACTCGTCATTTACATTAGGTATATCTCCTAATGCTTTCCCTCCCCGCTCCCCCCACCCCACAACAGGCCCTGGTGTGTGATGTTCCCCTTCCTGTGTCCAAATGTTCTTATTGTTCAATTCCCACCTATGAGTGAGAACATGCGGTGCTTGGTTTTTTTGTCCTTGCGAGAGTTTGCTGAGAATGATGGTTTCAATCTTTTAAGTGGCCTCTATTGTTTTTTTCTTTGGACACAAATGCATATTACTTAATGTGGCACCTAGCCCATAATATCAGTTCAATATGCTTTTTAATAAAATAAATACAAATGTCTCCAATAAAAAGAAAACAACGTAATAAAATTATTTAGGGTTTTGGATTGTGTCAAAGCCCTATTCAGCAATGTCTACTTGAAAATTTCATTGAAAAAGTAACTTAAATAAAGTAGCTATTTGAAGGGCTCAGTAGGATAGAACCCTTGTCCTTAGCATGAATCATAGTGAGAAGACACTTTTGAATATGTTTGTTTTTCTTCTATTACCAGGAAAACATAGGATCATAAATCACAATTATTCCATATGTTTTAGAAATTAATCATGTGTATCTTTGCACAAGCACCATAATGCTTGTGTGTATAAATGAGTATGCATGCATACTTGTAAACACACAGCTTTCATACTCGCTTTTATTATTGTCACTTTTAACAGCCCCTTACATGAAATTTATATTTAAAAAGTGAGAACATTTATATTCATTCTGATGTATTCAGACACTTGTATTAAATTCTTAGCTCTACTATTTGTGGTCTGTTTGATAATGTTTCCTAATCTATCAAATGAAAGGATTCTGAATTGATCATTTGTTTTCAAATGTATATTCATGTTAGAATCTCACAAGGAGCTTTTTCAACAAAATATTTCCAGACTTTCAAAAACTCACAATCACTGTGGTTGGAACTTGAAACAAACATATGTGTGTCTGTGTGTGTATATATATATATATACACACACACAGACACACATATATATATCTTTATGTAATTTTAATGCAGCTGATCAGTGAAACAGTGTTAAGCTCAAAAATTTTAATGATGTCATAGACCATGTCTAAGCTAATGTTCTATCTTTTCCATATAACAAAATTTATACCTACCAGAAGATATTGTAGGTATTTTGGCACTCCATTGGCTCAATTCCATGAAATAAATGATGATTACACAAACTACTAATGGGAAAGATGATCATATAATTTTTCCAAAGCATAACTTCTGTCAGTCAATCCACAGTACTAAAGCATTGATTTATGGTTCTGTTGGATTTTAATTAGCTGTGGTCAATTTGGAAAGGAGGAGAAAAAATGATTTGACATGTCAGATACAACATGTTATACAGATTAAATTTCAGCTGTAATCTAACTAGTCATCAGCATTTTATTCAGGGCTTTACAATAAGTATTCCCAAGTTCTGCCTCTGTAGGTTTGTATTGGGTAGGTAGGAATATTTAAATGAATTTTGAAGTTTCACTTCAAGAATTATTTATTTCTATTAAATAAGTAAAGAAGCAGTCTCAAGAGCAGTCACTGTCACTGTGTTTTCTAGACACAAGCCTCTTCAGTGCACCTTTTACATCCTTGTTTCTCAGTGTATAGATGACAGGGTTTAACATGGGGGTCATTAAGTTGTAGAAAAGGGTAAGGAACTTCCCTTGGTCCTGAGAAGAATTATTTCATGGTTGCATATACATATAGATAATATTCCCATAAAACAAGGAGACCACGGTGAGGTGGGACCCGCACATATTGAAGGCCTTCCTTCTTCCTGCGGCTGACTTGATTCTCAGCACTGCTAGGGCAATGTAGCTATAAGAGATGAGGATAAGACACAAAGGCATCAGGACAATTACTACCGATAAGGTGAAAACAGTGCTCTCCATAGCCACTGTGTCCACACAGGTGATTTTTATTAGAGCTGGCATCTCACACAGGAAATGTTTCAACTTACATCTTCCACATCGTGGCAGCTTCATAGTCACAGGAGACATAACTAGAGAACTGAGGAGTCCAACACCCCCGGGCCACAGACACCAACTTCCAGCACAGCTGAGGGTGCATAATGACAGAATAGTGAAGGGGCTTGCAGATTGCAATGAAGCGGTCATAGGCCACGGCTGCCAAGAGAATACACTCTTGCCACCCAGGCCCAGGAACATGAAGAGCTGGATGGCACAGCCCGTGTGGCTGATAGTCTTGCCTGGGCTGCCTAGATTGAAAAGCAGCTGGGGGATAGAACTGGTGGTGAAGCAGAGATCTAGGAAAGACAAGTTAGTGAGGAAGAAGTACATGGGCATGTGGAGGCAGGGGTCCAGGTGGGAGATCAAGATAATGATGATGTTGCCCACTAAGGTCACAAGGTAGAAGATGAGGACAAACACAAAGAGGACATGCTCCAGCCTGGGTCTGCCTGAGAAACCCAGTAAGATGAACTGTTTCTGGGCAGCTCTGGTTGGTCATGACAGTGGATAATCAGTACCTGCCTGAAGGGAAGCGATAGGAGCACACCATATTCTTAATGAAGCTGGGTAAGAAATGGATCGAGAAAAAGATCATGTAAAATAGTTACATAAAACTTCAATATTCTGTGCAGACATAGATTATATATTTTGGGAAGAATATCTCCTCTTATTGGCATGTTTTGTTTCTTTTTAAATACCAAAGAGATGCAGATCATTGTAGAATATTTGGAAAACACAGACATATATAAAGAATAGGAAAAGATTGTCCACACTCCAGAAACAATCACCTTTGCACTATTGATTTCAGTCTTTTCAAAAATGAGTATGTATAATTTAACACAACCTAAATTACAGTGTGTTAAAAAATTTATATTCTGAATTTTCTTTCAGCCAGTATTGTGAGAATTTACTTTGGTTTAAAAAATCTATAATGAAATCTTTAATGTCTGTATAATTTTCCTATAGCATGGCATAATTTATCTAAACCTTTCTCTATAGTTGCTTATTGAGGGTATTTTCTATATTTTAAAGGTCTTGATAGAGAGGTTATGGAAGTACCTGTTTTACCGTATTTTAACCAGCATGCTTTCCCCCAAATTGCTGACAATCACTTGGTCCAAAGTGATGTCTCATATTGTTTAAATTTGATGTTCTTAGCAGCAACATTGATTGATTTTTTTGATGCTTGTAAGCTTTTCACAAGTGGGAAAATTTTTTTTTGTCACTGAGCTAGCATGTCACAGATCATAGAAAAGCCTATAAATAGAACCCAAAGTGCCACTTATAATGTAACAATGAAAACAAGAGTAATGGCTGACTTCATCTTACTCACTGAAGTAAAAGACACAACCTTTCCATTTTTACTCAACTATTCAATCCATAACAAAATATACATCCTTTTGTAAATGATTAAATCACTAATTCTACTTCGTTGTTTACATGAAGTTATTTTCCCTACCTACAAATACATGCTTATTTTATAAAACTGCAATTTTACAAAAGATACAATTATGAAAAGTTTTCAGTGAATATATTTTAAAAATTTCTTTCTGTTATGAAATATGCTCATAATTATACTTTTTACCTGGATATATCTGTGAGGCAGACCTGTATTTCTTTATTCATCAAATTTTAAAATGATATAAATTATAAAAATAAGCTTGATTTAGAAATTTTAATGCATTGACAGAGAATGCTATCATGTTGCTTTCCAAAATCTATGCTTTTTCCCCTCAAGAAAGAACTAATTGTTAAACAAGAAAAAAATAGGTAAATCAATTTTCATATTTCAAACTGGTAGATCAATTCAAAAGTCATTCCTTTGAATGTGTCAAAGACACTAAAATCAGATAATTTAAAACACTCAAAGATAAATTTATGACCTGTTCTGTAATAGGATGTTTCTCAACACCTTAAGTTAATAAAGATGCTTCCTGTACTCTACCTACAAATATGGTGCTTGATTCAGAAGATCTTAGCTCATTATTCTATTAATATTTATCATCTTGTTAAAAAACAATTTCATTACCTCACAGGGTTGATGTGAAGTTACAGCTTTCAGTGTAACCCCTTTCCTGGGTACATAAAGATCTTTATAACTCTATCAGTTACCGCCTTAACTAGTTATTGTAACTAGTTTCTACTATAACTAGCGTTCTTTTCTGGCCATGTAAGTGTAAAACAGATCCAGGAGAGGCAGATGAAAGTGAAGGAGCTACATCATCTTTCCATTTCCACCTCTACATCAAGGTCTCACGTGTATTGATATATTTACACACCATTATATATATTTGTAAAGTGCCTTGTGCTTGATAAACCATGTTACAGGTATCAGAGATTATTATAATAATTTAAATAGGAAAGACAGCTCTGTGTCATACATGATCAAGAGGAGAATCTTTTTCATGCTATTTTGAATATTATCAGTGTTATTAGCAAAAACTAGCAATTTTAGCCAGTTTAAATTCATTATAGCTGTTTAGATGGCCCAAGAAAAAAACTTTTGACTGCAAGTTAAACTCCAGTGATTCTCAAAGGGCTCAGCTGATAAAATGTTGACACAGCCTTATTTCAGATAAGATTATCATTTTTGAAATGAAAATTACTGAAAATATTTACATTGATGAATAATTTCATATTTAACAAATATTTATAGAGCTCCTATTATATGACAAACACTGTATTACATGCTAGAGATATAATAACTACTAAACTAGGTAGTAATTGATCTCATTGATTTCTAGTGTAGTGAGAGAAAGGCATTCACCAAAACTCACGAAAACGAATGTATGACTATCAACATCACTGAGCCCTTACTTAGTGCTGAAGACTGTGCTAAGTGCTTTCTTCAACTGCTTTATTTAATCCTCATACTTGAATTTGGAGGATATAGGCATTAAGTAACTTACCAACAAATATTCAGCTAGGAAGTTATAGATGCGCAATTTGAACCTAGGCCTGTTTGACTCTTAATCCAAGTTTCTAAACACGATGGGACTAAAACAGAAAGATAACGTATTAACCCATGAACCCAATCTCTGCCATTGCATTCAGTTAAAGTAAATTGAGTGCTTCAAGTTCTTTAATCGCTGGTATGGTTCCAATGGAAGGAAACATCAAAGAGGTGTAGGGAAGATAAATCAAGTGAAGAAAATGTCTCCAAAACTCAGTTTTCTAAGCAAATGAAAGATATATCCATTCTTTCAAAAGTTTCTGGATTTTAGAGGGATGATGATTCACATCCCAGGTGGGATGGAGAGGACTGGTGTGAGATTTCATCACCCTACTTAAAATGGTGCAAATTTAAAACTTATTAATTGTTTATTTCTGGAATTTTCTACTTAATATTTTCAGACCAGGGTTGACCACAGGTAACTGAAACCGCAGAAAGAGAAACTGTGGATAAGGGGGGACTGCTGTACAGGCATACCTGGGAGATATTTTGGTTTCAGTTCCAGATAATTGCAATAAAACAAATATCATAATGAGGTGAGTCACACCATTTTTGGCTTCCCCAGTGCATATGAAAACAAAGTTACACTATATTGTAGTCTATTACATGTGCAATAGCAAAAAAAAAACCTTAATTAAAAATACTTTATTGCTACAAAATGCTAACAATCATCTAAGCCTTCAGAAAGTTGTAATCTTTTTGCTGTTGGAGGGTCTAGCATATGATGTTATTTGATAGCATTTTACCCATTTTGAAAGCAGAACTTCTTTCAAAATTTGATTCAATTCTCTCAAATTCTGCTGCTTATCAACTAAGTTTATGTAATATTCTTAATTTTTTTTGTCATTTCAATAACATTCCAGCATCTTCACTAGGAGTAGATTTCATCTCAAGAAACCACTTTCTTTGCTCATCCCTAAGAAGCAATTCCTCATTTGTTCAAGTTTTATCATGAGAATGTAGCAATTTAGTCATATCTTCAAGGCACCACTTCTAATTCTGGTTCTCTTGCTATTTCTACCACATCTGCAGTTACTTCCTCCACTGAAGTCTTGAAGTAAACCATGAGTGTTGGAATCAGCTTCTTCCAAATTCCTGTTAATGATGATATTTTGACCTCCTCCAATGAATCACAAATATCCTTAATGGCATCAAGAATGGTGAATGGTGAAGCTTTTCAATCTACTTTGCCCGGATCCATCAGAGGAATCACTGTCTTTGGCAGCTATAGCCTTATGAAATGTATTTCTTAAATAAGAAGACTTTAAAGTTAAAATTACCTCTTGATCCATGGGCTGTAGAATGGATATTGTGTTAACAGGCATGAAAACAACATTAATCTCCTTGTATATCTCCATCAGAGCTCTTGGGTGACCAGATGCATTGTCAATGAGCAGTAACATTTTGAAAGGAATCTTTTTTTCCTGAGCAGCAGGTCTCAACAGCGGGCTTAAAATATTTGGTAAACCATACTGTAAACAGATGTGCTGTCATCCCCAGACTTTGTTGTGTTATTTCTAGAGCACAGGCAGAGTTGATTTAGTATAATTTTTAAGGGACTTAGGATATTTGGAATGCTACATGAGCAATGGGTTCAACTCAAAGTCACCATCTGCATTATCCCCCAACAAGAGAGTCACCCTGTTCTTTGAAGCTTTGAGGCCAGGCACTGACTTCTACACTCTGGCTATGAAAGTCCTAGATGGCATCTTCTTCCAATAGAAGGCTGTTTTTTCTACATTGAAAACCTGTTGTTCAGTGTAGCTACCTTAATCAATTATCTTAGCTAGATCTTCTGGAAAACTTGCTGCAGCTTCTACATTAGCACTTACCTTGTGGTTTTATGTTATGGAGACACCTTCTTTCCTTAAACGTCATGAACCGATCTCTGCCAGTTTCAAACTTTCCTTCTGCAGCTTCCTCACCTCTTTCAGGCTTTACAGAATTGATGAGAGTTAAAGCCTTACTCTGGATTAGGCTTTGGTTTAAGGGAATATTGTGGCTAGTTAGATCTTCTATCCAGATCACTCAAACTTTCGATCAGCAATGAGGCTGTTTCACTTTCTTGTCACGTATGTGTTTAGTAGTGTAGCACTTTTAATTTCCTTCAAGAACTTTTCCTTTGTGTTTACAGCTTGGTTAACTGGTGCAAGAGGCCTAGCTTTAGGCCTGTGTTGGCTTTTGACATGCCTTCCCCATTAAACTTAATCATTTCTAGCTTTTTTTTAAACTTATTTATTTATTTTTATTATTTTATTTTATTATTATTATACTTTAAGTTTTAGGGTACCTGTGCACAACATGCAGGTTTGTTTCATATGTATACATGTGCCATGTTGGTGTGCTGCACCCATTAACTCGTCATTTAGCATTAGGTATATCTCCTAATGCTATCTCTCCCCTCTCCCCTCACCCCACAACAGTCCCCGATGTGTGATGTTCCCCTTCCTGTGTCCATGTGTTCTCATTGTTCAGTTCCCACCTATGCGTGAGAACATGCGGTGTTTGGTTTTTTGTCCTTGCGATAGTTTGCATTTCCAGCTTTTGATTTAAAGTGAGAGATATGTAACTCTTCCTTTCACTTGAACACTTAGAGACCATTTTAGGATTATTAACCAGCCTAATTTCAACATTTTTGTGTCTTAAGGAATACAGAGGCCCAAGAAGAGGGACAGAAATTGAGGAATGGCCAGTTGGTAAAGCAGTCAGAACACACAAAACATTTATCAATTAAGTTAGCTGTCTTAATATAGATGCAGTTTGTGCCCCAAAATATGGTGTCCCAAAACAATTCCAATAGTAACGTCAGAGATTACTGATCACAATCACTTATCTGAGATATAATCACAGATCACCATAGCAGATATAATAATAATGAAAAACTATGAAACATTGTGAGAATTACTAAAATGTGACACAGAGACACGACGTGAGCACATGCTGCTGGAAAAATGGTACTGATAGACTTGCTCGACAGAGTGTTGCCACAGACCTTCAATTTGTAAATAATGCAATATCTGCAAAGTACAATAAAGTAAAGCACAATAAATCAAGGTGTGCCTGTATGAATTAAAACAATTATTGAAAGGATTATAATTAAAATTATTAGAAGAATGGTGTGACATAATGTATAACCCATAACCAATGAGTAAAAATTATTTAAACATGTAAAAACTCTGTATGCAATTTGCAAATATTTTAAATCAATAATTACAGGCAGAATATATATTATGTGCAATAGAGCACTGTATGTAGCAGATATTATTGTTCACTCCTACTCTTTCCTTGCTTGCTGAACATCAATTTTCTTAGGTGTCAGGTGGGTGGAAATGTCTTCAGACACATGGGAAGAACCATGCTTTTTTCTACACCAGTTTTGCTAATCTGATTCCTTCTTTATCAGGGATAAGGTTTAGAGAAGTTAGAGAATTAAGATCAATTTTGACAAAGAAAGAGTTAACTGCTGGCAAAAGCTTGGAGGTGTACAATAGGAGGAGAGGTTAAAGGAAAGCAAAAGAGACAAGAAATAGTTCTAAATGTGGTAAAACAAAGTAGAGAAGTTTGAATATATCATAAAAGTTACACAATCAACAGAAGAATGACAATAATAATAAGATAGCTGGTAGTCAGAGCACTATCAACAAATACTGGAATTGGTAGATCAAGAAATCAAGATATAAGAAAATATTTAGAATTATTAAAATAAACTAAAATAGAAAGTTAAAAATTTTATCACTGCGGTGTGCATTTTAGTGTTGAAAGGTACTATATAAAATTATTTTTTCTGGCTGGGCATGGTGGCTCACGCCTGTAATCCTAGCACTTTGGGAGGCCGAGGCAGGAGGATCACTTGAGGTCAGGAGTTCGAGACCAGTCTGGCCAACATGGTAAAACCCCATCTCTATTAAAAATACAAAAAAAAATTAGGTGGGTGTGGTGGCAGGTGCCTGTAATCCCAGCTACTCGGGAGGCTGAGGCAGGAGAATCGCTTGAACCTGGGAGGCAGAGGTTGCAGTGAGCCGAGATTGCTCCACTGCACTCCAGCCTGGACGACAAGAGTGAAACTCCATCTCAAAAAAAAAAATTATTTTTTCTTTTTATTACAGACCTTTCTGTACTTAATGTTGCTTTAACTTTTGCATGTATTACTTTGATAAAAATATGCATTATAATAATGAAACAATCTAGTTTCTTAGAAAAACATATATATAGGATGTATATTTCTATATATATATACAAAATGTACAGCTTAAAGCAATATATTATAATAATTGTTGCAAAATGCAAACATACATTTTTCAAATCAAATGTGGTTTCAGGTCATGGCTCTACCCTTACCAGGTATATGACCTTATTCAACATATTTAACTGCTGTGTTCTCAGTCTTCTTATCTGTGAAATAGGCATGGTAAAGTAAATATCTTATAGGACTATCATAAGAATTAAATTATGTATGTAATTACATTGAAGAGTATATTACATAGCAACAATGTAATAAAGATTATTTTGTTTCTATTCCATTATTTTTTTTTATTGTTTTATTTTTTATTTTTTATTTTATTATTATTCTACTTTAAGTTTTAGGGTACATGTGCACAATGTGCAGTTTAGTTACATATGTATATATGTGCCATGCTGGTGTGCTGCACCCATTAACTCGTCATTTAGCATTAGGTATATCTTCTAATGCTATCCCTCCCCCCTCCCCCCACCCCACAACAGTCCCTAGAGTGTGATGTTCCCCTTCCTGTGTCCATGTGTTCTCGTTGTTCAATTCCCACCTATGAGTGAGAACATGCGGTGTTTGGGTTTTTGTCCTTGCGATAGTTTACTGAGAATGATATTTCCAATTTCATCCATGTCCCTACAAAGGACATGAACTCATCATTTTTTTGTGGCTGCATAGTATTCCGTGGTGTATATGTGCCACATTTTTTTAATCCAGTCTATCATTGTTGGACATTTGGGTTGGTTCCAAGTCTTTGCTATTGTGAATAATGCCGCAATAAACATACGTGTGCATGTGTCTTTATAGCAGCATGATTTATAGTCCTTTGGGTATATACCCAGTAATGGGATGGCTGGGTCAAATGGCATTTCTAGTTCTAGATCCCTGAGGAATCGCCACACTGACTTCCACAATGGTTGAACTAGTTTACAGTCCCACCAACAGTGTAAAAGTGTTCCTATTTCTCCACATCCTCTCCAGCACCTGTTGTTTCCTGACTTTTTAATGATTGCCATTCTAACTGGTGTGAGATGGTATCTCATTGTGGTTTTGATTTGCATTTCTCTGATGGCCAGTGATGGTGAGCATTTTTTCATGTGTCTTTTGGCTGCATAAATGTCTTCTTTTGAGAAGTGTCTGTTCATGTCCTTTGCCCACTTTTTGATGGGGTTGTTTGTTTTTTTCTTGTAAATTTGTTTGAGTTCATTGTAGATTCTGGATATTAGCCCTTTGTCAGATGAGTAGGTTGCGAAAATTTTCTCCCATTTTGTAGGTTGCCTGTTCACTCTGATGGTAGTTTCTTTTGCTGTGCAGAAGCTCTTTAGTTTAATTAGATCTCATTTGTCAATTTTGGCTTTTGTTGCCATTGCTTTTGGTGTTTTAGACATGAAGTCCTTGCCCATGCCTATGTCCTGAATGGTACTGCCTAGGTTTTCTTCTAGGGTTTTTATGGTTTTAGGTCTAAGTTTAAGTCTTTAATTCATCTTGAATTAATTTTTGTATAAGGTGTAAGGAAGGGATCCAGTTTCAGCTTTCTACATATGGCTAGCCAGTTTCCCCAGCACCATTTATTAAATAGGGAATCCTTTCCCCATTGCTTATTTTTCTCAGGTTTGTCAAAGATCAGATAGTTGTAGATATGCAGCATTATTTCTGAGGGCTCTGTTCTGTTCCATTGATCTATATCTCTGTTTTGGTGCCAGTACCATGCTGTTTTGGTTACTGTAGCCTTGTAGTATAGTTTGAAGTCAGGTAGTGTGATGCCTCCAGCTTTGTTCTTTTGGCTTAGGATTGACTTGGCAATGTGGGCTCTTTTTTGGTTCCATATGAACTTTAAAGTACTTTTTTCCAATTCTGTGAAGAAAGTCATTGGTAGCTTGATGGGGATGGCATTGAATCTATAAATTACCTTGGGCAGTATGGCCATTTTCATGATATTGATTCTTCTTACCCATGAGCATGGAATGTTCTTCCATTTGTTTGTATCCTCTTTTATTTCATTGAGCAGTGGTTTGTAGTTCTCCTTGAAGAGGTCCTTCACGTCCCTTGTAAGTTAGATTCCTAGGTATTTTATTCTCTTTGAAATAATTGTGAATGGGAGTTTGCTCATGATTTGGCTCTCTGTTTGTCTGTTGTTGGTGTATAAGAATGCTTGTGATTTTTGTACATTGATTTTGTATCCTGAGACTTTGCTGAAGTTGCTTATCAACTTAAGGAGATTTTGGGCTGAGACAATGGGGTTTTCTAGATATACAATCATGTCATCTGCAAACAGGGACAATTTGACGTCCTCTTTCCTAATTGAATACCCTTTATTTCCTTCTCCTGCCTAATTGCCCTGGCCAGAACTTCCAACACTATGTTGAATAGGAGTGGTGAGAGAGGGCATCCCTGTCTTGTGCCAGTTTTCAAAGGGAATGCTTCCAGTTATTGCCCATTCAGCATGATATTGGCTGTGGGTTTGTCATAGATAGCTCTTATTATTTTGAGATACGTCCCATCAATACCTAATTTATTGAGAGATTTTAGCATGAAGGGTTGTTGAATTTTGTCAAAGGCCTTTTCTGCATCTATTGAGATAATCATGTGGTTTTTGTCTTTGGTTCTGTTTATATGCTGGATTACATTTATTGATTTGCGTATATTGAACCAGCCTTCCATCCTGGGGATGAAGCCCACTTGATCATGGTGGATAAGGTTTTTGATGTGCTGCTGGATTCGGTTTGCCAGTATTTTATTGAGGATTTTTGCATCAATGTTCATCAAGGATATTGGTCTAAAATTCTTTTTTTCGGTTGTGTCTCTGCCTGGCTTTGGTATCAGGATGATGCTGGCCTCATAAAATGAGTTAGGGAGGATTCCCTCTTTTTCTATTGATTGGAATAGTTTCAGAAGGAATGGTACCAGCTCCTCCTTATACCTCTGGTAGAATTCAGCTGTGAATCCATCTGGTCCTGGACTCTTTTTGGTTGGTAAGCTATTGATTATTGCCACAATTTCAGAGCCTGTTATTGGTCTATTCAGAGATTCAACTTCTTCCTGGTTTAGTCTTGGGAGGGTGTATGTGTCGAGGAATTTATCCATTTCTTCTAGATTTTCTAGTTTACTTGTGTAGAGGTGTTTGTAGTATTCTCTGATGGTAGTTTGTATTTCTGTGGGATTGGTGGTGATATCCCCTTTATCATTTTTTATTGCGTCTATTTGATTCTTCTCTCTTTTCTTCTTTATTAGTCTTGCTAGCGGTCTATCAATTTTGTTGATCCTTTCAAAAAACAAGCTCCTGGATTCATTAATTTTTTGAAGGGTTTTTTGTGTCTCTATTTCCTTCAGTTCTGCTCTGATTTTAGTTATTTCTTGCCTTCTGCTAGCTTTTGAATGTGTTTGCTCTTGCTTTTCTAATTCTTTTAATTGTGATGTTAGGGTGTCAATTTTGGATCTTTCCTGCTTTCTCTTGTGGGCATTTAGTGCTATAAATTTCCGTCTACACACTGCTTTGAATGTGTTCCAGAGATTCTGGTATGTTGTGTCTTTGTTCTCGTTGGTTTCAAAGAACATCTTTATTTCTGCCTTCATTTCGTTATGTACCCAGTAGTCATTCAGGAGCAGGTTGTTCAGTTTCCATGTAGTTGAGTGGTTTTGAGTGAGTTTCTTAATACTGAGTTCTAGTTTGATTGCACTGTGGTCTGAGAGATAGTTTGTTATAATTTCTGTTCTTTTACATGTGCTGAGGAGAGCTTTACTTCGAACTATGTGGTCAATTTTGGAATAGGTGTGGTGTGGTGCTGAAAAAAATGTATATTCTGTTGATTTGGGGTGGAGAATTCTGTAGATGTCTATTAGGTCCACTTGGTGCAGAGCTGAGTTGAATTCCTGGGTATCCTTGTTAACTTTCTGTCTCGTTGATCTGTCTAATGTTGACAGTGGGGTGTTAAAGTCTCCCATTATTATTGTGTGGGAGTCTAAGTCTCTTTGTAGGTCACTAAGGACTTGCTTTATGAATCTGGATGCTCCTGTATTGGGTGCACATGTATTTAGGATAGTTAATTCTTCTTGTTGAATTGATACCTTTACCATTATGTAATGGCCTTCTTTGTCTCTTTTGATCTTTGTTGGTTTAAAATCTGTTTTATCAGAGGCTAGGATTGCAACCCCTGCCTTTTTTTGTTTTCCATTTGCTTGGTAGATCTTCCTCCATCCTTTTATTTTGAGCCTATGTGTGTCTCTGCACATGAGATGGGTTTCCTGAATACAGCACACTGATGGGTCTTGACTCTTTATCCAATTTGCCAGTCTGTGTCTTTTAATTGAAGCATTTAGTCCATTTACATTTAAAGTTAATATTGTTATGTGTGAATTTGATCCTGTCATTATGATGTTAGCTGGTTATTTTGCTTGTTAGTTGATGCAGTTTCTTCCTAGCCTCAATGGTCTTTACAATTTGGCCTGATTTTGCAGTGGCTGATACCGGTTTTTCCTTTCCATGTTTAGTGCTTCCTTCAGGAGCTCTTTTAGGGCAGGCCTGGTGGTGACAAAATCTCTCAGCATTTGCTTGTCTGTAAAGTATTTTATTTCTCCTTCACTTATGAAGTTTAGTTGGCTCAATATGAAATTCTGGGTTGAAAATTCTTTTCTTTAAGAATGTTGAATATTGGCCCCCACTCTCTTTTGGCTTGCAGAGTTTCTGCCGAGAGATCTGCTGTTAGTCTGATGGGCTTCCCTTTGTGGGTAACCTGACCTTTCTCTCTGGCTGCCCTTAACATTTTTTCCTTCATTTCAACTTTGGTGAATCTGACAATTATGTGTCTTGGAGTTGCTCTTCTCGAGGAGTATCTTTGTGGCATTCTCTGTATTTCCTGAATCTGAATGTTGGCCTGCCTTGCTAGATTGGGGAAGTTCTCCTGGATAATATCCTGCAGAGTGTTTTCCAACTTGGTTCCATTCTCCCCGTCACTTTCAGGTACACCAATCAGACGTAGATTTGGTCTTTTCACATAGTCCCATATTTCTTGGAGGCTTTGTTCGTTTCTTTTTATTCTTTTTTCTCTAAACTTCCCTTCTCGCTTCATTTCATTCATTTCATCTTCCATCACTGATACCCTTTCTTCCAGTTGATCACATCGGCCCCTGAGGCCTCTGCATTCTTCATGTAGTTCTCGAGCCTTGGCTTTCAGCTCCATCGGCTCCTTTAAGCACTTCACTGTATTGGTTATTGTAGTTATACATTCATCTAAATTTTTTTCAAAGTTTTTAACTTCTTTGCCTTTGGTTTGAATTTCCTCCTGTAGCTCGGAGTAGTTTGATCGTCTGAAGCCTTCTTCTCTCAACTCGTCAAAGTCATTCTCCGTCCAGCTTTGTTCTGTTGCTGGTGAGGAACTGCATTCCTTTGGAGGAGGAGAGGCACTCTGCTTTTTAGAGTTTCCAGTTTTTCTGCTCTGTTTTTTCCCCATCTTTGTGGTTTTATCTACTTTTGGTCTTTGATGATGGTGATGTACAGATGGGTTTTTGGTGTGGATGTCTTTCTGTTTGTTAGTTTTCCTTCTAACAGACAGGACCCTCAGCTGTAGGTCTGTTGGAGTTTGCTAGAGGTCCACTCCAGACCCTGTTTGCCTGGGTAACAGCAGCGGTGGCTGCAGAACAGCGGATTTTCATGAACCACGAATGCTGCTGTCTGATCGTTCCTCTGGAAGTTTTGTCTCAGAGGAGTACCCGGCCGTATGAGGTGTCAGTCTGCCCCTACTGGGGGGTGCCTCCCAGTTAGGCTGCTCGGGGGTCAGGGGTCAGGGACCCACTTGATGAGGCAGTCTGCGTGTTCTCAGATCTCCAGCTGCGTGCTGGGAGAACCATTGCTCCCTTCAAAGCTGTCAGACAGGGACATTTAAGTCTGCAGAGGTTACTGCTGTCTTTTTGTTTGTCTGTGCCCTGCCCCCAGAGGTGGAACCTACAGAGGCAGTCTGGCCTCCTTGAGCTGTGGTGGTCTCCACCCAGTTTGAGCTTCCCGGCTGCTTTGTTTACCTAAGCAAGCTTGGGCAATGGCAGGCGCCCCTCCCCCAGCCTCGCTGCCGCCTTGCAGTTTGATCTCAGACTGCTGTGCTAGCAATCAGTGAGACTCCGTGGGCGTAGAACCCTCTGAGCCATGTGCGGGATATAATCTCCTGGTGCGCCGTTTTTTAAGCCCGTCAGAAAAGCGCAGTATTAGAGTGGGAGTGACCCGATTTTCTAGGTGCTGTCTGTCACCCCTTTCTTTGACTAGGAAAGGGAACTTCCTGACCCCTTGCACTTCCCGAATGAAGCAATGCGTCGCCCTGCTTTGGCTCGCGTACGGTGCGCTGCACCCACTGTCCTGCGCCCACTGTCTGGCACTCCCTAGTGAGATGAACCCGGTACCTCAGATGGAAATGCAGAGATCACCTGTCTTCTGCATCGCTCACGCTGGGAGCTGTAGACCAGAGCTGTTCCTATTCAGCCATATTGGCTGCCCCTCCATTATTTTTATTAAACTGTTTTCTTTTTTTGATTCCCCTGTTAACTCTTTCTGAACCCCAGAAAACATTTCAAGATTGAAATAGATAAAAGTATCAAATGCTGCCAATGTGTCATGTAAAGCAAATAACAGCATCAAATAACAGCTCAGATTGCTCAGCACAAACCTTGAAGGTTAATACTTCCCATACTTTGGACGCAATCCACTTCAAACATTGTTTTAAGTGATATTATCCTTTGCACTGGATTCAACTACCACTCATATGCTGATGATTACTAATCAATAGCTCTTACATTTTTATTCTGAAATACAGACCCGCACATTCAACTTTTTCTAAATATCTTTGTGTAAACAACAAGATAGTTGAGACAAGGGCAGTGCAGTGGTAAAATGCCCAGACTCTGCATCCTGGTTTTAGATTCCAGTGATGTTATTAAGTAACTAACAGACCTTGGATGAGTTAAACACCCTGTGCCTCAATTTTATCATTTGTAAAATAGGTATAATCGTTTTTAAAAGAGTTGTTTGGAGGGTTAATGAGTTAGTATTTGATATGCTTATATTTTGGTTAAGAAGACAGACATCAAACAAAATAAATGTATGTTTTTAATTTATTGAATTATTTACCAGAACTTTCTAAGTCTTTCAGGCAAATTGACTCTAGACATGCCCAGATATGTCCTAATCACAGGGCCAACAGTGCTTTGGTTCTCAATCAGACTGTTAAGGCAATGAGAAATTGTTAGGCTCAGGATACAAGTCAATTTTTAAAGAACTACTATGAAAATTTGGAGATGAAATAGGTTCTGATATTTGGTAACACGGGATGTACTGTGCTGATGGATAGCTCCAGGTTGATGATTCTTTCCCATCATCAGTCTGTCTCTATGTTCTCAGTTCTTGGGAAGGAAGTAAAGAATAATAGGCAAGGTAGCAAGACCTAGTCTCTAATAAAATAAATAAATAATTTAAAAATAAAAAAAGAACAATCAGTAAGTCCACTTTGGTCAGGCTGATCTTTGTTTGAACTAACGCTCAGCCCTGGTATGTAGATATGTGGTCTTAGGCAAGTTATACTAAATTAGTGTTTTTATCTGTCCAGTGGGGATGACAACAACAACGACAACATCCCTAAATGGGTGTAAAGATAAAGGAGTTAATTTAGAAGATGTTTATTAGTCTGAGAGTATTAATCACTCAAAGGTTGAATATTACACTCCTCATAAGTGTTCTTTGACATGTGTGGATCAAGAACTGCTGGGCTTTGAAGAAGGGTTACTTTATGGTGCTTACATGTGGCGTTCGTGGTGTTTATCTCTAGTCAACAGCTTCATCAAAGCAGTGTACTCGGACTAGAGCTGGGAAGTCCACTATGTCCTCTACATAAAGTGAGTTTTTGGCCCATTATTGTTAGGGATAAAGAAGTGAAGGGAAGGTGCTTCAAAAGTTCCTTCTGCCTTATCCTGTCTGTACTCTTATTGTCATATTTCTCCTGTCCCTATTATTGCCTGTCTTAATGCAATAAACTATACTGCTTGTCTCCCTAATTTTTAAATTTCTTTTTCATCAATAACCTCTTTATTTATAATTCCTTTGCCTTTTCTAAGCTAGTCTTTATTCAAAAGACTCTAATGGTTTAGTCAATTGCAGGTTCCCTGTTTGAACAGAATGAAAGATAGGGGAATATTTGGGAAGAAATAAAACGTGAGTGTCTACCACATAATTGACACTGTGCTAAATGCTGGGGGTAATCTGACAAACAAAGTATAGACAATCTTTGTCCTCACCGAGATTATAGACCAGTGTGTGATTCAGAGAATAAGGCAACTATATTGAAGATTATTATATCATGTGATTGGAAACTATGTAGATGTGGTCTGGGTACTTACCTGAAACCCAGAAGATGAGAGATGTGTTCTTGAAAGAAGTGGTACCTCAGATAAGAGCTTTATGATGAGAAGACTAGAAGCAAGAAAAAATGTGGCACATGGGAGAAATTTTAAAAACTCAGTACTATGCAGTGTGGTGAGGGAATGACATTCACTCTGACTAGTTAAGGAATAGGGACCAGAATATGCATGATCTTGTAGCTCATGTTAAGGAGTTTTGTCATTATGAAAAACAAACAAACAAAAAAGAAGTACTGAGTTATTTAAAGTAGATACATGAATGAATTTGGAATTTAGAACCTAACTCCAGCTGCAGCAAATTAGAAGAGAGTGATACTGGAAAATGAGAGACAAACAGGAGATGGCTGCAGTAATCTAGGAGAAAAGCAGTGGTGATCTGCTATGGTATGAGAGCTGTAATAAAGGCAAGTGTACAGATGAACAAGCCGGGCTAGAGGGAGAATTTGCGGCACTGGGAGATTTATCAGATAAGAGGCAGGAGAGTGGTGAGGCGGGGTCTGCAAGTTTGTGTCTGGCTGATTGCACAGATGTTTAATGAAGTAGATACACAGAAGGAAAAGGAGCATATTTGGGTTGATAGAGGTAATGAATTTGGGAGTCAAGTGAGTACAGGGAGTCTACAGGACCTCTCATAAACAGGTCTACTAGGCAGAAGGACATCTGTATCCTTTCTCACTTTTCAAGGCACGAATATTTAATTGCCACTGTGTGTGTGTTTGTGTGTGTGTGTGTGTGTGTGTGTGTAATTTGTGTATCTAGAAAGCAAAAGAAAACTTTAGAGAAATTTTAAATTTTTAAAAAAATTAAAATGATTAATCTATTTAGGCACAATAAGATCCATAGATTGTTATAAACGTTTAAGAAACAGTTCATTTTGCTAATTGGTTCAGTATTTTATGTTCCATTTGTTTAAGATTAGAGTCACTGGATACAAGGAAGTGCATGAATTATCAATCTGCTTAAGAAGTTTAAGAGAGTCAATTTGTTATCAAAACTGAGACTGATATAAAGAAATGGTGACATCAGTTCATGTTTAGAGATAAGAATAATGGCATCCAATACAATCAAGGACTTTTCCAATATCAATATAAAAACCTCCTTCCGCTTTAGCTTGAAGTGATGAAATCTTAACCAGATAGAAATTTTATCCAGTGTGATGAATTAGGGTTATTACTGATGCATTTTTGCAAATGTCTGAAAGACTTTGTCTTTTTAATAAAGTTTTCTTAAGGCTATGGCGTTTTCAGCCAAAGGAAATGTTTTGAAATAAATTGTATTCATACAATTTATATCAAAAACATGAATGTTCTACAAATAAGTTTTTAACAATACTAAGCATGGGCCCAAAAATGAAAGCTGAAGAATTTTAGTATAGCTTTATGTTTCTGACATAATAATTCACAACTGATGAATATAATATATAGGATTGTTGAAGTTTGGGTAGAAGTTCTGTGTGGGAATCCAGGAGTCTGAACTTTGACAGTCTGCAATTTTATAAGAATGAGTTTTTAGTACTTTATTTGTCTACATAAATTCTACTTCTATTATTATCTGGCTTGTTTCTATTATCAACTATATTTAAAGTTATGTTTCAGTCTAGTATTTCCTTTCTTATGTAATTGTCTTTATTCCCCTCTTTTTTCCTAGATATTTCAAACGAAGTATCTTCAAAGGAATACTTCAAAGAAAATATAGCCCTTATATTAAGTATAACTGTCAATCGTATTTTTATGGTTAATAGATAATAAAAACAATTTATTGTTAGAAAATACAGAAAAAGTTAAATAATTAAAATTGTACTTGCCTTTTCTTAAAGTATCCATGAGGAAATAGTGTCAGGACTTACTTCCGTTCTATTTCTTCATCTCTTAGTCTTCTTTTCTTACTTCTGAAGATTAGTTTTAGTATTAGGAGCTGGTCAGTGGTCTCTGTTCTTGAGAATATTTGCCCTTTTGTGACTTCACCTTGTAACTTGCTTCTGAACTTGCATAAATAATTCCTACAGGGAGGCCAGTCTGAAAGAGAGAGACCATTCACCAAACAAATGTGTAATTCACTACCACAATCCTGACTTCAGGACACTGTGACCCTCAACTTGTGTTAAGCTGAAACACAGTGGCAGGATTCCTGTTAAATTGGTACATTTTCCATTTGTGAAGTCATCCTGAAGTTCTTGATAGTCTTCGGCATACCCCACAGTAGGAGTCTGAGAATCTGATCTCAGACTCCTAAAGAACTATTCTGAAGTAATAAGGACAATTTATACTTTAACATTTCACAAAACATCTCAGATTGGAGAGCTAAAAATGTTTTATTCTCTTCACTGAAGCTTTCGGGAATATATGCTCCATTGAAGCAATTAGACAAATTTGCTTTTCTGTCCAGAAAGGAAGACCAGTGGGACATGTCTAAGAAAACTTCTAACATCTGCATTTCCCTTAGACTTTGAGTACACCTGCAGGGATGGGGGCAGACTTGTTTCATTTCAGGTAAGATGCTTATCTCCATTAGCTCATCTTTGAGGCTGAGGAGATTTAGCCAGTCCTGAAACCATTCCAAAAGATTTCATTTTGGTTTAGGTACCAGAAGGTTTTTTGTTTTTTAAATTCTATGATGATTTCAAACTTACAGAAGAGTTGTAAGAGTAGTACAGATAATTTTATTTTCCCTGAATCATTTAGGAGCAGTTTGCTCTATCACACCCAAATACCTTAGTGTATTTCCTACAAACAAAAAGATTATCCTACTTAACCATACAACCGTTAAAATAATGAAACTTACATTTACATATTACTATCATCTAGATTACACAGTCCATTCAAGGTTTTTAAAAATTTTTATTAATCTTAGTTTAATTTTACTTATTTTTGTTTTTTATTGAGACGAGGTTTCACTATGTTGCCCAGGTTAGTCTTGAACTCCTGGGCTTAAGTGATTCTTCCGCCTCTGCCTCCCAAAGTGTTGGGATTATAGGCGTAAGCCACTGTGCCCGGCCTCCATTCAAGTTTTAACACTTGTCCCAATAATTTTTGTTGTTGTTGTTGTTGTTTGTTTGTTTGTTTTAAACAGGAATCCCTCAGACTGGGTTCTCCCCCTCTTATTCTCCTAAAGGAAAAGAAGAATGATCATCAAAGGCAAATGGCAGTTGCTATGCAGCAACACCAAGAACTGGCTTCACGCTCCAGAGAAAATGCTGTGCCTCCTCCTGGTGGTTTCCGGTGCTCCACATGTTCAAAGAAATTACCCGGAAATGTAGAAATGATCCCTGAAAGTATAGTCTTCCAGTAATGTTTCTTTTAGCAAAAGGATCCAATCTAAGATCTCATGTGTTTTAGTTTTCTTCAATGTGGAAAAGTTCCTCAGTCTTTGCTTGACTTCCATGACTTTGATATTTTGAAGGGTACATGGTAGTTATTTTATAAAATGATCCGAATTTCTCAATTTGAAATTATTCAATATTTCCTTATGATTAGATAGAGGTTACACATCTTTGGCAGAAATGTCACAGAAATAAGCCTGTGTCCTCTTTGCATTGTATGGGGAAGACACATGTCAGTTTGGCCCATTACAAATGATGTGAACTTTGATCACTTGGTTAAGGTTTTTCCACTGAAAAGTATTCTTCTTTCTCATTGTAATTAATAAGTATTTTATAGGGCTATGAGATGTAAGTATCCCATTCCTCATTAAACTTGCCACACTTGTTTTAGTGTGGCAGCCCATTGATGTTTCTTGGCTGAATTAATTATGATTTTCTAATCCTATCGTTCTTTCTATAGTTATTAATTGGCATTCTACTCCAAGGAAAAATCAGTCTTCCTTCCTTCCTTCCTTCCTTCCTTCTTTCTGAATATATACGGGTTATAGTATATTAATATCATGATTTATTTTGATGCTCAACTTTCCCAAATTTGTACAGTGGGAATTCCTTTAACCTGGCTTTTATGTCCACTTTAAAGAAACATTTCATTTGGAAAAATTTTATATTCACAGAAGAGATGCAATATAGAACAGAGACTTCTCATATACTCTTTACCCAGCTTTTCTAATGTCAACATTTTACATAACCATGGCTCTTTGTCCTTTTCACATGTCCCAGTCATTCTTTGAACACTTCCTTACTTTTTAGTACAAGATATTTCAGGGCAAACTTATACTTCCCTTTTCCCACCTCTGGATCAGCCATTTCTCCAAAGGTCTATAACCCGTAGGGATCTGTAGCAATTGGACTCCATCTAGTTAAATCAAAATCCTTTTCCCAGTTTCCAGATATGAGCGAGGATCTAGAATAAGAGACCATGGAATGAAAGAAAGACCAGTTCCCACTGAAGAAGGACCTATAATACCACAGCATTCATATGAATCGAGACTTTGTTTGGTCTTTGGTAGCAATTTTCCCAGTTCTTCCGTACTTGGCACTGTAGTAATTTACCAGAATAACTACATATTGGGGAAAGAGGAATTCTCATATTTTCCAGGATTTTTGGATATGGGGGTCAAGATAGCATTGATGCCAGGAGACACAAAATGACATCGTGGACCCCCTATTAGAGTGAAGCCACTAGGACAATTGATAAATGAAGTTCTGGGGTAAGTCCATCCCCAAAGGGGGACTATATTAGATTTATATTGCAGCTATAACAAATTATCTCAAACTTAGTGAATTAAAACTCTACAAATTTATTAGAGTTCTGTAGGCCAAAAGTCTAACATGGATTTCACTGAGCTGAAATCTAGGTGTTGGAGGCTGCATTCCCTTCTGGATACTCTAGTGAAGGTTTTGTTTCCTTGCCTTTTCCATCTTCTGGAGGCTGTCTGCATTCTTTGGCTTATTGCCCCCTCTCCATCTTCAAAGCTAACAACGTCTGGCTCCTTCTTTCTCGAGATACATCTTTCTGACTTTTCTTCTGTCATTGCGTCTCTCTCTGACCACAACTGGGAAAGATTCTTGACCTTCAAGAACTCATGTGATTATCTTAGATAAGCCCATTTGGACAATTAAGACATTTTCCTCATCTCAGACTCTATATCCCTAGTCACATCTGCAAAGTCCCCTTTGTCATAAAAGAAACCATATTCACAGGTTCTAGTGACATCTTTGGGGGCACATCTTTGGAAACCATTATGCTTATCATAGAGTTCAGTGTGTCCACGGATGCACCCAGTGATCATTTTCCCAGCCCCGGTGAGTATACTGGGATGAATTTACTTAGTAGCTGGTAAAACTTTCACATTGGTTCTTGACCTGTTGACTACGGGACATTGTGGTATAAAAGGCTAAAAGGAAGCCGATTAAACTGCCCCTAATGTCTAGCCAAGATAGTACATCAGAATCAATACAACATCACAGGTGAAATGGCAGATGACTGTTACCCTTAAAGATTTTTAGGTAGGGGGATAGTTATTCTCATCGTATTCCCATTTCATTCAACAATCTGTCTCCTACAAAAATTAGATGGATTGTGATGGGAGATAATGGATTACTGCAAACTTCGCCAAATAGTAGCATCATTGCCACTGATGTGTGATACTATTTTTAATAAAACAGATCCACACAAACTCCTGTACTTACTATGCACTTATTGATCTTATTGAAAAGAATACTTCTTAAACCCCCATCAAAAAGAACAATCAGAAGCAGTTTGGGTTCACTTGGTATAAACAACAGTATACATTTACAATTTGTTTTAGGGCTATGTTAACTTTTTGGTCTTAAGCAATAGTAGAGTTTGACGAGAATTTGATCATCTGGAAATCCTGAAGAACACATCCTGTCACTATATTGATGACATTATATTAATTGGCCTCATGCACAGGAAGTGGCAACTATTCTAGATGCCCTTTAGAACATATGTACTGTAACATGTGGGAGATAAATTCCACAAGATACAGAGTTCTATCACATCAATAACTTTTTTTATATAGTCCTCATAGTTTAATAGAAAGAATGCATTTTTATATGTAGTTCCTTTTAGAAATAACAAAATAGAAAATGAATTTAACCATTGTTTTATAGAAAATAGGGAAATGTCCTTCAACTGAGCATTTCTTTTCCTCATATTAATAAAGTCTGCATCCACCTCCTACATTAATAGGAAATAGGAATTTCAGATAATAAATGTGAAAAGCTGAAATAATCCTGACAAATTTTTTCAAATCAATTGTTGAAAATATTTACTTAGAAAAAAATCTTTAGTTGGAAAACAGCAGAAACAAAAGAAAACTCACACTTCATGTAAACAACAGAACACTATGCTAAGTTTAGTTCTACAATAAAAGCCACACAAATCTGTGTGTGTGTGGCCAATGACAAGGATACAGAGAAAAGAAAAAGAAAATTTAGAGACAGGTAGAGTATAACTCTTTGCTTACTGCAAATCTTGTCTGGAGGAGAACCTCTGGAAAACAATAAGTTGAGATGGCCCTAGTCTACCAGCATGCCAGAGGCAGAACCAATATAATCTCCTAAAATATGAGATTTGTGTCAATTCTTAGGGTAACTCACTAGGTGGTTTGGTTACACCAATGAATAAAGTTTCTAATTCCACACTAAGCTCATCCTTTGGAACATCAATCTCATCTCCAGATTCTTCCCCAAGCTTCTTCAACCGGCGTGGGTTGTATATGCTTCAGGGTGGTGAGATGGGCCTGCTTGGCCTTGGCTGCCACAGGCCTGGATCTTAGGAAGAGCTCAGGTTCTTTCCCTTCTGCTTCCTTCAGACTTGGTGCCTTCATTAGCTGTTCAACGTTAGTGCTGATCTGTACCATCAGAGCTTCTCTGTGTTGCTGGGCTCACTCTTCCAGGGCCCTGCCCATAAAGTAGTGTTGCAGTCGTTCTTAAGCTCGGGCATGGGGCTCGCTACTGACCACATCTGACATTGGAGAGCCCGAATGTCTTCTGACATAGTCATCCGCTTGTTGCTTCAGTTCAGCTCGGCATGCATCAGTGAGTTCTTGGAGTCCTCACCAAGGAACAAATAGTTTCTGTTTCTTACGGCACTTTGCTAGGAATTTAAACACTGCTCTTTGAAGTATGACAGCTGCTTTATATTCTGTGAGAGACTGCCTCTGTTGGCAAAAATTTTTCCTTTCCCTGTACCCTCTCCAATGTTTCTGGATAATCAGTGCTGATTTCTCTTCCATTTCCCAATTGTGTTTCTCCACTTGACCTGGATGAACTACTTTGAGCATACTCAGCCACAATTCTTGGGAAAGTCTCATGGCTCTCTGTCTTTGAAGTTGCAATCACAATCTGAGGTCCTCTTCTTCCTTCTTCCTATTTATCTCCAGCAACATCTTTGCTCGTTTAGATCTGAAACTCCTCTGCAAAGCAATCACAGCAGATGGAAGCTTCTTTAATCTCTTTCTTGTCTGAAAACCCTTCCAATAGGCTTGAATCAAGCATGCTGCTTGATGTAGTTTCTGCTTTTCTACTTCCTGATAGACCGTTGGGCTTAAAAGGCCAATGAGCTGTCTAAGTTCTTGACTGAATTCTGTCCCAGTTTCCTGTTTACTTAGTAGACTTCTGAGTCCTTTGTAGCAGGCACTTTGTCTCAGTAAAATCAAAATTTCCTGATAGGATTCAGCCATCAACAGTAGGAGTTTTGCAGCAGTACTTCTTATGACTGGACTAGGAGTTGAAAAAAGCTTGAAAATAACTTCATCTAAAATTGAATGCACGGCTTTTCCTCCTGTTCTGAGTAAATCACCACTGTTGCTCTATAGTATATTCTGTAGCATCATCATGAGTGCTGATCCTATTTGGACATTGTCAACTTGCAGTAAGTGTAAGAAATGATCACTTTGTAGTACATTCTGAATAAGTTCAACATGGCCTCCCAAAAGCCAGAAGAGCCAATCAGTCACAATTTTTAGTAACTCATCTTTTTCTTCAGCCTTAGCTGCATTGATAAAACATGTTTGCCATTATCTCCCCAAAACTAGAAAATTTTCTGCAGCTGATGGAAGTAATTCATTGGAAAGTTCCTCTGCATCTTCTCCTGGCTCCAAGCCTGCACAGCAATGGCTTTTAACTTCAACAGTATAACAGGGACATTCCACTCAGGGCTTTTTGCAACTTCAGCAGCTAGAGATAAGATCCTTGGGTCTGCACCTGTTGGCTTCATTTCTCGTATTACCTGTTGCTGGGCCACCAGCTCGGTGCTTTGGGAATCATGTCTCCCTCGCGGCACCTTTTACTGCCTCCATGGATCATTCATCCTCACTTCACATTCTTCCACTAAAGAACCTGGCTCCCATGCCACACCACAGCGCCACAGTCTTCCCGGGGCAGCATGCCACATCAATAACATTTTTAAGAGTCCAGTGGTCTGGGGCAAATAGGTGGTCCAGATTCCTATGTCATTTACTTTTCATTCACCAATGCCTCTCTGTCAGCTTACACCAATAAACTTACGGGAGATTCGCTAGGACCACCTGAAATAGGAAGAAAAACACTGGCATGGTTAACAGATGACTAAGCTTGCTATGTTGGTGAGAGCCAAAAATGGAATGGTGCTGATATATATCTCCACTCAAGGGCATCCCAGAAAGACAGTGAGAAGAAATACTCTCAGAAGGCAGACTTTCAGTCAGCCCTTCTAGTCATCACCTTTAGGTATATAGTAAGTATATACATATGATCCTGGGCAGTGGTAAATGGGTTTGGCTGGTTTATCGTGGGCCTGGAAGGAGCAAGATTGAAAGTTTGAGGACCATGTTCACAGCTTAAAGTGAGAAAAAAAATCATAGGACAGATATTTCTCACCAAAAAAATACTTCACATAAATATAGACAGATTTGACATCTATCTTTTACCTCCTCTCTGTACATAAGTACATACACACTTGGCATATAATTTAAAAAGATTTAAAAGGATATAAAGTGAACAAGTAGATACCAAAAAGCATTCTATTAAATTTAACATTCACTAATGATTAGTACTATGAGTATAAGGTCTTTGAGGTAGGAACATACTCAGAGGCAAGGTACAAGAAAACCCATGTAGAGTGACTTAAACAATTAGATGTTTGTCTCATGTGCAAAGAAGTAGTCCAGGTTGAGGGGTCAACAATGTTATCTCTGGCCAGGCATGGTGGCTCACCCCTGTGACCCCAGAACTTTGGGAGGCCAAGGTGGGTTGATCACTTGAGGTCAGGAGTTCGAGACCAGCCTGACCAACATGGTGAAACCCCATCTCTACAAAAAATACAAAAATTAGCCCAGCATGGTGGCATGTGCCTGTAATCCCAGCTACCTGGGAGGCTGAAGCAGGAGAATCGCTTGAACTTGGGAGGCAGGGGTTGCAGTGAACTGAGATCGTGCCACTGCACTCCAGCCTAGGCAACAGAGTGAGACTCTGTCTTACAAAAACAAACAAACAAAAAAACCAATGTTACCACAGAACCCAAACTTTGTCTACATTTCTGCCCCTTTATCTGTGGATCATGCTTTCATCCTCAGGTGTGTCTCTTGTTTTTCAATAAGGTTTCAATAAGCTGGCTAATACTTCAGTCTCATGTGTGCTTCGCAGGTATGAAAAAAGATAAGCGAAGAAGAAATCAGTAAGAAATACTTGAGATAATAAAAACACTGACTTAAAAAATGTTATGATGATGTATCTAAAGAATCCTAAAAGTTTATCAAGCAAACTATTAGAACTAATGAGCATTTGCTAAAGTAAATAAACCAACACACAAAATAAGTAACAAACCTTTTTGTTGCTGTATACCAGATATGGTGAATTCTTATAATTTTATGTTGTCTTGACATCCATTCTAAATATAGGTTTAACTTTCTCATACCAAAAGCAGGGCTTAATCAATCTTGCACATTTTTCAGTTCTCCATCTCCTCCTAGTTCTTCAATGTGGCTGATCCAGAAATCTGTCATATATAATCACATCCTGGTGACCACCTCTGTATTGGATAGCAAGATTCAACCAACTTGACTTGACCCACTGATCACCACCCACGCCCCACATGGACTACTCAGACTTTCTGCATTGACCAATTCTCATTTACCTCTTGATGGAGCTCATGTGTGCTTGCTCCAAACCCACCAATTAGAACTCCCCACAGGAAATCTGTTTGGGTAATACTCTGGACCCCATTGAAGTCTTCAGCCCACAGATTTCTCACTCTCTCTTGCTTCTCACCTACTGGATGGCCCGCTTTCTGTTGGTCCTGTGAGGCATGCTGCCCTTTCCTCTCTGGGATCTGTAAGTAATAAAATGCTTCTTTTGTTTTATATGTTTTGTTGAGTTGCCTTTGCTGTGTCTTACCTGACCAACACACCTGAACTTAACTTCTTACTCAGCCAGAGCTCTCCTAGAGAGAGGGTCTCTTGGTTGAAATAAACTGGACACAGGTTAGATAAGAGCCATAGAGTCTCTGCCGGTATAAACAAGTGTCCTGTAAGAGGGACACGTGGTCATGGGTCAAATACATAGGCATTAGGCTGTCCACCAGAATAAAGAAGTATCCCATGAAAGGCACATTGTAAACATCTATGACCAAACTCCCTGGATCTCTGTCAGGGCAGAGCTAGAGTTTATAGCCACTCTCTTGAGAGAGACCTCAGGACTAAAATAGAAAGAAAAAAATACAACAGAAATAACGATTAGAAACTGAAAAAGGAAGTTCTATTAAGAAAAGTAAAAGTAATACAGAAAAATATCAACTTTAGCAAAGGCCTGAGTACTACAGAAATATATTCTTGGAAGAAAAGTTTCAGAGTTTAATTTCTTTCAAATGAATTTCTAAATTTATTTCCATCCCAATAAAACATCACCATAGGATTTTAAAATAAGCTCGACAAGCTAATTTTAAACTATAAATGGAAAATTAAATAAAAAATCATTGTAGGACATTTCAGCTGGGTGCGGTGGTTCACTTCTGTGATCCCAGCACTTTGGGAGGGCAAGGCAGGCAGATCACTTGAGGCCAGGAGTTCAATATCAGCCTGGCCAACATGGCAAAAACCCATCTCTACTAAAAATACAAAAAATTAGCTGGGTGTGGTGGTGCATGTCTGTAATCCCAGCTACTCAGGAGGCTGAGGCATGAGAATTACTTGAACTCACCCCAGGAGGCAGAGGTTGCAGTGAGTCAAGATCAGGCCACTCCACTCCAGCCTGGGCAACACAGCAAGACTGTCTCAAAAGAAAAAAGTAATTATTATAGGACACTTTAATAAACTCAAAAACCTTTTAATAATCTTTTAAATGTTAAATAGTTTTAAATTTATAGAAAAATTGTAAAAGTGGTACCAAGAGTTCCCATATTGCCCACATCCAGTTTCTCCTATTATTAACATCTTACATCATTATGGTACAGTTAGCATAATTAACAAACCAATACAAGTAATTATTATAAACTAAAGTCTGTATTTTATTCACATTTCCTTAGTCTTTAGCTAACGTCCTTTTTCAGTCTCAGGAGGCTGAGGCAGGAGAATCACTTGAACCCAGGATGCAGAGGTTGCAGTGAGCTGAGATCATGCCACTGCACTCTGGCCTGGGCAACAAGAGCAAAACTCCATCTCAGAAAAAAAAAAAGTGCTTTTTCTGCATCTATTGAGACAGTCATAGAGTTTTTTCTTTGCATTTGTTCATATGGCAAATTGCACTGACTTTTGAATGTTGAAACCACTTTACATTCTTGGGGTAAATCAAACTTGGTTGTGACATATCTTTTTATATATTGCTGAATTCAATTTGCTAATATTTTCTTTTCTTTTCTTTACTCTTTTTTCTTTTCTTGAGACGGAGTCTCGCTCTGTCACTCAGGCTGGAGTGCAATGGAGCGATGTCAGCTCACTGCAACCTCCGCCTCCCAGGTTCAAGCAATTCTCTTGTCTCAGCCTCCTGAGTAGCTGGGACTACAGCTACTGGGTGTGTATGCCACCACACCCACCTAATTTTTGTATTTTTAGTAGAGACGGGGTTTCACCATGTTGGCCAGGATGGTCTCAATCTCTTGACCTCGTGATCCGCCCACCTCGTCCTCCCAAAGTGCTGGGATTACAGGCCTGAGCCACTGCTAATATTTTCTTGAAAATTTTTACATCTGTGTTCATAAGAATATTGGTCTGTACTTTCCTTTACGCCCTTGTCTCACTTTGTGATTAGGGTAATCCTGACTTCATAAAACAAGTTTGGAAGTCTTTCTTTTATTTTCTGGGAAAGATTTTGTAGAATAGGTATTATCTCTTTCTTAAATGTTTGATAGAATGTGCCAGGGAAACCATCTGGCTCAGAGTTTTATTTTTTGGTTTGGAAGTTTTAAAAACAAACTCAATTTCTTTATAAATATGAGTACTAACGCTTTTTATTTTTTCTTGATTGACCTTTGGTCATTTGTTTCTTTAAAGTGATTGGTCTGTTTCATTTAAGCTGCCAAATTTATGGTTGTACTGAGTTGCATAGTATTTCCTAAAATTTTATGTTCACTTAGAACCTTCAAATGACCTTACTTGAAAACAGAGTACTTGCAGATGTAATTAGTTAAGTTAAAATGAGTTTGTATTGGATTAAGGTGAGCCCTAATAAAAAAAAAAACTGGTGCCCATATAAGAAGAGAAAACAGAGACAAAGACACAAACGGATGGAGAATGTTGTGTAAACATGGAGGCAGAGATCGATAGCAGTGCACCACTACAAGCCAAGGAATGCCAAGAATTGCTAGCAACTGTTAGTACCTTGAAGAGGCGAGGAAGGATTCTTCCCTATAGCTAGGAGGGAGCCTGGCCCTGCTGAAACCTTGACTTTAGACTTTTTGTCTCCAGATCTGTGAGAGAATATATTTATCCTGTTTTAAACTACCCAGTGATAATTTGTTAGTAGGAAACCAATACAATGGACATACAGGCATTCATAGCATTCCCTTATTATATTTTTTATATTTGCAATGTTTATGAGGTGAGGAGAGTTGCATTCACCAATGCCTTAAGGGTGACAGTGTTTGTTTGGCCCTCTCCCACAATTTAAGGCTCATTTATTCTGTATGAGAGTTGAGAGGGGACCATGTGGAGTTTCTTCCTTCTACAGCAGCTTGTCTTCCTGTCTCTGAACTGTCCCAATCTTTATTATGAGCCTGATGGAGTTTGTGGAGAAAATGTCTGTTAGAGCATAACCAGCAAAAGGGTCTGGCTGCTTGCCACTTGCAGAAACAAGCCAAAATAACGAAATATGATAAAGAAGAAGCAAGACTTTATTATCTGTGCCAGCAAGGGGAAGGACAGGAAAAAAATTCTACTCTTTGATTTTTGGAGGGATTGCAGGGGATTTTAAAGAAAGGGTTTGGAATGCAGAAGACACAGGGGGCTAGTGTAACTACTCAGTGGGTTCACCATGCCCACTGCCTAGACAGAGCCGATTTATCAAGACAGGGGAACTGCAATACAAAAAGAGTAATTCATTTGGAGCCAGCTGTGCGGAAGACCGTTGTTTTATTGTTACTCAAATCAGTCTCCCTGACTGATTTGAGCAGAGTTTTTAAGGATAATTTGGTGGGTAGGGGAGGCCAGTGAGTCAAGAGTGCTGATTGGTTGGGTCCGAGATGAAATCATAGGTAATTGAAGTTGTCCTCTTGCACTGAGTCAGTTCCTGGGTGGGGGCCACAAGATCACATGAGCCAGTTTATCCATCTGGGTGGTGCCAGCTGATCCATCAACTGCAGGGTCTGTAAAATATCTCAAGCACTGATCTCAGGAGCAGTTTAGGGAGGGTTAGAATCTTGTAGTCTCCAGCTGCATGACTCTAAACCATATTTCTAATCTTGTGGCTAATTTGTTAGTCCTACAAAGTCAGTTTAGTCCCCAGGCAAGAAGGAGGTTTGTTTTGTGAAAAGGCTGTTATTGTCTCTGTGTTAAACTATAAACTAAGTTCCTCCCAGTTAGTTCAGCCTATGCCCAGGAATAAACAAGAACAGCTTGGAGGTTAGAAGCAAGATAGAGTTAGTTAGGCCAGATCTCTTTCACTGTCTGTTACAATTTTGCAGTGGCAGTTTCACTAGGAGGTGCCCCATGACATGACTTGCTCTGATGGCTTATCTTGAATTATTGTTCCATCTGGTGAAGGGGCTGGTACCATCGTGGATTCTATTTATAACTGGCAGGTTATAAATTAATTGCAGTTAGTCTTGTAGTCAATCTTCAGCCAGGAGTGAATTCTGGCCTTGAAGTAATCTTTTGTTGGAGAGAGAATTCCGGAAGTGCCTGGTCCATATCAGGATCCGACCCTAAAGGTAATATATTTCCTTAAGCTTTGAAGGAAATATATGACCAGATAAGTGAGCATGGTGTGTGCTTAACCTACAGCTAGGTAAATAAATGTGCATAAGGCATGGGAGCACAGAATGGGAGAAGAAAGGGAGTGGAGGTTCACAGCACATTCTGAGGCTGTATTTCAAGATGGAAGGTAACACGTACGCAGCTTGTCTTAAAGTAATATCTTGAGATTGGGGAGAAAGGAGGAAAGAAAACAAAGTTTTAAAATGTGGTTTGAAGCCAAGTTGCTTGGTTACAAGAGTACTCGGACTCTCCCTATTTACTGCCTCCAGGTGAGACAGGAATAGCACTGGGTGGTTGCAGGAGGATGGAAAAACCTGAACAACTGCTAAAACAAGAACTAGGCAAAGAAACTACAGGATAACAGAAAACCCCAAATGAGGAGAGAAAAGAGCCAAAACCTTGGGTGGTGGAATAGCAATGCTGGATGGTCACAGGGGAAGCAGGAAAATATCAAGTAGTAATTTCACATAACAGCAAGAAAGGGGCTGTTCAAATTAGCTACAAGGATAAGGACATGGACGAGTCTTGGCTGATAAGACCCTAACAAACAGGATGGGGGCTAAGCTGCTTGAAACCAGCAGGGTCAACACTTGCTGGATTTCACCCATGCCCTACCCCCAGATCTAATTGTATGTTTATTACCATACGACATCACACACTCACTGGCATCCTGACAGGTTGGAGCATGCCCATATTTAGCATAACAATGGGTGGCACCTCAATTCTAAGAAATCTCCACCTTTTTCCTAGGTGACCTCATGATTATTCCACCTCCCAGTTAGAAGACCCCATAAAATTAGAAACCCAAACTCTGTTGTACATGACTCACTCTCTTGTACGCACTCTGCTACAGTGTGTCCTTTGCTTTGCAGTAAGAGCTTCTTGCCTTTCACTTCATTCTGGCTTGTCCCTGAATTTTTCTTGCATTGGAGTCAAGGACTTGGAACACTGTCTAGGGCTGGGGGTCTATCAGACCCCGGGGTCTGGGTCCAGCCTATGCTGAAGTCCAAGGGAGTGGGTGGATGAGCAGAAAGGACACTGGGGCGGGGCCATAGGCAGGTGAATGTGGTTTTATTCAACTCTCATCAACAGCTTTCTCACACTGTCTGCCCTGTCTCCACTGCTTGAGCCAGCAGCTCCCACATACAGCTGGCTGGGTGGCCTGCTCTCCCCTGCCTTCAGGGTCAGCAGCTTGACTCTCTCTCTGAGCACAAGTGAGCCGAGCTCTGTCCTGGCTCCTCTCTCTCCGTCTGCAAAGAGGGACAGCTCTGACTCTCTCTTTCTCTGAGCACCCACGCACCTGCACAGTGTCAACAGGGCAATTATACGTTTTATAGACAATAGTGGTGTAGAGCCAAGTGATGGCCTTCCCATGTTATGGTTACATGGCTATGATAACAAGTGGAGTTATACACCTGTGCTCTAAACTCACTGAGTCATGCAGGATGTAAATATCCTACCTCGGCCTATCTTTGACCAAAGCACAGCCATATTCCTTACACTCCAGCCCCAAGGCAAAGGGAGACATAGATTTTGGATGCACAGATTTGATACACAGGTTTGACACACATGCTTTGGGCACACAGGCCTGACACATAGGCTTTGGGCACGCAGGCCCAATATATATAATTCTCGATAAACTGCTCAGCTATTGGCGCAGATTACCATAGGTGTCACCCTCTTGGTGATTATTATTCACACTTCCCTGAGTTGAGCTCATTAGCTACTTTGCCCACACCTGGTTTCAAACCTTTGCCCACATCTGGTTTCAAACTAGACTGGACTGCACCAGCGGTCCAGGCATCAGTAGCACCCAGCTAGACCTAGCTGTGTACAATGCCCTATTAGGAATGGGGGGATGCCCTTCCTAACGGTGAAGTCTCAGGGTCTAGGGGTGCCTCAGGCCCCATGGCCTTATCTTGTATTAAGAGTATAGGCCCTAAGATCTCTTGTAACTCTGCTGCTAAGGGACTTGTACTCAGTGTACTTCACTGTTCTAAATAGGCGCTCCACTTCACTAAAGTGGATGTCTGTGCCGTCCCTGTCCAGGGTGGGGACTGTTACACATGAATGCACCCATCCCGCTACTGGGTAAATCATCTGCATGAAGACCGTAATCCATCCTACTATGCTCTCATGAGCCTGAAGGGCAGCATATGCAGTTACCAACTGCTTTCCCTATCCAAGGGGTGGTTATCCATGAACGCACCCATCCTACTATGACTAACTGCTCCTGTATGAGTAAACACAGGAGCTCAGCTCCCTTCCACAATTGGGACTAAAAGCTTACTGGTGTTTTCAAGCACTCTATGCACTGCTATAGGCCCTTGCTGAAACTATCTGTGGTTACATGTAACTCTAGTGTAAATGGGCACCCTTGGTTTACTACCTATAAGGGCTGTCTCAGCCTCATCATCCCAATCCCAGGAAAAAGGGGCACTGCCACTTTTAATCCTGCAAGAGAATTACAGGTTAACATAACATTACAAGACTATGACATAAAATGGGCTATGCAAATAGCCCTGTGGCAGCATGGTGAAATTCCATTGTCATCCTTCCCATGAGGGCAAAACTATTCCTGGCTCCCTGTGGACCGTCCCAGTTCCGTTGTCAAATGGTCCATTAAGTCTGTGACAGACAGCACAGCTGCCAAGCCGTGCAAAACGTCCACCCCTAGAATGTCCTCAGGCATGGGAGAGACACACACAGTGCGTAAGCAGAGAGCCAGGCTGACAATTCCAAGATGCAAAGACACAAGCTTCACTTTCACTGACCAGTCTTCATAGCCATTAATAAATGCAGCTCTGCCCAGAAACTTATCTGGGTTCAGTGACCAGTGGATTGCCAAGTTCACAGATGGCCTTTGGTTGTCCGGTGCCCGTGCCCGACCCCCGGCCCCCTTCCACCAAGCCAGACCCCTCGGCCAGTCTCTTATCAAACAGAAAAGGCTTTTCACTTCCGACGACTGCGGCAGGTACTCTTTGACCTGGAATGCTCGGGTCAGATTGGGTTGCGCAGCAACATCTTTCTCCCAGATGACTTGCACGAAGTCTGTACATGACTGCCGACATTACTTACTTAACTCCCGCAACTCAGCAGGGGTACAGGCACCATAGGAAGTGTCCTCCACCACAGTAGGGGGTCTCTGGGCCCACCCTTGGGGCCCAACAGCTGCTCATGCTCTACGCGAGCCTGCAATAGAGGTTCTTCTTCCTCCCTGCGCTGCGTCTCAAAAGGACTGGGCATGCACTGCCCGCAGCAGAGTCACAAACGCCCATCTGATTCTGCCGGTAAAGGCATGCTTCTTCTTGGTGCTGTGCACTACCAGGTGCTTCAGCGCCTTCTCCATGCTCACGGGAGACCCGTCCCGTGCCTCCCACGTTCCCTTTAGGGCCCATCCAAGCAACACCGCTGCCACTGGGCACCACAGCCCCTGCTGCAGCCACATAGTCGACCCGGGAGCCTCAGGGGCTAGAGACCCACTCACCTCATCCCATCCTCATCGCTAATTGTCAGATCCCGGGGTCCGGGTCCAACCCATGCTGAAGTCCGAGGGAGTGGGTGGATGAGCAGAAAGAACGCTCTGGGGGCGGTAGGCAGGTGAAGGTGATTTTATTCAGCAGAAGCTCTCATCAATAGCTTTCTCACACTGTCCACCCTGTGGACTGTTTGAGTTGGCAGCTCCCACATACAGCTGCGCGGCCTGCTCACCCCTGCCTTGAGAATCAGCCGCTTAACTCTCTCTCTGGGCACGAACAAGCCAAGCTGTGTCCTGGCTCCCCTCTGTCTGTCTGCAAAGACGGACAGTTCTGACTCTCTCTCTCTTTCTCTGGGCACCCACACGCCTGCACAGTGTCAACGAGGCAATTATACCTTTCACAGGCAATAATGGCATAGAGCCAAGTGATGGCCTTCCCATGTTATGGCTACATGGCTGTGATAACAAGTGGAGTTATAGGCCTGTGCTCTGAACTCGCTGAGTCACGCAGGATGTAAACATCCTAACTTGGCCTATTCTTGACCAAAGCACAGCCATGTTCCTTACTGGGTCTCACCAGCATCTGGAGACCCACCTAAGCCCTCTGGCAACACGGGAGCTTCATGCTGTCTTGACAGTGCACACACACCTAACCTCCACCAACTCACCAATCAGCCTAGCTGAACTTTTCTTATCAGTGTCATGTTGCATCTTTCCAAGATGAATCAGTGCTCCTGCCTCATTTCTCCCTGCAGGCCTGAGGGGTTCAAGGAAAGTTTTGAATTTGCTCTTCATCCAGATGTGTTTTTTTTTTTTCCTTATGAAATTGAGAGTGATGATCTTTCTAGCTCTTTAAGTCTCCAATCAGAATCCAAAAGTCAAGTCAGGATATTTTAAAACAGAATGTTGATAACGTGACTGGGTTGTTGCTAGCTATATTTAATAAGCTGCTATGAGAAACAAATATGCTTAGAAAAGCACTAGCTGATTCACAAATAGAAATTAGAGGGAATATAAAAAGCTCAGAAACTATAGGATTTGCATGATTGGAAAACGAAGCTGTTTATCATCATGTAAAGGACTTGCCTCAAGGCAAGCATCAAAGTCAGAGTAACGACATTAAGAAACAGCCCCAGGACAAAAAAGAAACAAAGATGTTACCCTCTATATTAGGTTTTCTGAAGGGACTGAGATGATGCTTACTTTTCATGTAGACATAATGGCTTACAGAAAGACTAAGAGTATAGTCTCACAGAAGCCTCATAAACATGAAGTACCTATAATAAAAAGAGAAATATCTCAAAAAGAACTGTAGGTGTAGCCTGTGGCTCTTGGCATTGGCTAGATTTATGTAATAAAAGTTCCACAAAGTTTATGAGAGCACTCTACTGGCAAACTCTCTACCAACTTGGAGTAAAAGAGACTATGAATATTTGATGTATGTATTTTAAAAACTTCTGTGAACCTACCTTTCTGCAGACAGGAAATAATATACCCAGAAGTCAGGGTATATTCACCCATGCCATCTACAAGTATAGCCAAGTAGAATAGTAGAAAAGAAAACAACTTGAAAAGGGCATTGCCAAGAACTGATTAGAAAAGTGGACCAGAGTGATACTCCCAGAGTGCAAAACAAAGATGGAATCAAGGAAAAATCCCTACCCAAAGTGGGGAGATTTGGAAATATTTGCCTGGAGTGATTTGAGAATTGCCCTAAACATGTGCAAGTATTAATGAAAGTATCCTTGTCTTTGTTTCGCTGTTGTTATAGTGGGTATTTGGAGAACAGTCTTTTTAGAGTTCATAGGACTCTTTATTAATGAAAATGCATCTAGATCTGATGTAGATTAGGAGATCCTTTACTTCAGATGTCCTCAATAGTAATGACACTTGCTGTCATTACAAAGGATGGGAAGTTTGGGGATTTTATAGATTTTATTTTTAAAAAATGTTTAATCTTTGTGACTACAAAGTAGTGATACAGAAGTGCTGGGAAGGGAAGAGTGAGGTCCCTTTAAATGATATGGAAGAGAGGAAGGGAAGTGCTGGGTAGAGGAGAGTGTGGTCCCTGGCTAGGGCTCTACCCTCACAGATCTAGATGAAGACAGGCATTTCCTGCCCAAATGTTGCATTTCCCAAGACCACCTTGGCCTGCCACGCCCCCATCCTGTGCCTATAAAAACCCAAGACCCTAGCAAGGTAGGTACAAAAGCGGCTGGACGTCATGGGGAACACATTGGCAGAAGACACAAGCAGCTGATCATAGAGAGGTCATCAACTGGTGGAACGATGCAGAGTTTGGCCGGAGGGGTGGGAGAAGAATCTGGTCACTGAGTGGCCCGACTCCAGAGGAAAACGCATCTCCCTTCTGGCTCCCCCATCTGCTGAGAGATACTTCTACTCAATAAAACCTTGCACTCATTCTCCAAGCCTGATTCTTCTGGTACACCAAGGCAAGAACCTGGAATACAGAAAGCCCTCTGTCCTTGTGATAAGGAAGGGGGTCTAACTGAGCTAACTCAAGCCACCTACAGATGGCTAAACTAAAAGAGCAAAAGCAAAAGAGCATCCTAACACATGCCCACTGGTGCTTCAGGAGCTGTAAACATTCACCCCTAGACACTGCCGTGGAGTGGAGCCCCACAGCCTGCCCATCTGTATGCTCCCCTAGAGGTTTGAGCAGCAGGACACTGAAGAAGTGAGCCACTTCCCCTGTCACACACCCTGTGAGGGGGCAAGAGAACTTTTCCCATTTCAGTAGGTGTATATATTTATAGGGTACATGAGATACAGAATTTGGGGGATTTGGGCATGGAGGTTAGTGTCTGCACATGAGAGAACTGAGAATAACTGTGACAAAATGAAAGACTGACAAATTCGTTTTCTTTTTTTCATTTGACCTTGCAATTCACTAGAAGTGGGGGAGGTTGTTTCCCTGCCACATTGATGTTGGACTTGATCATGTAACTTGCTTTAGCTAATGGAATTGTAGTAGATTCAATGCAAGTAGAGGTTTTAACTGTGCCTAGGTAACTTTTTTTTTTTTTGAGACAGAGTCTCACTCTGTCACTCAAGCTGGAGTGCAGTGGCGTGATCTTGGCTCATGGCAGCCTCTGTTTCCTGTATTCAAGAGATTCTCCTGCCTCAGCCTCCCAAGTAGCTGGGATTACCGGTGCCCATCATCATGCCAGGCTAATTTTTATATTTTTAGTATAGATGGGGTTTCACTATGTTGGCCAGGCTGGTCTTTAACTCCTGACTTTGGGTCATCTGCCCCCCTTGGCCTCCCAAAGTGCTGGTATTACAAGCATGAGCCACCATGCCCGACCTGCAATATAACTTTTATAATGATCGTGTAACCTTCAACCCTTTCTAAAGTCATCTTTTAATCTAATAGCTTTTGTTGTAGATTCTATCAAATTTTCTGTAAATGATAATGTGGTCAATGAATAAAAAGAGTTTTTCTTTTTAATATGAATGCTTTTTATTTTATTTTCTTTCCTACTAGACTAGCTAGAACTTCTAGTACAATGTTGAATTATAGTGGCAAGAGTAAACATAATTGCTTTTTTTCTGATTCCAGGAGAAAAGCATAGCTGTGGTT
Source organism: Homo sapiens (assembly GCF_000001405.40). Taxonomy (NCBI): domain Eukaryota; kingdom Metazoa; phylum Chordata; class Mammalia; order Primates; family Hominidae; genus Homo; species Homo sapiens. The sequence continues at coordinate 27,997,474 of NC_000006.12, read as the reverse complement.
TTGTTTAGAAATTTTTTTTCCAGGTTGAGGAAGTACATTTTTATTCATAATTTGATCGTAGATGGATGTTGAATTTTGTGAAATGCATTTTTGCTTCTATTGAGATGATCATATAGTTAATTTTTTAATCTGTTAATCTAGTAAATTAGATTGGTTGGTTTTTAAATGTAAACCCACCTTTCATTCCTATGATAAATGCTACCTGGTCAGATTGTATTATTCTTTTTATTATGGGATTAAATTTGCTAAAATTTTGCTAAAAATTCTTGTATCTATGTTCATGAGTTATATTAGTCTGTAGTTTAATTTTCTTCCAGGGACTTTGTCTGGTTCTATCAGAATAGTGTTGGCCTCAAAGGATGCATTTGGAAGTATTTAATCTGCTTCACTTCCTGGAAGAGTTTATATAGAATTGATATTACTCTTTACTTAAACATGTAGTAGAATTCACCGGTGAGACTATCTGGTCCTGGAGTTTTCTTTGTGGGAAAGTTTTTAATTTCAAATTCAGGTTCCTTAACTGGTATTCAGATTTTCAATTTCTTCTTGAATAAGCCTTTGGTATTATGTACATTTCATGAAATTTTCCCATTCCATAGGTTGTTGAATTCATTGGCATAATTTGTAATAACTTTATTTAATACGATTATTTTATTATCCTTTTAGTATCTGTGGCATCTGTAGTGACATCACTTCTTCCATTCCTGATATTGGTAATTTGTATCTTTTCTTCCTGACTATTCTAGGTAGAAACTGCTTTTGGTTTTATTGGTTTTCTTTTTTGTTTTATGTTTGTTTGTTTTCTAACTGATTACTTTTTGTTATTTCTTTTGCTGTGTTCATTTTAGGTTTCTGTTTGCTCTTCTTTTCTAGTTTTGTTTTTCTTTTATTTTCTTTCTTGTTTTGAGACGGAGTCTCACTCTGTCACCCAGGCTGGAGTACCCTGGTGTGATCTTGGCTCATGGCAACCTCTGCCTCCCAGGTTCAAGCAATTCTTCTGCCTCAGCCTCCTGAATAACGGGGATTACAGGCACCAGCCACCACACCTGGCTTAATTTTGTATTTTTAGGAGAGACAGGGTTTCACTACGTTGGCCAGGTTGGTCTCAAACTCCTGACCTCAAGTGATCCACCCACCTCGGCCTCCCAAACTGCTGGGATTTCAGGTGTGAGACACCATGCCCAGCCCTTTTCTAGTTTCTTAAAGTGGAAGTTGAGGTTGTTGCTTTGTGATATTTCTTCATTTAAATTTAATATAATTATCAATATGCTTGCATTTGAATCTATCATCTTAGTTGTTATTTCCTATTTTTCATCTATTTTTTGTTCTCTTTTCCTGCCTCCTTTTGTATTAATGAATATTTTATGATTCTATTTTATCTTCTTTTAGTCTTATTAGCTCTACCCTCTTTGTTTCACTTTTTATTTTACAATATACATCTTTAACTTATCACAGTCTAACTTAAAACAATACAATTTCATCTACCTGTTATGCTAGATGAAATGTAAAAATTATTGTTTTATATTTTACTTCCACATATATACATCTTTAACTTATGCTATGGACTAAATGCTTGTCATTTAGTCAAGCATAAATGACAAAATTTACGAGTTGAAATCCTTACCCCCAATGTGATGATATTAGGAGATGGGGACTTTACGAGGTAATTATATCATGATTGTGGAGCAGTCATGAATGGGATTTGTGCCTTTATAAGAACAGAAATGACATGTTGCTCATCCTTTCTGTTCTCCACCATGTGAGGATACAACAAGAAGACAGTTGTCTGTAAATCTAGAAGAGGGCCCTCACCACAACCCAACTGTGCTGGCACCTGCATCTCAGACTTCCCAGACTCCAGAACTGTGAGAACTAATTTCTGTTGTTTGTACTACCCAGTCTGTGGTATTTTGTTGTATCAGCCCAAACTGGCTAAGATGACTTATCATGGTCTAAACTGCCTTTAACTGTTTCAGACAAAGTATTTCAAAGATATCCATTTTATTTGTAAGTAAGAAGTCTATAATTGAGGGAAGGCATTCTTTTCTTTTTCACAACAACGTATCTAGGCAGCTTGAGCTCTAGAGAGCCTTCTCCAGATATGACAGGTGACATACAGGTTTGCTCAAGGAATCCCTGTTTCTCTTTTTTACTTTCCAGTAAAAAAGAAAGCAACTTGCTTTAAAAAGCCACATTTAAAAAGATGTTCCCATGTTTTTATGACTTACCTCTAATTTCTTTGAAGTCATAATACGTTCCTAGGACTAATGGGTTAGAATTTACTTGAAATTTAACAATGTGTTCCTCTATAAGAAAATAGAACTCTCAGTTGCAGCTGAGTAAGCTTCTCTTTCCACAAGGGTGCAAATGCCTGAGTGTTCTAGATGTCTTGGATTTGTGTGGGTGCATGTACATCTCAAACATGAGAAGAAACCATATAAGTGCCTATGGCATGAGAAGTAGAACATTTTTCTAACATGGACAAGGGAAAATAAGCTTATACAATATAAAAAATTTTAAAGCAACGTGATTTAAAAAGACATTTCAAAAGATGTTCCCATGTTTTTATAACTTTCCTCAAATTTCTTTGGGGTCATATTGAATTCCTCCTTAATTTATTTTACTAGAGCACCATCCAACTTAGCATATGTTTTTCATTAGAACAACTGGATTCTTTTTGTAAACAAATGCTTCAATTGAAACTGCATGCAGTACGATTTTGATATCCTTCACATTTCCCAGAAAGTTTTATAGAACAAGAAAAAGTAAAAATTAGAAAGCAGAGCCTCCTTCTCTCATGTGTTTTATGTTTGGGGTAATGTGTGTATGGTCTTTTAAATAAAGTACTCACTTATGTTACCCAAATGCAGCTATTTCCTAAGCTCAAATTGTCTATTTGAACAGATAGGGAAGCCATTTAGACCAGTGATCCCAAACCTTTTTGGCACCAGGGACTGGTTTTGTGGAGACATTTTTTCCACGAATTGGTGGGGGTTTCAGGATGAAACTGTTCCACTTCAGATAATCAGGCGTTAGATTCTCACAAGGAGGATGCAACCTAGATTTCTCGCATGTGCAGTTCATAATAGGGTTCATGCTCCTAAGAGAATCTAATGCTGCCACTGATCTGACAGGAGGCAGAGCTCAGGCCATAATGCTAGCTCCTGCCACTCACCTCCTGCTGTGCAGCCCAGTTCCTAACAGGCCACGGACTGGTACTGGTCCATGGCCCAGGGGTTGGGGACCCCTGATTTAGACAATCAGGTGACTATGAGAATGGAATTGTAGAAGAGCTATCATTTTACTTTATATATTATCATTAGGTACACTTTAATTTGATAATTTTCACTTACGAACATAGATCAGGAAGAATTTCCGTGTCATCTTATCTACCATTTCTTTTTCTTTTTGCCCCTCACTTTACCTATTGGGGCAGAGCAGTGATTTTCTTAGTCAGTTTAAGCTGCACGTAATATATAATTTTTTTCAATAAAGCAGATATCTATGAAAAACAGACCCAAATTCCCAGAAGACATATTGATAAGAAGAAGCAATTAAGAGTATTTATTATAACATTGTTAGTATCCACAAAAGTTTAGACATATGGATGATTATATCAGAGATTAATTATCTGAGTAAGAATTAAGGACTTGAGGAAATTCAAAGTACACAACTCTTAAAATTCAACAATAAAAAAATGAACAGCCCAATTAAAAATGATCTGAACAGTCTGGGCACGGTGGCTCATGCCTGTAATCCCAGCACTTTGGGAGGCCGAGGCAGGTGGATCACCTGAGGTCAGGAGTTTGAGACCAGCTTGGCCAACATGGTGAAACCCCGTGTCTACTTAAAGTACAAAAATTAGCCGGGCATGGTGGTACGCATCTGTAATCCCAGCTATTTGGGAGGCTGAGGCAGGAGAATTGCTTGAACCTGGGAGGTGGAGGTTGCACTGAGCTAAGATCGCACCGTTGTGCTCTGGGGACCAGAGCGAGACTTCATCTCAAAGAAAAAAAAATATCTGAATGGATACCTCACCATACAAGATATATACATGGCAAACGAGCATGTGATAAGATGCTCAACATCATATATGATTAGAAAATTGCAAATTAAAACAATGAGATACAACTACACACCTATTAGAATGGTTAAAATCCAAAACACTGACAGCACAAACGAAGCCAATGATGCGGAGCAACAGTAACTCTCATTTAGTGCTGATGGAAATGCAAAATGGTACATCCACTTTGGAAGACTGTTTGACAGTTTTTTCTAAAACTAAACATATGCTTACCATGTGATCCAGCAGTCACACTCATTGGTATTTACCCAAATGAGTTAAGAACATGTCTACATACAAATCTGCACACAGATTTATAGAAGATTTATTCCTAATTGCTAAAATCTGGAAACAATCAAAAATTTTTTTAGTAGATGACTTGACAGATAAATTGTAGGATATCCAGACAATGGAATATTTCTTGCTAAAAAAGCTAGCTATCAAGCCATTAAAAATAGGGAGGAAACTTGAATGCAATGCATATTATTAAGTGAAAGAAGTCAATCTGAAAAGGGCTGCATACTTCATGATTCTAACTCTCTGACATTTTGAAAGAGTCAAAATGGTGAAGATAGTGGAAAGATCAGTGGTTTCCAGGGATTGGTGGGAGGGAAGGATGATTAGATAGAGCACAGAGAATTTTTACAGTAGTGAAACTATTGTGTACAATACTGTAAGAGGGTATAAATGCCATTATACATTTCTCAAAACCCATAGAATGCACAACACCAAGAGTGAACCCTAATGTAGACTACGGACTTTGGGTGATCATGATATATCAATATAAGTTTATTGATTATAAAAATTGACTACTCTGGTGGAGTATGTTGATAATGGAGGAAGCTATGCATGTATGGGGTGGGGGTATTTAGGAGCTCTGTAACTTTCACCCAATTTTGCTGTGAACTGCAAACTTCTTTAGAAAAAAAGTTATTAAAAATACCACTCTGGTGCAGGATATTGATAGTGAAGGAGTTTGTGTATGGAGAGGGTGGGAGAGACAGGGGGAATAGGGGAACTCTCAGTACTTTCTTAGTTCAGTGAATCTGAAACAGCTCTACAAAAATAGTCTATTTAAAAACTTGAATTTTTCATTTTAGAGTCTCCAAATGTGCATCAATCTATTATTAATTCTAATATGCTTCCAATAATCTCATCTGTTTCCTTTCATTTTTGAAGATTCCCTGCCAATCTTAGTATTCTCCTTGAAATATCCTTTATATCTTTATTCTTAACAGATAAACTAGAAGTTTGAGACTTGGAGTTAGTATAGTGTAAAACAAGATAAAGAATCATTTCTTGGTCTTGGGAGGAGTTGTTACCATCTTCAAGAGCATTTACACAATGATTCCATAGAAGATTGAATCTATAATGAAATGACACCTATGATGATGATGATGATACTGATTTCTCAGCTTGCTTCTAATTTAATTACTAGTATTCATTCTTAGTGCACCTCAATGTAGCCATAGCAGGTAAAATTACTGATAAGGCATATTAGGACATTTACATTGTATTAACACAAATACAGACATTTCTTCAATTGTAGCATCTAGAAAAACTGTTTTCAGCATAGCTAGCAACACATGGAGGGAATTATCCTGAAGGTTTTTTTTTTTCATACCTTGGGAATTTTAGGATGAGAGTATACATGATGACAAAAATGAATGAATTATCACTCAAGTATTAAAGTAAGATTAAGGAGGAGATATAGGTTCATGATTAACAAATATTACAAAGGATGGCATATAATTATAAAATAATTGTAGAAATTATATAGTGGCACATAACTACAGAGAGACAAGGAATTGAATGGTGAGTTCACGTAACTTGTGGTCCTATTAGGTCCCCACCAATCTGTCAGCATCTGATTTTTTTTTTTTTTTCCTGAGACTGGAGTTATTTTTCTCTTGTGACCCAGGCTGGAGTGCAATGGTATGAACTTGGCTCATTGCAACCTCCACCTCTTGGGTTCAAATGATTCTCCTGCCTCAGCCTCCTGAATAGCTGGGATGACAGGCATCCACCATCATGCCTGGCTAATTTTTGTACTTTTAGTAGAGATTGGGGTTTCATCATGTTGGCCAGGCTGGTCTTGAACTCCTGACCTCAGGTGATCCACCCGCCTTGGCCTCCCAAAGTGCTAGGATTACAGGTGTGAGCCACTGCACCTGGCCAGCATCTGATTTTGAAATAAAGATGTAGGAAGGATGAATTTCTTAACACTTCTTTCTCCTTCACTCTCAACATTTAATCTATCACCAAATTTAGTCAATTCTAATTATAAAATAGGTTCAATCCCTCTACTTCTATATTTCTTTGCTACCATACAAATATAAACCACTGTCATCTCTCTGTTTCCTATGATAGTCTTCTATCCATATATCAATTCTTTTTCCCTTACCGTCCATTCTTCACACTATAATTACAGTGTCATTTACAAATGCATTATTATCATGTTATCTGCTATAGACTGAATTGAATATTTGTATGCCCTAAAATTCATATGTTGAAATCCTAATCCCCAAGTGTTGGTATTAGGAGATGGGACTTTTGGGAAGTGATTAGGTCATCAAGGTGGAGCCCTCATTAGTTTGATTAATACCCCTGTAAAAGTGAACTGAGGGAAATTTCTTTCCCCCATACCATGTGAGGACATAAGAAGTCAGAAGTTTGCAACTCAGAAGAGGGCTCACGCCAGAACCCAACAATGGTGGCACCCTGATCTTACACCTCAGGCTTCCAGAACTGTGAAAAGTAAATTTCTGTTGTTTACAAGCCACCCAGTCTATGGTATTTTGTCATAGCAACCTGAACAGATTAAGACTTTATCCCTATGCATATAATATTTCAATGGCTTTTGTTATATTTAACATGTCCTTCATGGTCCTGTGTGATTTGGTTCCTATCTACTCCAGTCTCTTCTGTCTCCCCATTGCACCACATGCTGTCCTTGTCTAAATTCTTTGGCGTTTAAACCCTTTTCCCACCTCCTGTCCTTGAAATCTGTTATTCCCTAAAACTGTAAGTCATTCTCTCTCCACTCCTTTACCTGTATAATGACACTTTATCCTTTAGGTCACCACTTAATTCTCTTAATAGTGAAGTTCTCACTTAGCCCACATCTACATCTTACTGTGACACCTTATATTTTGTGGCTACAGTTCTTATACTGAGCACTTATCGACTTAGGAAGAGAAGTCACAGAAAGTCAGTGCTGGATTCAGATGGCTTGGATTAAAACCCAACTCTGCCACTTAGTTGTATGATTATAGATTTTTAACAGTTTTCTTATCTGTAAAAATAATGATAACTAGACCTAAATCATGTATTTTTATAAATATTAAATAATATATAAAGAACTTAAAACAGTTGTTGGCACTCATACATGTTCACAAGTATCACTATTGTTGGTGTCATGTCAAATTGAAATTGTGCTTTTATCTATGAATTTTGTTTATTGTCTTCTCCCACACTAGTCCAGTAATTCTAAGGAAGCAGAAGATATGTTAATTGCCTTCCAATATATTTTAAGTGGTGTCTAATAAATATTTGTTGAATTATATAATTACAATGAAAATCATGAAATCATTTGGGCTTTTTAAAGTGAGTTAATAACAACTTAACCTTGGAAACTTAAGTTCCAACAACTTAACTTTGGAAGATAATATTTATGAGTGGGTATGAGTGAAAAATTAGGGGCAATGAGAAGAATGAAAATTACTTGAGCTTTTCAAATACCCAAAAATTTATTCAATTGGGTAAAAAGTTATTAATAACACTATTTTCAGCTATTTCTGTTTATAAAGGATTAATATGATCAATACTTTTAAAGAGTATGCTGAGGACCAATTCTATTAGTTATACATGAGCATGATTATGTTGCCATTTCTGAAACTTAAGTGTAAAGGAGTTGTGATTAGGTATAATCTGAATTCAAAATATGAAATGTAGGGTTTTAAAAAATTCCCAGTTACTAAACTGATTATTTCTTACACTCAGAAACAAAGATGACATTTAAAGAGACACTGTTAAAACAGACACAGAAAAGAAATCACTATCTAATATAGGCTGAATATCAGACTGTTTGTGTGGTGAGAACCAAAGCCAACGTAGTTTCCTGTCCCTGAACTAAATGGACCAGACACAATTCCCAATCCCTCCTTTAAACAGTATGGAGACCAGCAATAGTAACTCAGCTGCTTGCTCCAAGAAATACCAATAGGTCACTTGTCAAGATTTTCTTCAAGACTTTTGCTTTGCTGTGCCCACCAGTCCAAAGCTATCAACTTATAAACACTGCCCAACACTAACAAGTTCCCTGTCTTGCCAAATTTACTTTATTATCACTTATCTTTTTCTCAAACCTTATAAATACTCTTCCCCAGTTTTACCATTTTGAGACACCATTAACAGTGTTAAGACAATATTTTCCCTTTCTGCAATAGGTCCAATAAATTCAGCTTTGATCAACAGGTTTATATGGTGATCTTTTGGGGATCTGAGAGTCAACAGTAGACACAGTGCAAGTTTTTTTGTGAACATACACATTCATTCTCATTCCTTTTGGGTAGATGCCTAGGAAATGAATTGTTGGGTTATAGGTAGGTATTTGTGGTATATTGTTAAGTAATGGTCTCCTTCCTAAATCCAGGTTGAATTATAGTTCCTTCACATATTGGCCACATCGATATCTTTGGCCAATGTGACATTAGCAAACATGACCTAAGCAGAGATTTAAGAAGTGCTTGTACATTGGGGCTTGCCCATTAGAAACACTGATGCCATGTAAAGAAGCCTGGGCTAGCTTGCTGAAGACATGCAGCTCAATCAATAACACTTACCAGATATTTGAGTGAAGCTATTTTAGAAAATCTGGTCCCAGTTGAGCTGTATTACTGTGGTGACACGAGTGATTCTGTGCAAGACTAGGGGAAGAACCACTTGGCTAAACTCAAACCGAGTTACTGACCCAGAGAATCATAAAGAAAGAATTATTAGGCTGGGTACAGTGGCTCACACCTGTAATCCCAGCACTTTGGGAGACCAAGGCAGGTGGATTGCTTGAGCTCAGGAGTTTGAAACCAGCCTGGGCAACATGGCGAGACCCTATCTTAAAAAAAATACACACACACATATATATATATATATATAGTTTTATGCTACTAAACTTTGATCTGGTTAGTTAAGGTGGCAATAGATAACTGATACAGTGTATGATTAACTTTATAAGAACTGCTGATCAGCTTTCCAAAATGGTTGTACCATTTTAATACTCCCATCTGCAATGTATGAGAGTTCAAGTTATTCCATATTTTCACCACCACTGGGTATTGTCAGCCTTTGTATTTTTAGCCATTTTGTTTACTGAGATCTTATTGTACTTAGAATTTGTATTTTTTTAAAAAAGTACTGAATTGAGTACCTTTTCATATGTTTATCAGCCACTTGGATTTCTTTTTGCAAAAGTTCTTCTAATTTTTGGCCCATTTAAAAAATTTTTGCTATTTTTCTTTTTTATTTATGCTGGAGTTCTTTACAGGTTCTAAATATGAGTCACTTAAAAATTAGATGTATGTATGATAAGTATTTTCTCTAGTACTCAGTGGCTTGCCCTTTGATGTTCTCAGCAGTGTCTTTGATTACAGAAAGTTTTAAATTTTGATGCATTCTCACTTACCATTTTCCCCCATATATTGTTAGTATCTTTTGTGCCCTGTTTAAGAAATCTTTGTCTATATTCTCTTTTCCAAGCTTGTGGTAGATTGTGTCATTGCACACATAATTCTCCCAATAATAGAAAGAATGTATTCTTTCTTTCCCCTTGAATATGGTCTGGCTGGCCTTAGTGACTCACTTGATTGACAGAATATAGTGAAAGTTACATGCTGGAATTATGGAGCCTTGGTCATAGGAAGCCTTCAAGATTCTGCCATGGTTTCTTGGAAGGAACACTCATGCTAGAGGAAACCAGACATCATGTTAGAAGTCTAACTCCCCTGAGACCACCATGGTGGAGAAAGAGTTGTCCCAGTAAGCACCCAGCTGTTCTAAGCATCTCAGATCAAGCATCAAATGTAAGTGAAAGCTAATCTTGGATGTTTTACTCCCAAAAGATGCTATGTGGAGAAGAAATGAAGCCCCAGACATTTGGCCCCAGATAAGCTGTAACAGCCATTTTTAGCCTTTCAAGCTATCTTAGCTGAGGCCCCAGATATCATGGAGCAGAAATGAGACATCTTTATTGTGTCATGTCCAAATTCCTAACTCATGCAATCATAACATAATAAATAGTTGCAATTTTTTCACCTCTAGAATTCGAGGTGATTTGTTATGCAGTAATGAATAATAAGAACAAAACTTCGTAGATTTATCTTTCACATTTAGTTTTATGACTCATCTCAATTTATTTTTTGTGAATAGTGTGAGGTAGGATTTTCTTCCCCTACATGGATATTCAGTTACACCAGCTCCATTTATTCAAAATTTTTCTTTTTCCATTAAAATGCTTTAGTAACATTTTAAAGAAATGGAGTGAGTATTTATGTTTAAATCTATTGATGGAGTTTATTCTGTTCCATTAACTTATTTTGTTTTATTCTGTTCCATTAACTTTTTCTTCTGAAAAATTTTGGCTCTTTAATCTGTTGCATTTTCATGTAAATATTGAAATCATTTTGTTAATTTCTATAAAAAATCTTGCTTGGATTTAGACTGGGATGCTATCAATAGGTCATTTTTGGAAAAAATGTATATCTTAAATGCAGAACTTCTAATAAAAATATGTTATATCTCTACATTTATTTAAATTGTCTTTAATTTTCTTATACATATTTGTTAGTTTTCAATGTAGAAATTTTTCACATCTTTCATTGAATATCAAACCAACATTTCATTACTAAGAAAAATACACCCCATGAAAAGATCATAGTACATAAATGAGAACTTCAGCTGGAGTGTTCCAGGATTAGACAACTTGACTATCAGGTATTTTAATCAAATATAAAATTAGCACCATCTGGACTGATCATTTGCAATGATTTTAAAGTTAGCTTTGAGCTCAATGTGTTGATTAGACCTCTAAGTCAGAAAATTTTATAAAGATATTGTTTGTTTACAGTATTAAAGGGTTTCTGCTCCAATTTGGTCAGGAATTTGGATAGCATATCTAAATAGATAGGTAATCAGTTCCTTTATGCCAGAGGTTTTCCTTCATCTGTGACTGACCATTATTTTTTTGAGAGTGGAGTACTAATATGATGATGGGATAATGGGACAAGTGCTGTGTGGACAGGACTTGCAACTTGTTGGGTTTTGCTGGAGATGGCTCTGGCTTGCCATTCTCTTCAGAGATCCGTAACCATCAGTGTCAATAGGCCTTTTGGTGGGCAGGGTATGGACAATTTACTCAAAGAAGAACCTTTCAAAGACTCTGGTGGGATTCATAAACAAGTCTGATAGTGGTCTCAAACCAGTGGGAGAACATGGATTAGGGGAGTCTCACAATTCAATATCTAGACTCTCATTCATTCCCTCATTTTCAGTGGATTACTCAACTGGACTAAGCTTGGGATTTCAGAGTCTGATTTCCTTTTTGTTCAACCTCACAGTGGAGAAGACTACATTTTTGCCAAAGTTTGGGGAGAATGATCACTTGGCTGGTGGAGTGAGGGGAGAAATGGGTGTTTATTTGTGTCTTACACAGACTTTCAAAATAATCTCTCCTGAGACTTACTTGCACCCTCACATTCAGAAATCGCTAAAGCCTCACAATCCAACCACTATCAAAGGTTATACAAAATAAATCAGCTTGCTTGTGTTCTTCCACTTTCCCCACTCTCCAGCTGGGTTATTTTCAGCTTAATTGGATCCACTAACCTGGTTTCCAGCTTCCCAAAAAGTTGCTGCTTGTGTCTCTCTTCTATGTAAAGGTGTAAAGCCTTAGACTAATACAAATAATGTTATTTTAAAAATATGTCATGAACACACGTGAACCCACCATCTGACAAGAGATTCTGAATGTTGGTAGTAACTTATATCTGCACGTAGGGTTCTTACCTTTCCATATCCCTGTTCTCTTTCACTGGAAAAAATGACTACCCTAAATTTTATGTTTATCATTCCCTTGTATTTAGTTTTATGACACATATTGGTAATCCTAAAAGTACATGGTTTAGTTCTATTTGTTTTTAACTTATAAACAGGCTAGTATATTACTTGTATCTTCTGAGAATTACTTTTTTTCTTAATATTGCTACTAGATTCATTCATATTAGTGTGTATAAGTGAAGTTCATTCATGTTGACCATTGTATGGGATTCCTCTTAAATATACCACATTTATTTATTAATATTAAAATATCAAGATTGTTATACATCAATCAATGATACATTTGTATCATATCAAAAGATTGTGCTTAATGAAATTTTATGCACTTAATAAAAGAAATAGAATTTTGAGAAAGAAGTAGTCAAAGTTTGAGTACAGGATAGGTGATTAAAGTTTGGAAAGTTTTTCTATCATTTTCTTGCCACTAAATTAAATAGTATGGCAATGTCTGCATGTAGGATTTGAAGTATGGCCTATAATTATCTACCCTTATCAATTCAGATTCATACAGTTACTAAAGCAGTAGGATCACTTTTCAGTTTAAGAAGGAAAAACCAGCGGTCCGTGGATCATTCTCTCACCCTCCCAACTCCCTCTGCTGCTGGGAAAAAGGGACTGTCTGGAACCATAAACTACAGCAATATATATATGCCATACTCCTGAAGATATTTAATGTGGTCTTGGGAAGAGATATAACAGAATTATTTAGTCAAAAAAGTAGAACAATCAAGAACCTGACAATCAAGAACACAATGAACTATGATGAAGGTAACCCAAGGGAGGCAACAAAGGTACTGGTGCTATGCTATCTTCAATAAGAAAGGTATTTCTGCAGTCATCACAATGACTAATTGAGGGAACTGAGTAGCAGGGAGTCTTATTAAGACTCCACAACCCAGGAGGTAACCAAATGGTCATGTCATATTTGTGTTATTTGCTTGAAGATGTCACCTAGGATCCAAATTCCTGGAAGTCACCTCCCTGAGCCAAACAAACAAGTGCCTCTGGCCCCTAGGCTCATCTCCAGTGATCCTGCATGTAGAGTGGATTATTAGTGGCATCACCTTTAATGCTGGTTACTCTATTCTCTGTTGAACCTGAGGGAAAATTAAGGTAGGGCTTATTGTGTCTCTCTTACAGGACTCATAGATCTGCTGTTTCCATCCCTCTCAAAGAGCTGATATCATACTAATAAAAGTGTAGTATGAGTTTTCAGAAGCCCAAAATATGCAGTTCTTCAAACAAAGGAAATACTTATTATTCCCCAAATAATTCAAGAGGTTTTTATGGTTCAAGTATTACTAATGACTAATTTTGTTTGATTGTATTCCTTCTACTAACAGAGAACCAGTTTTTCTGAAATTATCATATTGTAATATGATCATGTCAGAATGTTTGCTATCACCCGGAATTTATCATAGCTAGGCCCACAGAAGTTTTATGTTGAGATTTAAAACAGGAAAATTAAATTGTCATTTCTAATAATACTAATGAAGTTTATAGACTTAAGTATAGATTGAAAGTTGAAGCAACTTAACAATGCGGGTGAATATTTCTGGAACCATTTAGGGCAATTTAACCATTTGTTTAAAGTTGCAATGACTTAAGGAGGAAGAGTAAAAATCTGGGAGTTATTCCTGTTCAGTTGGAGGAAGCTGGTTGTTTCCTTAGTCTAATGATACATTCTGATAGGTGAGGCTGAGCAGTAGTACAACCAGGGTGGCAGTGGGTCTGCAGTCATCCCTCTGCCATTCCCAAATCCCACCTCAGGGGAGCCTGCCTCAATAGCTACCTGTTCTCAACCACATTTGCTTTCAGACACCTACATAGATTGTCGTGTCTTTTTACAGTTAAAGAAAATTTTTACATTGATGGCAATATAGTATTAATTACTATAAAAATAACCCCATGAAATTTATATAATAATTCAGATTTTGCAGCTAAATAACTCAGGAATGAGAGAAATTAGGTAGCTTGGGGAAAGATGTAAATTTAAATATGGCAGAGCTGGGATCCAACTCTAATGTTCAGTAACTAAAATATCTCTGCTCTTTCTTCTTCCACTCTTTTTTGAAATAAAATACATATTGTTGAAGACCAGAAAGGAAAAAGGAGGATGTTTTCTAAAACCTAGGGCTAAATCTAAATGTAAACAATAATTTTATCCACTGTAAAAAATTAATGACAAAAGTCTATCCACAGGAGAAAAGGTTTTTTTAAATTTCTGGGTCATTTTATAATTTCATGAAAACCAGTAGGCCGGGCGCGGTGGTTCACGCCGGTAATCCCAGCACTTTGAGAGGCTGAGGCTGGCGGATCGTCCAAGCTCAGAAGTTCGAGACCAGCCTGGGCAACATGGTGAAACCCCATCTCTACCAAAAAATACAAAAATTAGTTGGGCATAGTGGCATGCGCCTGTAGTCCCAGCTACTAAGAAGGCTGCGGTGGGAGAATCACTTGAGCCCAGGAGGCGGAGGTTACAGTGAGCTGAAATCATGCCATTGCACTCCAGCCTGGGCTACAGGAGTGAAATCCTGTCTCGAAAAATAATAATAACTTCATGAAAACCTGCATCTACCCTATGGAAAGATTATAACCTACAAATGAAGTATTGAGCTGGAGTGTTTAAGAATTAGTTTGATCACACATGTTTGAATTAACTAAGAGTTAACACCATCTGGACAGATCATTTTCAGTGATATGAAAGTTAGTTTTGGCCACAACATGTTGATTATACCTCTAACTCTGATTATACCTCTAAGTCAATTTTATAAAGATAAAATCTTGATAGTATTTGTTCTTGGTTTTAAAGAGTGTCTGCCTCAATATGCCCCAATGTATCCAAATAAATAGTTAATCACTCCCTTAATGCAATTAATTTGATCAGTCTAAAAAGAATTAGGGCCAGAGGTAACTTTTTATGTGGGACTCAAAATCCTACCAGTGTTACACATTACAAATATTTATGATTTGCAGACATAACACATTCATTGGCAAGTAAGTGCAATAAATTTACAAGTTATTTTGCCAAAATATGTCAAGTAACATTTTTTTCACTTGCACAAAAATAAATATATCATCTGTGCAATAGAAATATCTGACTGAAAATTTCAAAAATAATTTAACTTTTTTTAGGTTTCTTAGGCAAGCATATGTTTGATGTCACAGAATAATTAAATTTCCTCATTGTATTATTCCATGATAATCTTTACATGGGCTCTTTAGATAATATTTTTGAAGAATGTTCCCATAGTCTTATAACATAGAGGTATATATAGCAGAGACACTAGCTGAGGGCATTACAAATTATAGTCAACATAGATTTTTGTTTTTCAGAGAACCAATCAATTCTGGAATTTTAGAAACAGTTACTATACAAGGTGAAACAGAATTTTTTATTTTTCTTCATAATCATGAAGAAGAAGATATTGGCACTTTTAACAAGAAACCAGAAGAAAGAAGCTACTTTTTATACTTAAAAAGTAAATATTTCCTGGGCGCCATGGCTCACTCCTGTAATCTCAACACTTTGGGAGGCTGAGGCAGGCAGATTGCTTGAGCCCAGGAGTTTGAGACCAGCCTGGGCAACATGGTGAGACCCCATCTCTACAAAATATAGAAAAATTAGCTGTGCATAGTGGGGCACACCTGTAGTCCCAGCTACCAGGGAGGCTGAGGTGGGAGGATCACTTGAGCCCCAGTAAGTTGAGGCTGCAGTGAGCTGGATTGTGCCACTGCACTCCAGCCTGGGTGACAAAGTGAGACTGTCTCAAAAAAAGTAAATATTATTTAAATGTTCTTATCAGTTATAATTGTGATATTTATTTTTACACAGAGTGAATGTGAACAGCTATGTCTTTGTGGAGGTTTGTGAGCCGTCCTCTCTTCTCAAGCTGATAACTATTATTTTTAATAAGTCTCATAATGATGAGTGATATTCTCACATTTTGGATTTATTCATTTTAGTGACTATTTCCACAAAAATGATCTCCTCTTACAATAAAATACTCTAGTAGAAAGAGGTTTGAATTAGTTTATCCTTTTAAAAAAACTACTAAAGATACTAAGAACTTCTGAGATCCAACAGAAGAATTTCTTTGGCAATGCAGTACAGATGCAGTAGATAGTTCTGTTGTGAAAAATTCTGAACACATTTACAGGGAGTATATATACCATGAATAAAAGGGAGATCTTATAGGATCGACAATCTACAAAATTTATTTTAGAACTGATACATGGCACTCATTCCATATTCATATTTCTTCTGTTACACCTTTACAAATTATTTTAGTTGGATTTTAGGCCTCGAATAGCAAAACATTTTTTTTTATTCTCGGTCTTAAGAATACTGCCAATATGTTATTTCAAGACAAATACTCTGTAAAACACAGAATATGAAAAATGAACATGGCTTTTTAAGATATTAAATTACTATTGATGTCTTCTGAAACAAATACAAAAAGCAGAGAAGTAGAAGCTGTTTGGAAATCACCAAATCTATAACACGTATTATGGGGGCTTGTACATTTATCACAAGAATAGAAATTCTAGATGTCCCCTAACTTAAATCTCTGTAGCTTTAAAAAATGGTATATGCAACTCTGCACCAGAGACAAAAGTAAGTTCATTTAAAGCATTTTTTCCACCTGCTCATTGCAGTAACTTCATTAAAAGTAATTTCTATTTTCAGTGTAAAATTTGGTATTATGTAAATATAATCACTCCCACTGGCCTTCATAACTTTCCAGCACATCTATGAATTGCAAACATATATTTTCCCACTTATATTTACAGAAGCTTTTTTAAAAAATATTTTTGCTGGTTTTAATGTTTAACAATGGGAAATGGGTAACAAATAGGGAATAATGAACTTGAGACCATAAAGAAATTGCATGAGAGAAAACCATTTTAATGAGGGGAGAAATATCCTTCTTATGCCAATCCAAAGAGGATTGGATGCACTGTTGTCACATGCATGCCAACGCTGCACTGTTGTTGTAGACACAGCTGGGGGTGCATAATGACCATATAGCACAAAGGTTTTGCAGACTGCAGCATAGCAGGGATTTTAGCAGTAATTTTATATCTATATGAGAGCCAATTCACCTTTCTTCTGGAACTGAGAATGCTGCACTGTTGTTGTCATCAGATATTTCTATTGCACAGATGATATATTTATTTTTGTGCAAGTGAATAAAATGTTACTTGACATATTTTGGCAAAATAACTTGTAAATTTATTGCACTTACTTGCCAATGAATGTGTTATGTCTGCAAATCATAAATATTTGTAATGTGTAACATTGGTAGGATTTTGAGTCCCACATAAAAAGTTACCTCTGGCCCTAATTCTTTTTAGACTGACCAAATTAATTGCATTAAGGGAGTGATTACTTATTTATTTGGATACATTGGGGCATATTGAGGCAGACACTCTTTAAAACCAAGAACAAATACTATCAAGATTTTATCTTTATAAAATTGACTTAGAGGTATAATCAGAGTTAGAGGTATAATCAACATGTTGTGGCCAAAACTAACTTTCATATCACTGAAAATGATCTGTCCAGGTGGTGTTAACTCTTAGTTAATTCAAACGTGTGATCAAACTAATTCTTAACTAACTCTCAAACTAATTCTTAAACACTAATTCTTAGACTGTGGCAGAATTCATCATAATTTCTCTTGAGTTTATAATGCATATTTAAGAAAAAAAGTTTTTATTCCAAAAATATGGGGATGACTTTTGATACCCATGGTAAGAAATTCCTTAATGACTATTTTTTTCTCTTATTGTATAGTTTACATTGAATTAAGAAAGAAAAGTATAAAACTTTTGACAATAGCTTTAAACTGAGACATTATATTGTTATAGATTTATTTGTAATTTTGAAGAACAGAGACAGAATTAGATAGTGGCATCAATTAAAAAAGAAGAAATAATTTATGGAAGAAATAATTAATCAGTTAAAATTAATAATCACCCCAAGCTACTATTGATCACTTACTATCTGCAAGGCACTTTGATATCAACTTAATACCTGGAATGATGCTAAGAGAGATTAAGAAAATAAATAGCCCTACCATCAAGGAACTTACAATCTAGTAGGATACATGAGAAATACATAAGTATAATATGGAGTAGAAAACCTGTCATTTCAGTGTATAAAAATGCCATATGTTAAAAGGAGTGCTAGAACATTTTTAAATCAAAGATTCTCAGACAATTTTATAAGTATGTTGCATTGAGCTGACCACCAAAACATGGAAAAGATTTGGATGGGGAGTTTGCATGGGACAATGTGGAAATGGCTGATATTAATAAGTGGTGAGAATTCTCTCAGAGAGTCTATTAGCATATCCCTCATGCTTGAAGGATTGTACAAACTGATGAAACAAACAGCCTGGGGCTGATTATTGAGTGATCTATGCACCAACACTCTATAACAAAGACAATATTATTCAGTGGTTAACAGCAAAGGTTCAGGCATCATATACACCATTTGCAAATCCCACTTATTCTCTGTGTGACCCAGGTTAATTAAGAGGCTTGAGACTATATACTTAGTGTTGTAACATGAATAAGATACAGGATTTAACTTACAGGGAAAAATTTATGCTTCAGTGAAAAATTATGCATTGTCCAGATTCTAGAGGACATCCCTTTGAACAATCTGATTCTGATTCTGTGGCAGATATTTTACAATTTTGTAAATTATTAACTGATAGCAATGTAAAATAATTCTTGTCTATGACATACAAATTCAGTCCTGTTGGGTAGAGATTGAATTTACTTCCTTCTCCCACAGTGGAAGAAGCAAGTTTAGCCTCTATTTGCACATGCATTTCCACATTGATTTACTCCTTATAAATTTGTGCTTCTTTGACTTTTTTTTGAACCACTTATTACATCTGTGTGGGCCCCTCATTGATTGAGTTGAATAAAAATCTTTAACACATTTATTTTATATCTATATGAGAGTCATTTCACATTTCTTCTGGGACTTAATTCTTTTTACTAAATATTATTAGGCTAAGACTTATTCATATCAAGTGTAGCTATGGTTGATTCATATTGATTTTGGATATACTTCAGTGTATTTATTCATACTTTAAAAATCCAAGAATGTTTGATACATTGGCTAGATTTCTTATAAGCACAAAATAAATGTATTTGGAAAAGATATTTTGCCTAAGACTTCACAACTTATCATATTTCTCCAGTTCATTATTGCCTCCCCAAAACCTTCTTCAGTGCTCCTTTCACCTCCTTATTCCTTAAAGTATAGATGAGCAGATTCAACATAGGAGTCACCAGGTTGTAGAAGAGAGTGAGAAACTTGCCTTGGTCTTGGGAAGAACTGTTTCCTGGCTGCATATACATATAGATGATGCTCCCATAAAACAGGGAGACCACTGTGAGGTGAGAGCTACAGGTATGGAAGGCCTTCCATTGCCTGGCAGCTGACTTGATGCTTAGCACAGCTGCAGCAATGTAGCCGTAGGAGACAAGAATAAGAGTGAGGGGCAGTAGGACAATGAGAACGGCAAAAGCAAAAGCCAGCATTTCCACTGCACGAACATCCAAACAAGCCATCTTGATCAGTGCTGGCTTTCACAGAGGAAATGGTTAACTCGGCGGCGGCCACTTCTGGAGAGGGTCATTGTTAGTGGTGACATGACAACGGCATTGACCAGTCCACTCCCCCAGGCTGCAGCCATCAGTCCTAGACACAGCTGGAGGTGCATAATGACCAGATAGCGCAACGGTTTGCAGACTGCAGCATAGCTGTCATAGGCCATGACAGCCAGAAGGATGCACTCAATTCCCCTGACAGAAAGGAAAGAGAAAAGCTGGACAACACAGCCAGCACAGCTAATAGTCTTGTCAGGGCCCCAGAGGTTTACCAGCATTTGTGGGATGCAACTAGTACTGAAGCAGAGATCTAGAAAGGAAAGATTTGCCAGAAAGAAGTACATTGGGGTATGAAGTTGAGAGTCTAATATACACACAAGGATTATGGTTGAATTTCCCAGCACAGCCACTGAATACAGAATAAAATTTACTGTAAAGAGCACCATCTCCAGCTTGGGACGATCAGAGAAACCCACCAAGATAAAACCATACACTGAGCTGACATTGGATTTTTCCATTGCCTTCCTTTCACATCATCTGTATAGCTAGTAGGGACAAAATGAAGAATATTTAATCTGCAATATGTGAATACCATTGAATGTCAGGATTTGGGGGGGACATATAACTATCAAGCCTAACAACCCATTCAATAATTGTAGCATATCTTCTGCCCAGCTAGCTATATAAGCTGTTTATCATTTGTTCAAACACATAAGGCAAAGTGTTTCATTGTTGGGAAATTCTTATTTATAATCCTCTTTTTATTAAGTAGACATTTTCTCCCTATGATGCACAAGACAAACTATTTTAAATTTATTGAATACACATCAATCTAATACCTCTTCCTATTACATCATTAACTGTTTTTTTGTTTGTTTGTTTGTTTTTGAGACAGGGTCTTGCTCTGTAGCCCAGGCTGGTGTGCAATGATACAACCTCAGCTCACTGCAACCTCTGCCTCTCAGGTTCAAACAATCCTCCCACCTCAGCCTGCTGAGTAGCTGGGACTACAGGCGCACACCACCATGCCCGGCTAATTTTGTTCATGTTTTTGTAGAGATAAGGTCTCACTATCTTGCCCAGGCTGGTATCAAACTCCTGGCCTCAAGTGATCCTCTTGCCTTGGCCTCCCAAAGTGCTGAACTGAATGGATGTTGGCCAGGTGTGAGCCACTGCACCTGGCCAATATCCATTAACCTATTATAGGCATTTACTACATCTTGACTAAATTTTCTGTAGTCTAAGACATTCACTTTCCTTCAACTGTTCTTATAAACAAGGTTAGCAAATGTATTGTCACCTAATAGCTGTCTTCTACATGCCCTCAATGTTGACAATGACCTGAAAATGTGACACCATGGCTGAGCTCACTACTTGCATTTTTGAAAAACACAAGACACAGGGAAATTACTGCCCACCATGAGCTGAACTATTATGATCTAATTACTGTGGCATAAGTATGCATCTACTTTACAGTGTTAATGTTATCTTTTCACTTAGGTTATAACTGTATCTACTAAATATCACAGTTCTTTATTCCCGTGAAATACTTACTGTCAACTTTGATCTCTACAATTCATGTCTTTGTAAGCAAGAGAATTTTGCAACCAAGATTGCCAAAGTCAGGGAGCATATTCTGTCCATTAATAAAATGGCAATTTTGAATATATTTTATCTTCAGTTAGCCTTTTGCAAATGTTAAAAAACAATGTGATTAGCTTACAGAGGAGAGGTGCACGGCAATAGGGACGAGTAGAGACAAAGGGAAGGAGAATGTGGTAAATAAAAAGGAATTTAAAAAGCATCATTTAAAAACATAAATTTAAAAAATGACCCTAACATGGCTAAGAAGAATAAAGTCAGATCGATTCATAAAGACACACACTCATAACTGGGTTAAAGGATACTAGGATAAAAGTGAAATAACAGAGAAAAGGAGAAGTGTGAAAATAGCAGAACAGCAGGTACAATATGGGTGTGAAATATACCTCACACTACAATGCAATCTACAGAATTAAGGGCTGCTTCTAATTAGTATATTCAATTAGGAAATGAGAAAAAATAAATACAGAGTAGGACTTAAATTTTTATCACAGATATTTTGATTTTCAAATGAAAAACTTGTCTTTGGTGAAAACGTCTTGACATTGACGTTCTTATAGTAAATTTATTTTCCATAGTCAAATACAGTATACCAAAGTAAAAGAAAAATTTCCCTATTTTCTCTGGTCATTTAGGCTTACCTGGTTTCAACTTTCCCAAAGTATACAGGAAGAAGAAATGTTCATGTTATTTCCTCTGGCTTGGATTGTTATCTAGGATTTTGTGGAAGATTATGTGGTTAATAGAAATAGAAAGTAACAGTATGATTATGATACGAATGCACCAGAAATCATATGGAAGTGATTACAATGATCTCAACTTGTCAAGAAACAAGGTGACAAGCCCCAAACTCTCTTCTCTGCATTAGATTCTAGTTTTTTTCTGAAGATAAAAGAGGAACAAAGCCATGTGATTCCTTTTCTTACAATTTGATGTAAGTGATAGAGTAATGATGTTGCACTACTTCAGAAAAAGGTAAAATGGAGTAATTGCAATGGGGTAATTAAATTATGGAGAAAAGAGGCAATTGTAATAGAAAACAGTGTTCACATTCTTCCTCTGTCTACCTGCCATTTGGGACAAATACCTGGTGTTCACCAGGCTTTCTGGAGTTGTCAACCAAAGCTCCAAGACAAGGATGTCCTGCTGACTCCAGAAAATAACCAAGGCAGATTTGAAAGGTCTTATAGACCCAGATGGGGAAGAAAATGGAGGGCTTATTTCTTAGGATCAAAAGTGGTACCTGAAAGTTGGCACAACGTATTTTCTTGCAAAGATCATGGGGGTTGCATGCTCCTTTGGGTAATTAACTAGTGCTGCAGAAGGAAATAGAAGAGTAAATTCTTATGGGAAATCATGGAGTCATCAGGGAAATCATCAGATGATTGGGAATAAAAACTCTTAGGACCATTTTTAGGTTTTAGTCTGGGCCATAGCTGTTCATATCCTTAAAATTTGACTTTTTATTTCTATGGTAAAATATTTTTGGTGTTTGGTGGGGCAAAAAAATACATTTGGCAACATAGGGCAAATATGAACAATATTTGAACACTTCTTTGTCCAAAATTGAGATTTTGTCAGTTTTCTTAGGAAATAATATTAAAGTCTAATTTATTTATATTTGAATATAATTTTCAATTGAAAATTATATTAAATCCAAAGAGTTTTTTTTTTTGCCATTGTCACTTCATTTGTAACTTTTATTTACAGGTTCGATTGGTAAAGTTACTGGAATGTATGACATACAAAATAAACACATGAAATTTGGTTGACTGATGCTCAATAAATTATATTCAAACAAAAAACTGAAGTCACACTGATTACCCTTTGGAGAAGGTAAAATTGGCCCCCAAGAACCTCCAAAATGATAATATTGTCTCTAAGAGAAGTGAAGGATTAGAGAGATTTCTTTAGGAAGGCGCATAGCTTAAGAAGAAACATTGAGCACATTCATTGCTGTGAGAGATGAAAGCTTGCGTTTTCATCAAATCGATGTTATTTGAAACTCATGACTGACCCTAAAAAAATTATTTCGGGCCGGGCGCAGTGGCTCACGCCTGTAATCCCAGCACTTTGGGAGGCCAAGTTGGGCGGATCATGAGGTCAGGAGATTGAGACCATCCTGGCTAACACAGTGAAACCCCGTCTCTACTGAAAATACAAAAATTCGCCGGGCAAGGTGGCGGGTGCATGTAGTCCCAGCTACTCAGGAGGCGGAGGCAGGAGAATTGCTTGAACCTAGGAGGTGGAGGTTACAGTGAGCCGAGATCATGCCATTGCACTCCAGCCTGGGTGACAGAGAGAGACTCCGTCTCAAAAAAAAAAAAAAAAAATTTCAGAAGCAGAACATGTATATGTTATCTGGGTTTAAAATTGTATCATTTCATAATTGTTATCAAAATAGAGTGAAGTAAAAAGGAATGTAAGAATCAAGTATTATGGCCAATGAACAAATCACAATGGCTCAATACGTTTCCAGATGAATCCTGCTCTGTTTTTGAAAACAGAGAAAAATATTTACAACACATTTGTGGAACAGACAGCAAATATTTTTAGTGATCAAAGAACTTTTTCCAATTTGTAAGCTTTTTCAAATCAAAAGGATTAAGCTTACCTGGGCAAGGCAAATGGGTAAAGGATAGTGAGATACAATTTACTGAAATTGTAATGCATATGGTCGTAAAACATGTAATATTTTTTCAACCTAATGCATAATTAAATAAGTACAAATTAACACAACAATCAGTAATTATTTTTCTGGTGTCATGTTGCACATACTTTTCAGTTGGGTCATATTCAGTCTATGATAATAGAGAATGGCACTCTCATAAATTGTGTGTGAGAATGTAAATCAGTTTTAAATTTTTGGAGGATAGTTTTGCCAGATTTTTGGAAATTTGGTAAATGCACAAGTCTTTAACCCAATAATTCCACTTTCAGGAATTTATTATTAGAAATACTTACATAAGTGCAAAAAGATATATACATAGCACAGTTATATTGTGGATAAAAAAAGGGAACAGACTAAATGTTCATTGACTGAATAATGGTTAAGTATATGTACATTCATAAATAAAAAGTATAAAGTCACAGAAAAATGTGGTGTGTGCGTGTGTGTGTGTGCATGTGTGTGTATGTGTGTGTGCGCATGTGTGTGTATGTGTGTGTGTGTGTGTGTTGATACGGAAGCTAAACAAAAATATTTTAAACATATTTTGAGTGTATTACATAGTAAATATTTCAAATATATTTTTAAACATATTAAAACGTATTAGAGAGTAAATATAAATTGTTAAAGAATACTATATTAAAATTGAAATTATTAAAATATAGTTATATATTAAATAAAATACATTAACTTTTGAAAAATTGTGTTTCAAAATTTCAGCTATAATGCATCCCCATTTCTAAAATATTATAATTTACATGAATATGCCAAGATAACTGGATTTTGAAGGAAGTGGATTTTCAATTTATGCTTTTTATTCTTTCAAAAATTTTTTGTATTAAAAAATATTTTTAAATTGATGCATAATAATTGTACATATTTATGGTGTATAGTGTCATATTTTGCAATGTATGCATTATATAATGATCAAATCAGGGCATTTAGGCCGGGAGCAGTGGCTCGCGCCTGTAATCCCAGCACTTTGGGAGGCTGAGGTGCAGATCACGAAGTCAGAAGTTCAAGACCAGCCTGTCCAATATGGTGAAACCCCATCTCTACTAAAAAAATACAAAAATTAGCCAGGCATGGTGGCACGTGCCTGTAGTACCAGCTACTCAGGAGGCTGAGGCAGGAGAATCGCTTGAACCCAGGAGGTGGAGGTTGCAGTGAGCTGAGATCGCACCAATGCACTCTAGCCTGGGCGACAGAGTGAGACTCGTCTCAGGAAAAAAAAAAAAAAATCAGGGTATTTAGCATGCCATCACCTCATATATTTATCATTTCTTTGTGGTGAGAACATTCAAAATTCTCTCTTCTAGCTGTAGAAAAATATACATATTTTAATACATAATATAATGTTTTAGCATATAATATAGAGTAATATTTAATATAGAATATTTTGAAATCTACAATACGATCTTATTAACCGTAAGTCACCCTACTGTGCAAAAGAACATTAGAATTTACTACTCTATCTTATTGCAACTTTGTATCAATTGACTGAATTCTCCTCATACTCCCCTCTCCTGGTTAACTACTGGTTTCCAGGAGTTTCTGGTAACTAATATTCTACTCTTTATTCCTATGAGATAGACTTCTTTAGATTCCACATATGAGTGAAACGTGGTGTTTGTCTATCTGTGCCTGTTTATTTCACTTAATGCATGTCCTCGAAGTCCAACAAATGCATGTTATTTGTTGCCACAAATGACAGGATTTCATTTTTTATGACTGAATAGTATTCCATTGTGTATATATGCACAGTCCTTTATCCATTCATCCATTGATGAATACTTAGGTTGATGAGATATCTTGGCTATTGTGAACAGTGCTGCAATAAACATGGGAGTGAAGATATCTCTTAGACATACTGATTTTAATTTCTTTGGATACATAGGCAATAGTGGGATTGCTGGATCATATTTTAATTTAATCTAATTTAATTTGATTTAATTTAATTTTAATCTATTTTCATTTTTTGAGGAAGCTTCATACTGTTTTCAGTAATTGCTGTACTAATTATATTCTCACCAACAGTGTATAAGAGTTCCCCTTTCTCCACATCCATGCTAGCATTTGTTATTTGTTATTTTTTACATAGTAGCCATTCTAATTGGGGTGGGGGGATATCTCATTGTGGCTTCGATTTGCATTTCCACGATGATTAGTGATGTTGAGCATTTTTTCATTAAATCAGATAATAATAATTAATTATTATTATTACTAAGGAGTGGTTTGAGTTCCTTATACATTCTGGATATTAACCCCTTATCAGATGAATAGTTTGCAAATATTTTCTCCCATTCTATAGATTGTCTCTTTACTCTTTGGATTGTTTCCTTTGCTGTGCAGAGACTCTTTCGCTTGATGTAATCTCATTTGTTTGTTTTGGTATTCTGGGCTTTTGAGGTCTTATCCAAAGATCCTTGCCTACACCAATGTTATAAAGCATTTCCTCTATGCTTTCTTCTAGTAGTTTTGTCATCTTGGGTCTTACATTTAAATCTTGAGTCCATTCTGAGTTGATTTTTGTTATATGATGAAAAGATAGGGTCTATCTAGCTTCATTTTTCTGCATGTGGATATCCGGTTTTTCCAGCACCATTTATTAAAGAGACTGGCCTTTCCCCAGTGTGTGTTTTTGGCACATTTGTAGAAAACCAATTAGCTGTAATTGTGTAGATTTATTTCTGGGTTCTCTATTTTGTTCCATTGGTCTATATTAATTTTTAAGCCAGTACCATGCTGTTTTGGTTACTATAGCTTTGTAGTATATTTTGAAGTCAAGTGGTATGGTGCCACCAGGTTTATTCTTTTTTCTTTTATTCTTCTTGTTCAAAGACCGCAAAAGCACAGTTCAAAGTGGCTTTAGCTATTTGGGGTTTTTGTGTGTGTGTGTGTGGTTTCACATGCATTTAGGAATTATTTTTTCTATGTGAATCATATCATTAGTATTTTGATTGCATTGAATCTATAGATTGCTTTGGGTATCATAGACTTTTAAACAATGTTAATTCTTTCAATCCACAAACATGGATATCTTCCCATTTATTTGTGTACTTTTTAATATATTTCAACAATGTTTTATAGTTTTTATTGTAGTGATCTTTCACCTCCTTGGTTAAATTTATTCCTAGGTATCTTTTTTTTGTAGTGATTATAAATGAGATTGCTTTCTTGATTTTTTTCAGATAGTTTGCTATTGGCATATAGATACACTACTGATTTTTGGATGCTGATTTTGTATATTGCAACTTTACTGAATTAGTTTATTGGTTCTGACAGTTTTTTTGGTGGTGTCTTTAGGGTTTCTATATAAAAGGTCATGTCATCTGTGAACAGGGACAATTTGGCTTTCTCCTTTCCAATTTGTATGTCTTCTATTTCTTTGTCTTGCCTACTTGCTCTGATTAGCACTTCAGTACTATGTTGAATAAATGTGTTAAAAATGGGCATTCTTATATTTTTCCAAATCTTAGAGATGAAGCTTTCAACTTTTCCCTATTCAGTATGATGTTAGCTGTCAGCTTGTCATATATGGACTTTATTGTTTTGAGGTATGTTCCTTGTACACCTGGTTCAAGAGTTTTTATCATAAAGCCTGTTGAATTTTATCAAATGCCTTTTATTTGTCATGTAGTTTTTGTCCTTGATTCTGCTAACATGATATATCATGTTTATTGATTTGTGTATGTTGAACCATCCTTGCAACCCTAGGACAAATTTCACTTGATCATAGTGAATGATCTTTTTAATGTGCTATTGAATTTGGTTTGCTATATTTTTAAGAGTTTTTGTATCTATGTTCATTAGGGATATTGGCCTGGAGTTTTCTGGTTTTGTTGCATTTTGTCTGGTTTTTGGTATAAGAGTAACAATGGCCTTGTAGAATGAGTTTGGAAGAATTTCTTCCTCTTCAATTTCTAAAATACTATGATTTACATAAATATGCAAAGATAACGGGAGTTTCAAAGAAGTGAATTTTTAATTTTCCCTGTTTAGTCTTGTAAAAATAAAAAAGTTAACATATAACCATGTGAAAATGTAATATATAATTATGACTATATGTTACTTTAACATTTAAAAGGGTTAAATAAATTTTGGAAGTAAATTTTTAAAATTAAGCTTCAGTTTAATGTCATTTGTTTTTTCATGTTTTCTCTGTCTTCTAAGTAAAAAGAAAAGATACTCAACCCACTAACTCATTTAACAATTGACTTATTGTCCCTGATAGTTAAGGAGTTGAGAAAAGAAAGATGGAATTATAGATTGGAGAGACTAAAGAATGAGAAATATTTGGATTTATTGATAAAATAAGTTTTTCTTAGGCCATTTTTTTTCTGGTAAAATTGAAAGATGGCTACATTTACTCATGTGATTCTCTCTGCATAACTGAAAAATCTTAAGGGATTCTGAGTGATGACATCAATGGGTAATATTTAAAACTAGAGCAAGTGGGAAATTGATTTTCACCTTCTGCAGTTCTTTATAAAAGTTGGAAGGAAGAACAAGACCCTAGATATCTCATTGTAATAACTATTAGAATTAAGCTACCAACAGCAATGATCTTGTTTTCTCCATGTCCACAGGGATCCAGCTCTTGGGAGAGTAGAACTGATTAACATGTTCTTCCTATGCTGCATGCAACTATTAAAAAGTTTCAAATGACTTTTGTTATAATTCATAAAATAGAACACTCTCTGGGGTTATCTGCCTTAGAAGAGAAACAGTCAATTAATGACTGATTACAGTGGAGAGCTAAAGTGAGTCAGCTCCTGTCACTGTTGTCTTCCCTTTGCTTTACAGTTGCATCTTAGAGCTATTCAGCAGCCCTGGGGATTTACCCAATATTATTATTCACCCCATCAAATCTGAAACTTTCCCATTATAACTCAAATAATCATCCCCTCACTTCTGGATGGCATTTTGATGAGTAGAGATTTAGTGAGAGTATCTAGGAGAGCTATTCTCTATCACTGACTTTTTTGTTCTATGCTTATCCTTCAGGAATAATTCCCATAAAATCTTATAATGCAGAATGACTCTGGGATATGCAATATATTTCTATTCATTAAACATTTTCAGGCACTGTGAAAGACACTTGGGATGTAAATAAACGTTACATATGTTCCCTCAAGGATCTCACAATCCAGAGAAAGGTAAGAATGAGGAAATTACAATATTGTGTCACAATTACTATCTTATCCAAGACAGTGAAAAAGATGAACATTGGATTATTTATTCTATTATGTTTGTTAACTGCTTATTATTTTTCCATTCTTTGATATTTTCATTTCCATTAAGTATTGTGTTTACTGCTATATTCCCCTCTGTGTAATCCCTTCTATTAAGTATGAGTTAGTCTTATTGATGATGGCAGGAGGCAGATAGGTTCCTAGGTGGGAAGGGGCGGGTCTGCAGTGAGGCCCGACCTTCAAGCCAAGGATGGCCTGAAGCCTGGGGGTTGGGTTGCCAGTTCCAGATGGAGTCCAAGACATAGAGTAAGAACTTCCTTGATGCCTTTTGGACAATCAGGTGATGCTTTTTCCTGGCCCACCCATTGACCAATCAACGTGCACTTTCTCCATGGACCAATTCTCCTGCCCAGCATGTACTTCCTCCTTTTCGAGGACGGGCTCATAATAACCTTCCTGGGGTTATTCTGAGCCCATAAAAACCCCAGATTCAGTCCAACCCTGCCTGTGAATAGGAGCTACCCACTTCAGGTCTCTGCTGAGAACTGTTCTGTTGCTTAATAAAGCTCTTCTTCACCTTGCACACCCTCCAGTTGTCCACATAACCTCATTCTTCCTGGACACAGGTCAAGAACTCGAGACCCATGGAATGGCAGGCGTGAAAAGGGCTGTAACACTTCCCTGGCTGGCTCGCTAAGCTATGTGGGCAGTGACACACTCCTGTTTGTCAAACTGTGGGAGTGAAGCCTGGTGACTAGTGACTCTTCTGAGGGCCCAGACCTCGGGATTCCCCCTGCCAGAGCTGTAACACTATAGCCCTACCCACCTCCACTGGTGTGGGGTGGCTGCCCCATGCAATGGGAAGCAGCCGTGTGGCTGGGCCAGCCCAAGAGCTGTGGGCTGGAGTGGGGTGGTGGGACTGAACAAGCCGCAACACAACGGGCTGAAACCCACCCTGCATCCATTTACCAAGCTGCAGGTGGCGGGAAAGAGAGAGATGTAGCACGTGCTCCGCCCAACACCCCTTGGGGCTCTGACATTGTGGCATCGTCAAGTTTTCAGGCGCCACCGCATTCCCCTCGTCCAGGCCCGGTGCCTGCAGGGGAAGCTGCTTGCCGTATACCTGGTCCAGCCACAGCCTTGCATGGAGCCGGCACTAGGAGCTGCTTACTCCGCCACAGCAGACGGTGCGCCTGGCTGTGTACAGTGGCCAGACACCACGCTCACTCACACACCCTTCACTGCTCTGTGCCTGGCTCACCCTCGGCGGGCATGGGATCTGGGCCGGTAGTGCAAACCGAGTGCAGCCTGCTGAGCCAAGTGGGCAAAATTAGCCAAGTGGGCAAAATGAGCCCAGTGGGCATGAGCTAAACTCAAGCAGAGGCGCCAACGGCCACAGAGGTTTCTGGCTGGCGAAGTGACACCTGAAGGATCCTGTGACATTATTGACTCACTTCTAACAATTAGAACAAAGCAGAAGTGATGTGATGTCACTTCCAAGATGTTAGGTTCTAAAAAGACTGGCTTTCATGTTAGGTGCACTCTCTCTCACTCTTTCTGATGGATTACTCATGGTGGAGAAAGATAGCTTCCATGTCATGGAGCAGCCGTATGAATAGGCCTAAATGAGTAACCCTGCAAGTAGGTCTTCTGAGACCAGCCAACTGGTAGTGGGTGAGATTGGAAACCCCATTAAGACCTAAGATGCCTGTAGCTCCAGCCAACACTTTGTATCCTTGTGTGAGACCTACCCGGAGCCAGAGGACCCCACTAAGCTGTGCCTCGATTCCTAACCTAAAAGAAATGGTGAAGTAATAAACGTTTATTGTTTTAAGCTAGTAAGTTTCGGGGTGATTTGTTATGCAGTAATAGATAACTACCATACCATACTGTCAGGGGAAATTGACTCTGATCAGCAGGAAGAAGCAGGGCTGATTTTAGACAATAGGGCCGCAGAATCATTCATGTGGAGCACAGGAGATCTACTTGGCTACCTCCTGTGTTCCATCATAACTATGAATAGACAGGTGCAGCAACTTCAGACTGAAAAGGTCATGATTACCAAGGGTTCAGACCTTTAGAAATGAAGGTTTGGGTCACAATCCCAGGTCAGCAACCAAGACCCTTCAAGATGCTAGATGAGGGTGGGGGAGATTGGAATAGATAACTAGAAGATACCCTTGTGAATTTCCACTCAGAAAGAGAAGTCCATGAAGACCATGAGAGATCTGCTTCCCTAACATATGGGGAGAAAAATATCTATGTGGGTCATGGAATGAATTGCAGTGATCAGGAAATTGATGTACTCTTCTGCATCTCACAAGAAATAAATGAGACTTTCTGCCACTCCGCATCCTTGCTAGCAATTGGTATTGTCGATTTTTTAGATTTTAGTCCATTCTAATAAGAATGTAGTGGTATCTCCCTGTTTTCTGGTTTGCAATTTCCTAATAAAAAATGACATTGACTATCTTTTTACATGCTTATTTGCCATTTGCATGTCTTCTTTGTTAAGGTGTCAGTTCAGATATTTTGCCCATTTTTTAATTGGTTTACATGTTTTCTTATTGTTGAACTTTGGAGTTCTTTGTATATTTTGAATACAAAGCCTCTATTACACACACACACACACACACACACACACACACTGGTTTGTTTGTTTTTTTTTAATGTGAAAAGTCTTTGTTTGTAGGACACCAGGAATTTAATTGAACAGGCCAACTCTTCAGATGACTCCTCCTTCTTGTCATCTTTCTTCTGCAGCAGGGGTAGAACCAGCAGCAGGACCTGCAGAGCCCAGAGAAGCAGAGAGGGCCACAGCCCCACCAGCAGGCACACTGGCAAGCTCACCAATACCTTGGGCAATGATATCTTCAATATTTTTTCCATTCAGCTCACTGATAACCTTGTTTAGCCAGTCATCAGTTGCCTCCATGCCTACTCTGTCCAGGATCTTCTTAATGTCCTTGGCACTAAGGGAGGTGTTGCTCATGAGGGAAGGTAATAGGTAGGAAGTGAGATACACCATCTCAGTGGCAGTGGCAGTGGCAGTGGCAGAGGAGGGGCCTCATGGGTCATGGTATATATGTTTTGCAAATATTTTCTCCCGATCTGTGACTTGTCTTTTCTGGAACTTTGGAAATAAAGCTAAGGCACAGAACAAACAAACTTAAATGGTCTATCCAAGAGAAACTGCTGAATCTTAGTAAGCTAGTAGGGGTCTGTGATATTTTAACTTGGGGATCCCAAGCTCAGTGGCATCGTATTCAAACTCTGGCAGCCTTGCAGTCAGTAGAGAGGTTTGACCTCTTTTGGACCTCTGTTAAAAGAAGTAAAAGTCGTGTTCACTGAAAACTATAAAACATTGTAGAAAGAAATGAAAGATTTAAATAAATGGAAAGTCATCCCATGTTCATGGGTTGGAAAACAATATTATTAAGATGACAAAACTCCCCAAATTGATCTATAGATCCAATGCAATCTCTAACAAAATCACCGCTGGCTTTCTTGTTTTTTGTTTTGTTTTTTTGCAGAAATCAACAAGCTGATCTTAAAACTAATATAGAAATGCAAGAGACACAAAATAGTCAAAGCAATGTTAATAATGAAGGACAAAGTTGAAGGACTCACACTTCCTAATTTCCAAACTTACTACAAAACTACAGTTATAAAGAAAGCACGGTACAGGCATAAAAGTAAACATATGGATCAATGGAATAAATTGAGAGTCCAGAAATAAACTTTCAGATTTACGGTCAATGGATTTTTGACAAGGGTGCCAAGATAATTTATTGAGGAAATAATAGTCAGTTCAACAAATGATGCTGGGACAAGCATCAAATAGATATGCACATCTAAAAAGATGATGTTGGACTCCTTCCTCACACCATACATAAAAATTAACTCAAAATGGATCATAGACCTAAATGTATGTAGAGGCTGAACTATAAGACCCTAGAAGAAAACCCAGGTAAAAATTTTTATGGTCTTCATTTACACAGTGGTTTCTTAATACTTAAATTGGGCTTCATCACAATTTAAAAACTTTGTGCTTCAAGGAACACCATCAAGAAATTGAAAATACAGAATAGGAGAATATCTTTGCAAATTATATCTCCAACAAAGTACTTGTACCCAGAATATGTAAAGAACTTCTATATCTCAATAATAAAAAGACAAATAACTCAACTTAAAAAGTGGGCAAATGATTTGACTACACATTTCTCCAAAGAAGATATACAAATGGCCAATAAACACATGAAAAGATGTTCAATATCCCTAGTCATTAGGGAAATAAAAACAAAACCACAAGATAACTGCTTTGCAACCAACAGCGTGTCTATAATAAAGAAAAATGGCAATACCAAAGTGTTTTCAATAAAGTGGAAACTTAGTATCCTCTTACGTTGTTGGTGGGAATTAAAATAGAGTAGCTGCTTTGGAAAACATAGTGGCTGGGTGCAGTGGCTCACGTCTGTAATCCCAGCACTTTGGGAAGCCGAGGCAGGCAGATCACTTGAGGTCAGGAGTTTGAGACCAGCCTGGCCAACATGGCTAAACACAAAAATTATCCAGGCCTGGTGGCGGGTGCCTGTAATTCCAGCTACTCGGGAGGCTGAGGCAGGAGAATCGCTTGAACTCAGGAGGCAGAGCTTGCAGTGAGCTGAGATTGTGCCACTGTACTCCAGCCTGGGCAACAGAGTGAGACTCTGTTTAAAAAAAAAAAAAAAAAAAAAAAAACCTAAACATAGTGTTACTATATGGCCCAGCAATTTCACTCCTATGTAGAATATATAACCAACAGAAATGAAAACATATGTCTACACAAACTTACACTTAAATATTCATAGTGACATTACTCATAAAGACCAAAAAGTGGAAACAACTGAAATTTTCATCAACTGATGAATGGATAAACGAAATTAAGTATATCCATGCAATGGAATATTATTTGGCAATAAAAAAGAAGGAAGTACTGAAACATGTTACAACATGAATGGGCCTTGAAAACATTAGTTAAGTGAAAGGAGCCAGTCACAAAAGGCTGTATATTATATGACTCCATGTATATGAAATGTCTAGAATAGGCTAATGTATCCATATGAAAAGTAGATTAATGGTTGCCAATGGCTTGGGTTGGAAGTGAAGAGCAGGTGAAATGGAAAGTGACTGCGAAAGTACACAAGGTTTCTTTGGGGGATAATTATAATTTCTAAAATTCAACTGTGATGATGATTACAGAATTCTGTGACTGTACTTGAAAACCACTGAACTGTACTTCTTATTTTATTTATTTTCTGTTGAGAGAGGGTCTTGCTCTGTCACCCAGATTGGAGTGCAGTGGCGCAATCAGGGCTCACTGCAGCTTCCACCTTCCTGGACTCAAGTGATCCTCCCATCTCGGCCTCTCAAAGTGCTGGGATTACGGGCATGAGCCACCCCACCTGGCCTGAACTGTACTTTTGAATGAGTAAGTTTTATGGTATGTAAATTATATCCCAATAAATGTGTTAAAAATGAAACAAGCTTGAACCTGGCAGGGCCTGAACAGTACTTCTAAATGAGAAAGTTTTATGGTATGCAAATTATATCTCAATGAAGGTGTTAAAAATGAAATAAGCTTGAACTCAGCCTCCAGAGGTTGCAGTGAGCCCAGATTGCACCACTGCATTCCAGCCTGGGCAACAGAGTGAGACTCTGTCAAAAATAAAAAAGAAACAAAAAAGCTACAGATTAGGAGAAAATAATTGCTAAATATGTATCTGATAAAAGACTGTGTCTACAATATACAGAAAACTCTTGATAATAATAAGACAATTCATTTGATAAATGGGCAAAATATTTTAATGTATATTTTATAAAAGGAGCTATATAAATGGCTAATAAGTGCATGAAAATATGCTCAACATCGTTGGCCACTTAGACAATGCTAATTAAATACATAATGAGATATTGTTACATATACTCTAGAATGGCTATAATCCAAAAGGCTGAAAACATGTGTCAGTTAGGATGGGGAGAAATTAAAACCCTCATGTGTTGCTGGAGAAAATATAAAATGGTATAATCCTTTAGAAAACAGCTTAGTATTTTGTTAAAAATGTATATACATGGATTTGCCATACAACCTAGCATTTCTACTCCTAGATGTTTGCTCATGAAAAATGAAAATGTATCTATATAAAACATTGTCTATGCATTTTCATATAAACATTACTCAAAATAATCCGAACTGGAAACAATCATAAAGTACAACTGGTGAACAACTGTATAAATTTACTAAAAGTCATACAACAATAAAAAGCAAGTTAATGTTATGCTGCTTAATCAGAGGATAATAGGCTACATGGCTTCAGCCTATGAATGTCTACAGATAGCTATTCATCCTAATCTTTAACTAAACATTCCAAAACATCAGAACTTTTGGCTCTAGACAGTTATTTTGTTCCTAAGTTAAATTCCTTCTTTATTTATACTCACATACTCACAGAATCTCTGGGTTAGAAATCATCTTATCAGTTATGTAATCCAACCATCCTTCCAGTATTTGAATACCATATGAAATATTTCCACAAAGTGATATACTTGAATAACTGTTGCTAAGGACATTTTATTTTATTTTTTAAATTTTTATTTATTTATTTTTTTGAGACGGAGTCTTGCTCTTGTTGCCCACGCTGGAGTGCAATGGCATGATCTTGGGTCACTGCAACCTCTGCCTCCTGGGTTTAAGAGATTCTCCTGCCACAGCCTCCCGAGTAGCTGGGACTACAGGTGTGCACCACCATGCTCGGCTAATTTTTGTATTTTTAGTAGAGATGGGATTTCACCATGTTGTCCAGACTGGTCTCAAACTCCTGACCTCAAGTAATCTGCCTGCCTTGGCCTCCCAAAGTGCTGGGATAACAGGCCTGAGCCACTGTGCCTGGCCGGGAAATTTTATTATTCATGAAGCCAAATCATTCAATTTTTGTCTTCTACTGACTGTGAGCAAGTCCGTCCATACAACCAATATTGTCTCCACGTACTTCTTACAAGTTCTTTCTATTTTAGAAACCAACAAGTAAAGTCTAACTCCTTTTCTATGTGACATTTTCCCAAATTTTTCAATTTATCTGTCATTTCTTTTTCACATTTTGTTTCTCTGGACCTCAATGGAAATGGTTATCATGGATGCAATTTACCATAAAAACTCCCTATTAGGATAGGTATATCTGTTATAAGGATTATTATGAATTGAACTGAATTCAATAATCTACATGTGGTACCATGAATATATGTCCTTATTTCTATCTTTATAAGAGTCACTGCCAATCTTATAATTTCTACTATTACATAGAATATAACATGTAGTAAAAGCTTTTGCATTGATGTTCAATTTTATTTTTTATTTTTTTAGAGATGGGTCTTGTTATATTACCCAGGCTGGCCTTGACTCTTGGGCTCCAGTGATTCTCCTGCCTCAGCCTCCAAAATATGATGTTGTTTTATTCCCTAGATTTAGTTTACCATTGGTGGTTGGACCCGATTGCTCTTATATTTGAATATTTATGTCCTAATACAATAAAACCTCTCTTCTTGAGTAATTTCCATTAATCAACTTTTGAGTGAGCATATAGAAATAGATATGAACAAATAGAATTCTACTATTTTCTGGTTATTCTCTATGTCATAAAATAGATATCACAAAACACTTTATAAAAATTAACTTTATTAAAATGAGCTATGTGGAGAAATTATAGCCCTTGTGGACAGTTGGTGAGAATGAAAAATGATGCCACCATTACAGAAAACAGTATAGCAGTTTGTCAAAAAATTAAAAGTAGAATTACTGTATGATCTAGCAATTCCACTTTTGGGTATATACCCTAAATAACTGAAAGCAGGAATTCAGACAGATATTTATACACCGATATTCATGGCAGCATTATTCAACATAGCCAAAAGGTGAAAGCAACTCAAGTACCTATCAACTGATGAATAGATAAACCAAATGTGGTATATACATACAATAGAATATTATTCAGTCTTAAAAAGGGAAGAAATTCTGACACATGCTACAACATGGATGAACCTTAAAGACATTATGCTAAGTGAAATAACCCACAAAGCAAAAACACTCTATGATTTCATTCATATGAGGTATCTAGAGTATTCAAAATCATAGATGGAAAATAGAATAGTGGTTACCAGAGGCTGGTGGGGACAGAATATGGAATATGGGTAGTTATTGTTTAATGGGTACAGAGTTTTAGTTTCAGGAGATGAAAAAATTCTGGAGATTGACGCTCAATGTGAATGCACTTAATGCCACTGGCTGTACACTTAAAAATGGTTAAACTAGCAAATTTTATGTATATTTTACTACAAGTATAAAAAAAATCCAAAATACATTCTCCTTAAAATACAAACCACTTAAAAACTTAAAAGTGGTTTGTATTAGAAAAATAAATTTCTCAGAATTGCAAAAAAGGAGAGATAGTTTAATATGTCTTGTTCTATATGAATAATTAATATATTTTTTATATTCTCAAGGTAACTGATAATAGCTTAGTTACAGAAGTTACCAGTATAAAATTATACACCAGCACACCAATATAAATACTAGTTAAAAACCAAATCTACAATTATAAAATTAATTAAATCAATTAACCTCTCAATTTAAAAATTAACTATTTCAATTTCTGGAATTCTGTTTTCTCTTCTATGTCCTCATAATTCACCAAACTACACTGACATTGGCTTTGAGATACACATTTGTCTCCAGTAATCTGATCTGTCATTTATTTGGACCTTTAGCAATGAATTAATTTTCAGTGAGAAAATTATTGTCTTAAGCTTTAAATATACTTTATCAGTATTTTGCTTCCATGTATGTTTTTTATGATAATTATCCCTATTAGGAGAGAAAACTGAAGTCAGAACTTGGCAAACCAGATTTATTTCTCTGTTAACATTTTATTATGGCAAAAGTACATGGAGTTACTGTAGGTTTTCATAAGAAACATGATAAATATATTTTAAGCTATTGTATTTTCTACATGTATAATGCATTAGTAGAAGAAAACAATGGATAAAGAAGGGTAGCAAGGTTGTTAAATTATTATAATGTAAATGAATCACTCAACAATCAAAAGAATCAACTAATAATGTAAATGCATGCTACTTCCTCAGCACTATGATGACTTCTAAAGGTGTTGTGGTAAAATGTATGGTATAGTTTTTGTACCCTCAAGAATAAAATATAATTAGACTATTATTATGCAAGACAAAAGTACTAAACAAGAACTCTTTGGAAATCATTACATAATGTGCTATTTTGGAATCTAAGCTGTTAAGTGCTTTAGGGTTTAAGAGAACGGTAGATAATATTGATAGTTGGGAGAATTATGAAAAAAAATTCATGTAAAAGAAAATTAGCTGGACCTAATAAATATCTAGGGTTTGATTTGCAAAGGAAGTAAAAAGAATGCCTTCATTTAGTAGGAAAAACATGAGTACAGAAATATGGTAAGAAAATGGAAAATCTGGTTACAATTTTAGAATAAAAATTATTATAGATTTCCTTATGCTGATGCGGGAGTGGAAAATTTAAAATTAGAATTGTTAACCTCAGATCCAAATTTGAAGTGGTGGGGTTTGAGAGTTTCAGTGAGCCTCGTTTAACTAGTGTGTGTGTGTGTGTGTGTGTGTGTGTGTGTGTGTGATATTGGAGAAAGAACTTCTGGCTTTTCTACGGATCTAATTTACATTGAATTGTACAAGCATTGATGGGATGTTTGACAAACCTTGAAGATGTTGTGATTACAATTTTTGGTGAATTGGAAGGTCAATTCTGGGGGCTTGTTCAATGAAAACATTAAGGCAACAGAAGTAAATATAGCTCTTCATCAAGGAAATTTTATTTGAGGGAGTTTACATTGTTCTCTACAGTAACAACAAAAATAGGGCAACTTACAGAGAAGTTAGTAAGCTAAGTAAACATTTTGTCTTTAGCAAAGCTTATCATTTGCATATTTCTTATTTCTTGATTAAGAAGACTCTTGCAACCAACCTTTTAAAGCCTTCCTTTACCTCCTTGTTCCTAAGTGTATATATAAGGGGATTCAGCATGGGTGCAATGATTCCATAGAAGAGAGAAACCATCTTTCCTTGGTCCTTGGAGCTGGGCGAAGGTGGTTGCAGGTACACAGAGACGGCTGTACTATAAAAAAGAGACACCACAATTAGATGGGAACCACATGTCCCAAATGCTTTTTGTCGACCTTCAGCAGACTGTATCCTCAATACTGCTCGGACAATAAAAGCATATGATATAAGGATGAGTGTCAGGGGTATTAGATGGAAGAGCTCACTGACAAGGAATAGTTCAGCCTCATTTGCTGTTGTCTCAACACAAGATAACTTGAGCAGTGCAGGGACTTCACAGAGAAAGTGATCTATCACATAGGGGTCACAGAGTGGCAGCTGGAGAGTCAGGGTAGACAACCACACTGAGTTACTAAAACCAGTAACCCAGGATGCAGCTGCCAACTGGAGGCAGAGTCTCTGGTGCATGATAACTGAGTAATGGAGAGGCCGACAAATAGCTACAAACCTATCAAAGGACATGACGGCCAGGAGAAGATATTCAGTAGCCCCCAAGGCCAGAAATATGAAAAGCTGGGCTACACAGCCACGATAACTGATTACTTTCCTGATGCTGCATAAATTTACTAGCATTTGTGGGACTGTACATGTGGTGTAACAAAGATCCAGGAGTGATAGATTGGTAAGAAAAAAATACATGGGGGTATGAAGTTTGGTGTCCAGGCGTGACACTAGAATAATGGTCAGATTGCCAAAGATGGTCACAGTGTAAGAAATCAAGAAGACCACAAGGAGTGGAAACTCCAGCCAAGGTCGATCTGAGAAACCCAGCAGAATAAACTCCTGTATGATGCTGTCATTTACCCAATTCATGATTAATGTTTCAACTCTTGGTTTCCTGAAACAGAAAAATTCAGGAAGTCAATTAACACATATTTGTTAACTATTTCAGTTACTTATAGTCATTTTACTACCTGTTTGAAGATATTTACAGAATTGATATTGCTTGTTTTATTACATGAAAAATATACAGTTGAAAATGCTCATAATTACCAAAGTATTTCTAAAATTTAATCTTTCTATATCTGTATCATCACTGCAAAAGTGAAAGCTAAAATGTAAAAAGTAGATTCCTGATTTTAAACAACTTTCACAAAATTTCTTCTTTGATTTTTTGTCATTTGGTTAATTTTTGTAATACTGTCCACATAGATAGCTATTATTAGATTCGGTCATAATCTCTAACACATTTTTTTCACTCTAATTTCTCAATGTTAAGGAAACTGCCTTGTCATCTGAAACAAACAATTTGTTAGTTTCTTAAATTTTTTTTTATTTCAATAGGTTTTTGGGGAACAGGAGGTGTTTGGTTACATGAATAAGTTCTCTAGTGGTGATTTCTGAGATTTTGGTGCACCCACCACCTGAGCAGTGAACACTGTACCCAATGTGTAGTCTTTTATCCTTCAGCTCCCTCCTTCCCTTTCCCCCCAGTCCCCAAAGTCCATTGTGTCATTCCTCATAGCTTAGTTCCCACTTATGAATGGGAACATACGATGTGAAACAATTAAAATTATTTAGACCGCCTCAAAAACTATGCATATAGGCTGTAGCAAGCTATTAGACACATCTCAGGGAAACATCTTTTGCCTTCTAAGACCTTATCAAATTAGAATAAAAAGATATTAGTAGCATGGAATTTGGAGGCAGACAAGTCTGGGTCCATGTCCCTACTACATAAGTCATTAGTTACATCCTCCTGGGAATGTTTCTTACTCTTTGTGAGCTTCAAGCTCCTCACCTATAAAATGAGTATAATAATACCTTCCTGGGATAGTGGTACAAAGTGTAGACAAAAGGAACTGTAGTCATCTTCTGATGCTCAGAGAAAAATTATGTATGATTTTCAGAACTTTAAATGTCCTGGGGTTGCCAATAAAAAATGACTCTGTGAGGTAATATTTATCTTGTTCTCTCCACAACTCCAATACCATCAACTTTAACAACAGAGATAATAATAACTATCTGATGTGAAGTATAAATGTGATCTTTAATGTAAATTACCTGGTATAATGGCACACAGCAATGTGAATGAAAGTATCATATGACACAGGAACTCTGAGACATTCGGGGCAGAGGCTGTTCAGAGCCCTAAATTTGCTAAGTACTAATATAAGTCAATGCTACCAGTTAAAAATTTCCAAATCATCTATCTTGCTACCACCACCCTCTATTGTTTTATTATAATTTTGTTAGTGTAAAAATGTCAATTTAAGGATAGGATCATAAATTTTAAACTATTATTCAATATGTATTTCAATTTTGCTCACTTATTCTACAGTTCTCAGTATAAAATGGCAGGGAAAGCTTTTATAGCCTCTCAAATGAGTCCCTGCATATTATTGACAGCTGCATATTATTGACATGCTATGCAGCTGTCAATAAAATTAGGAATGTGGTATAGATATAAATTCAGATATAGATATACATGTACAAAAACATTCAAATCCTTAAGGAAAAAAACAAGTTTCTGAACATGTATTTAGCATGCTTCCATGTGTTTACATAAGGGAATATAATCATATTGGTCAGTATTCATATATGTATAAAATTACCTGGAAGTATACAGAAGTGTTAAAAGCTGTTACTTCTGGGGAATGGAAATGGAAAGAGGGAGAAAAATCAGATTTTGATATTTAACTTTATCCTTGCTTTTTCTAATTTTTAACAAATATAATGCTTTTTATTATTAATAAAGATTATTATGTATTATATAATAACTTTAAGTGAGGACATATTCATACTGTATGTTTTACTATAAAGACAAGCATTGCTTTAGACTTTATAACTGAAACAATCTTATATGAATTTAGACTTTTATCTCAACAAATTTTTAAAACAGGATCTACATTAATCTACATGGACATTTTCTAAAGACTGGAATGCAAGGGCATTGGGCATTCGGCATCTTATTGACAAAAAAAAATCAAAAAGAGTTGCCACTCATTATAGGAATTCTGAAAAGCAGAACAAATGGAATCCATAAAAAGAGATTTCACAAGTTCACAATTTCCTTGAATTAACAAGTGTTGGAAAATACCCTCAGTCTATATAATTAGGGTCACTGCATATCTCAGTTTGCACAGGACTGCGAGTTTACTCCTGCTGTTCTGACACAATTACTAATAGAACCCTTCAGTCTTCAAAAGAGTTCATGTTTGGGTGATAAGTTATAAGGTCTCTCTAGCTGTAATATTGGAGACTAAAATAATTTTCAAATTATTGTTCAAGAGATACCTCATCACTGAGGACACTGCATATGCTTTCTCCTTACTTGGGCCAGTGGCTTTCCCTGACCAGCCCTGTATCTGGCATTTCTCTGCTAGAATACAGCCAAAAACAAACTCTCCAAGAAGCCCTGACTAATGAAAATTCTAGAAGGGAGGAATTCAATTAACTTCTACTCTTTCTCACTGAGGTTCAGCAATTACAAAAGTATTAAATGCACTTCTGTTATAGGTAATGTCCATGATCCACAGCAGTGAGGGAAATTTTGCCCCAAATTTCTCCTGCATGAGAACAAAAGTACTGGGGAGACTGTAGTACAACTCATTCTTATATTCTGCTTTGCTAACTTTTGGGGCAAAATTTCCCCATCTTTCAAATATCCAGTAACCTCTTTACATATCCACTCTAAAAGAGAGAACTTTTGTTAAAAAGTTGAAAAATTGTCTGGGTGTGGTGGCTCACGCCTGTAATCCCAGCATTTTGGAAGGCTGAAGTGGGTGGATCACCTGAGGTCAGGAGTTCAAGACCAGCCTGGCCAACATGGTGAAACCCCTTCACTACTAAAAATACAAAAATTAGCTGGGCATGGTAGCACACACCTATAATCCCAGCTACTCAGGAGGCTGAGGCATGAGAATCACTTGAACCTGAGAGATGGAGGTTGCAGTGAGCTGAGATAGTGCCACTGCACTCCAGCCTGGGCAACAGAGTGAGACTCCATCTCAAAAAAAAAAAAAAAAGTTGAAATATTATCTTGCACACAGAAGTTTCAAGTAATTTGAATTGTTATTCTTATCACTATCATTGGATTGGAAGGACTTGTTAACAATGGAAACAAGTAGGAATCTTGTATCTCTGAAATCCTCGCAGATAGCATAACCAATTATTTACCTGATTACACCTGTGCTGATGGTGGTGCCCAGTCATGGCTGAGATCGCAAAAGGCTACACAATCTATTTCTCTGGTCCTGAATAGAATTCTGTTTACAGCATCTTCAGAGGATATCATTCTCATTTTGAGTTAACGAGCTTTCCTTTGGTCAACATAGGAACATATTTTCATAATGTGAGACAAAAGGGATCAGATTGCATAGCAACTATCTTACAACTGCAGGTAAGAAAAAGTGAGTATTGGGCCAGGCACAGTGGCTCCTGCCTGTAATCCCAGCGGGAAGCTGGGGCTGATTGCTTGAGTCTGGGAATTCCCAGCATTTTTGGGAAGCTGAGGCAGATCGCTTGAGTCCAGTCCAGCCTGGGCAACATGGCAAAACCCTGTCTCTACCAAAAATACAAAATTAGCTGAGTGTGGTGGCATGCGCCTGTAGTTTCAGCTACTCAGGAGGCTGATGTGGGAGGATTGTTTGAGCCCAGGAGGTTGAGGCTGCAGTGAGACATGATCGCACCACTGCACTCCAGCCTGGGCAACAGAGACCCTGTCTCAAAACAAAACATAACAAACAAAGCAAAAACAAAATTGAGTACTGTAAAAAGCAACAGTTGAAAAGGGTTATTTGGACCTTTAGAACTTTTATCTATACATAACTCAGGATATTTCAATTTTATTGTCTGAATAAATACAATCACCACCCGTTTGCTTGTATATTAGTTGGGATTGCATCCATCAGCTACATACTGAAGTTATTCAGTATATGGCTGACAGAGGATTCTGAATGACGAGGTTCAACAAAGTCCTGAAAACTTTATTTTAAGCTGTTTACTATGCAGTGAGCATTGAGATAAGAAATATGACAA
This sequence comes from Homo sapiens, assembly GCF_000001405.40. Taxonomy (NCBI): domain Eukaryota; kingdom Metazoa; phylum Chordata; class Mammalia; order Primates; family Hominidae; genus Homo; species Homo sapiens. Next base: position 27,953,073 of record NC_000006.12, on the reverse strand, counting down.
CAGCTGTAGTTTAGATGCTGCTACTAAGTCACTTCACTACTGGGCAAGTTACTCAATGGCTTTGGGAAGCAGTTTAATCTATGGTAACACCAGAGTTTTCTGTTTTCCATTCGACATAAAAATTGTTTGCTTCTAAGTTTTCTATAATTATCATACCTCTGAGAATGTATAAAAAGCTTTAAATATACTACAGTGAACCCCCATGTTCCTGCTGGAGTATAAGGATAAATACTAGGAGTAATTTTTCACACAACAGTGCAATTTGGCTTAGAATAGATGAAAAGTTTGCCAATATTTTTTGTCTGTTTCACAAAAGGTTAATTATTCAGGTAGAAATCTGAATTTAGAGGTTCAGAGAGATTATTTTCATAGGCTAGATTATTTTCATAGGCAGACAGAAGGTTCAAATCTAAGACTGCTCTGCTCTCAAGTTTTAATTTCCAGTAGAGATAACAAAACATTGCAAATAGCAGTATAAAACAAATAAATGGAATTAAGAAACTGGAGCCTTAGTCAAATTTTTCTGAGTGAGATAATCATAAACGTCCATAAGTGCTCAAAACACCCAAATTTTAGCAGGTTTTATATAATAAATTTCTTAAATGTGTTCTACATACCTCTATTTTAAGCATTAGTGATAGGATGATTTGTGTGTCCAAGAAGCTTTAAATTCAAATAGGATGAACTGGAGGCATGTGGATTCAATAACCTCTTCGTAAGCTATTAATTGTAAAAACTGATATGGTGAAGTTTGTTCATTTTTCCCTTGTTTCACGCTGTAAGTGGCAAATTATAAGATATCCATTCAGGATTAATTTAGAAAATATGAGAATAGGTACAAAGCATTACAGATGATCAGACATGTTTTTCTGATATTATATTACCAAGTATGAAGGTATTTATTGATCTTTCCAGAATTCTCCTCACCAGGTTTACAAAATAAATGAGAGGGATAGGAAACTATTTTTGAATGTCGGGTGTTCTCTGGCTTACAGGGGAAGATAACAACCCTCATGTGGTTTATGGTAATTGACCATGGTATCTGATGGGAAGAGAGAAGGAGGAGATCTCTGTGATGTGATACTTCATTTTAGTTTAGATTTGCTCCCTGATACCCTTTCTCTGGGGATTGTCTCCTCAATTGTTTCTGAGACAAAAGGGAACGACAGCAGGGACTAAAATACTTTATCAAATAAAGTCTGGATTTTGTGCCATTAAACTGAGTGTTCGTTTCCTTTTTACTAATCAAGTTCTGTCAAGCCACAGAAAACTGTCCATTTACTCTGAAATCCTGAGGTCAGTATCTATGCAATAAAATAGGCTTCCAGTTAATTTGATGTAGAAATATTTTTACCTTGATTTACATAAAGTAGTTTTCTTCATTATATATCCAAATAGGCTTCTTTTCTTTCATAGATTTTGAATTTCTAGCCTTAGTTGAAAAGCTCTTCGGGTCAATGTAATTTCCTAGATTTTTTTCCAAGATTAAAAAGAGATTTATATTTTTCTATAGTTTTTCTATACAGGATTTGTTTTTATACATTCTAATATATAGTTTCCTCAGCTTTCAAGGATGAGTAGATATGAGAAAATATATTTGTGGTTATGTAAAAGGTTGGTATCTACAATATAAATAGAGTTTTTATAAAGCCCAAGAAAAACACAAATAACACAATTGAAAAAATGCTAAATAATATGACCATATACATACTGTGAACTCAGAATAGCAAATCTATATAAGATTTTAAATTCCCAAATATTCAGACAAATATATTAAAGTAGTAATGATGAGTCACTTATCAGATTGAAAAAACAATGTAACTAGCAGTAACTCCTGAATGTTGCTGAAGGAAAAAACCTCTCATAAATTATGGTTAGAAATTCAAAGTGTCACTGACATTTTAGAAATAAATAGGGCAGTTAATCTTGAAAAAAATACTCTGTTCATCAACATAGCAATGGCATTCATGGAAATCTATCCTATGGAATAAAATATACTGGTACACAAATCGTAGAAACAATAATTTTTATTGTAGCAATGTTTGTGGTGGCCAAAGTAGAGAAAAAATTAGTTTCTCAATAGGAAATTGACTAGTAATTAACCTAATCCAGAAGTATTTGCCTGTGATGTTGCTGAGTGAGAAAATGAAGATGTAAAAAAGAATAAATAACATGATCTTAATTATATAAACAATGACTAAAACACTCTCAATATAACTGTATGTATTGTGCGCCTGCATGGAATTATACGAGAGTGAAGAAGAATAAAGAACACTTGTTAGCTCCTTCATGTGGGCAATCTGGAGCACAGAGGCTGATAGCTGTGAAGGGAGAAGGAAGGGGCATCAAGTAAACCAGGGAAAAAGACTAAGATGTAATCCACAAAAAATAATGTATAGCATTTAAAACCTTCCCAAACTAATAACAGTGCTTATCTCTGAAAGTAAGAGTGAGCGTGAGGGCGGGATTAGTCAGAGGAAAATGTTTATAATGTTGGATTTTCTTTTTTCTCATAAATGCTTACAATAGATAATTTAAATAAAGGCAATAGTATTTAAAGAAAAAAAAACAGAGGGCTAAACAAATAAGAAAATAAAGACAAATCTTTAGTTTGCAGAGTGAACCAAGGTAAATAAACTAAAAAAATTCAGTAGTCCTTAAAGTGAAAAATTAAGAAATAATGCTCAGTTATCAAAGGGACTGGAAACAGGGAAGAATCTGTAGTTTAATAATAATAGTATCAATGTTTACTATGCTTACAATGTCCTATAAAATTGCTACACTTTATCTTTATTTTTTTAATGTGGAAATGGAGGCTTAGAGAGGTTAAACAAACTTTCCAAAATTAACATAATTTGTTAGAAAGCCTAGATATACTATGAATCTACATTTTGGTTTAAGTTTAATTTCTCCTCTTTGACTAATGCTTAAGGATGATTCTTGCCAAACTCAACACTCCCCACTTACTCTAATTTCCCAGAGGACCACTTACTTGATTAGTAGTGAAAGATCTCTTGAAACAATATAACTATAATTTTGTGTATTAATTTCTGACCATCTAATCAATTACCTCTCCTTATATCAGAATGAAATAGGCTTGGCTACAGTAATATTTTAGTGACTAGCCTTGGGGGTTGGATCAGTCAGGCTTAGCTCTCAGGAAGAACTTTGTATATAAGAGGGAACTGAGCATTGAGAAAGACAGTTTTAATAGTACTTTAGGAAACACCAAGTATTAAATATTTGAGAGACTAAGTAAAAATTTAACATGTTCTGAAGCAAGGCTGATTTGCAGTATAAATTAAAGTAGGATACCCAAACCTCATTCTTAGTTTACATTTTCCCTTTTATGATGGGAAGGTCAGCAACATCATTATGTTTAGTATGTAGAAGCTCAGATAAAACTTGGAGCATTCTTGGATTAGATGGGTTTCCATGAACTGATATTATGACTCAACAAATTTTAATTACTGCCCCCAAAATTAGAGTGGGCATGATTCTGGAAGAATTCAGGCCTTTTCATAAATGTAATCTTGGTATCTTATACCTGTATATTGGGTATATGTAGAGTTCAGGCAGGGTCTAGCTAGGCCCCCAAAAGCAAGGATTCAAGAATGGAAGCTAGACACAAATGCATAGGAAAATTTGGAAAAGTGTGACATTGAGAACCTTACAGAACTTAGTGGTCTTAGAAATAGTATTCTAGTTTGTGAAAGCATAGGAATGTGTGAATGTTTTAGTGGGGGAGCTGAATAAATCCTTAGCAATATTTATCTCATTCTGATGCCCATATTTGGTTGAAATATACTTTATGTTATTCTTTGCACTGAATGTTTTGCAAAAATTATTGAGTGGAAATAAGTTCTTTCATGTATATATATGATGAATGCACTGTGGAAAGGAAAAGTAATGAGGTAGAACATAATGTTTTATATAAAATTCTGTCTTGCAAATTTGCTGAAAATTAGAATCAAATTCTATGTCAATAAGGCAGGTGAGCCAGTTGTATTTTCTGTAAAAGAAATTCTATAACAGCAGAAAAGGCTGAAGATGTTGGCTCACATTAAGAGGAAATGAGGGTGGTGTGGGGAGATGCTGAAATTCTACAATTATAAAAACCTTCCATACTGAAATTCATAAGAATAATGATTTTAAAACAGTGAATAGTAAGATCACGTGATAAGAGAAATATCTGGAGTAACCGAAGACAACAATAAGGTTTCCTTCAAAACAGGACAGTCAAATTAGTGATTCACTTAATTTGATGCTGCAATTATCAAAAAGAAGTTATTTGAGTACAAAGATAAAAGTGTTCTTTTGAGGCTTCCTTTTAAAAATACCTCCTGTAGTAAAATCTGTCATTTTTATTGTCACAAAATCTTGATCAAATTGTCTCCCCATTTCATTTTACTATTTATCTGTTGCTGATATGTATAGATACAATTGATTTTTGTGCATTGATCTGTTTTCCAGTGACCTTCATGAACGCATTTAATTAGTCTAATAGTTTCTTTGTAGACTCTTTTGCATTTGAACACACACAATCATGTCATTGGGAAAAAAATGATAATTATACTTCTTTCCATTTCTAGTGTATTTTATTTATTTTTCTTGTCTTATTACACAAGCTAGGACCATCAGTATAATGCCAAAAAGAAGTGATGATTGTGGGCCTCTGTGTCTCATTCAATACCTTATAGTTGTGTATGATGTCTGCTGCAGGTTTCTTGTAAGTATTCTTCATCAGCTTAAGTGAGTTTTCACTGTATTCCTAGTTTGCTAAGATTTAAATAGGGGTTTGATTTTATCAAATGCTTTGTCCAAATCTGTAGAGATTTGCCAAATTTTTTTAAAAAATTGATAAATAGTACGAAATGATTTTCAGATGTTACACCACTCTATCCTGCGATAAACAACACGAGTGCAATATGCTATACTTCTTGTATAACACTAGATAAAATTGGTTAACAAAATTGTTTAGGATTTTTATATCTAGGCTCACAAGAGATTGGTCCCTAGTTTTCCTTTCTTGCAATGTCCTTATCAGATTTGGTATTTAAATTATGGTGGCCCTACAAAAGGAGTCATAAATTGTATCTGCTATCTATTTTCAATATAATACTATGGAAGAAATAACCACAAAATCCCTGGGACATCCAAAAATACTTATTTTTGCTTAGAAGTCCCTGGTTTAGCTGAGTGGTTCAGCTCCTCAGGTCTCATTCATGTGTCTGTGGACAATACAGTTTGGCACAATAATTTTACTAGCCTTGGCTGAAGCATCAGTTGAGAAAGAAAACTGGGCTAAAATAGCTCTACTCAGTGTATGTCATTTTTCACTTTGCTATCCTGAGCATGTTCTCAAGATAAAATTGGAGAAGCATGAAAGAGAGTTGGAAGCAGGCAAAGCCTCTGGCATATTCTGTGGACCAAAGAAGTCACAAAACAATTCAGATTCAAGGGCTCAGGGAATAGACTTTACTTCTTGATGGGAGATGCTACAAAGTTACATTGTAAGTGGCATAAACACAGAGAGGGCTATAGAATTAGAAATATTTTTATAATCAATCTATCATAGTTAACAATCTTTTCATATAAGAAATATGCTTACTTCTTTCCAAGATCCCTAAAAGTCTGTCCAATCATGGCATCATGCTCAAAGTCCAGGATCCTATGACCAGCATTGCATTTGGATGCAGCTCCTCTTATCCGCAGACCCACTCTAATAGATACCACGGTGCTCCACCCAGATAACATCTTCAGGGCCAAGGTACTCATCCCCAAGGTCCTAAGATACTGATGACTGATGAATCATCCCTAGAAATTTCTTTGGCCATAGGGAAATGCCTTGGCCAAGGTTTTACCTCCTCCACAGTTTACAAAGACTCATCTTCTTTGCTTCTATTGGGAAAACTCTGAAAGGCCAGCCTAGCTCCTAAGCTCCCCATAAGATTTTCCGAGTTGCAGCCTCAGCTATAAATGCATTTTGGATACTCCTCCAACCTATTTACCAATAGGGAAGGTTTCCATCTCTGAGTGGGCCCCAGAACAGGAAAAGGCTCTTTAGAAATTCCAGACTGCAACATAATTATAGTATTCCACAACTCTAGGCATCATGTGAAGCCACAGGTTAAACTCCAATAGTAGAATTGTAGTGCAGACCCTTAGGGTTCTTAAAGTTATCTGAAATAGAGAACTATAAATGTTTGTAAAACCAGTTTATGGCATGCTATTAGGCACCTGTAGAGTTACAGAGTCTGACCACATGACGTCAAGTAACTATGAGGCAAGAACTGCCCATCATGAGCTGGGTTGCATCCAGATTCATCAAATCATAAGATTGGGTGGGCCGTTGGCAATGCAATATTAGATGGAAATGGTATATCCTGGACAGGGCACAAGCAAGGCTGGCAGTCTAAGTAAGCTTCATGAGCAGGTAGCCTGGTCTTATATGTCATCTTTTTTGCATTGGGACCTCTCCTTCAGTTCATTTCTATGTCTGTCTGTGGCAGAGATTGGGGGTGGCCAATAACTAGCCTGCAGTAGAGAAGAAAGCTCATACATAGCTCATAGATGAGCCAGCCCAATGTGTTAACAGGAGCTGAAAATGGATTGCTGTTACACTACAACACCACTCATGAGTGGTCCTAAAGACACTGGTGAGAAATCTTCCCAATGGGCAGAACTCTGGGAAGTGAACTTGGCCATCTATTTCTGTGTGTGAAAAAAGAAGTGACCCAAGAAAGAATATAATGGGAGGTACAAAATGGCCTGGCTGATTAATTAAGGAGCAAGAATGGAAGATCTGAGACCAATTTGTCTGAAACAGGGATATGTAGATGTTTACATGGAAGTTAGTATAAGTGCGAAGAACTTTGCATTGCACCTTAATGTCCATGAGGGAATATCCATTATGGAAGATGGACTCAACATCTGGGTAGTTGCCTAAGCTAGCTGGCATCAGCCAGCCTCTATCATTAACCATCCCAGTCCTGGCACAACGGAGTTGTAAATGCAGTAGTTCTGGTAAAAGAGATGGAGGCAATGTGTGGACCGAACATCACTGGCTCCCTCTTATCGAAACTGATCTAGCAAGTTGGTGACCAAATTGGAGACAAGTTTACCACCTTAGACCCTTTCCAAATCAGAAGAGGCAGCAATTTATTTTGAAAAGTATAGACAAGAATATGCTAGGTATGAGCCTATCTTTCTTGCCTATAAGGTTTCAACCTTCTTTACTATCTGGTGGTTTATACTAGAGTGGCATGAGATTTCATGTAACATTTTGTAAGGAATAATGCAGTGAAGAACTTTTCAGTGAAGAAAGTATGGCAGTGGGTAAATGATTATGACTGCATTGGTTGTGTCATATATTACACCACACAGAAGCTGCTATGGGATGCAAGGCTGGTTCAATATATGCAAATCAATAAATGTAGTCCAGCATATAAACAGAACCAAAGACAAAAACCACATGATTATCTCAATAGATGCAGAAAAGGCCTTTGACAAAATTCATCAACACTTCATGCTAAAAACTCTCAATAAATTAGGTATTGATGAGACGTATCTCAAAATAATAAGAGCTATCTATGACAAACCCACAGCCAATATCATACTGAATGGGCAAAAACTGGAAGCATTCCCTTTGAAAACTGGCACAAGACAGGGATGCCCTCTCTCACCACTCCTATTCAACATAGTGTTGGAAGTTCTGGCCAGGGCAATTAGGCAGGAGAAGGAAATAAAGAGTATTCAATTAGGAAAAGAGGAAGTCAAATTGTCCCTGTTTGCAGACGACATGATTGTATATCTAGAAAACCCCATTGTCTCAGCCCAAAATCTCCTTAAGCTGATAAGCAACTTCAGCAAAGTCTCAGGATACAAAATCAATGTACAAAAATCACAAGCATTCTTATACACCAATAACAGACAAACAGAGAGCCAAATCATGAGTGAACTCCCATTCACAATTGCTTCAAAGAGAATAAAATACCTAGGAATCCAACTTACAAGGGACGTGAAGGACCTCTTCAAGGAGAACTACAAACCACTGCTCAAGGAAATAAAAGAGGATACAAACAAATGGAAGAACATTCCATGCTCATGGGTAAGAAGAATCAATATTGTGAAAATGGCCATACTGCCCAAGGTAATTTATAGATTCAATGCCATCCCCATCAAGCTACCAATGACTTTCTTCACAGAATTGGAAAAAACTACTTTAAAGTTCTTATGGAACCAAAAAAGAGCCTGCATCGCCAAGTCAATCCTAAGCCAAAATAACAAAGCTGGAGGCATCATGCTACCTGACTTCAAACTATACTACAAGGCTACAGTAACCAAAACAGCATGGTACCGGCACCAAAACGGAGATATAGATCAATGGAACAGAACAGAGCCCTCAGAAATAACGCTGCATAGCTACAACTATCTGATCTTTGACAAACCTGAGAAAAACAAGCAATGGGGAAAGGATGATTCCCTATTTAATAAATGGTGCTGGGAAAACTGGCTAGCCATATGTAGAAAGCTGAAACTGGATCCCTTCCTTACACCTTATACAAAAACTAATTCAAGATGGATTAAAGACTTAAACGTTAGACCTAAAACCATAAAAACCCTAGAAGAAAACCTAGGCATTACCATTCAGGACATAGGCATGGGCAAGGACTTCATGTCTAAAACACCAAAAGCAATGGCAACAAAAGCCAAAATTGACAAATGGGATCTAATTAAACTCAAGAGCTTCTGCACAGCAAAAGAAACTACCATCAGAGTGAACAGGCAACCTACAAAACGGGAGAAAATTTTTGCAACCTACTCATCTGACAAAGGGCTAATATCCAGAATCTACAATGAACTCAAACAAATTTACAAGAAAAAAACAAACAACCCCATCAAAAAGTGGGCAAAGGATATGAACAGACGTAGATTTGGTCTTTTCACATAGTCCCATATTTCTTGGAGGCTTTGCTCATTTCTTTTCATTCTTTTTTCTCTAAACTTCCCTTCTCACTTCATTTCATTCATTTCATCTTCCATTGCTGATACCCTTTCTTCCAGTTGATCGCATCGGCTCCTGAGGCTTCTGCATTCTTCACGTAGTTCTCAAGCCTTGGTTTTCAGCTCCATCAGCTCCTTTAAGCACTTCTCTGTATTGGTTATTCTAGTTATACATTCTTCTAAATTTTTTTCAAAGTTTTCAACTTCTTTGCCTTTGGTTTGAATGTCCTCCCGTAGTTCAGAGTAATTTGATCGTTTGAAGCCTTCTTCTCTCAGCTAGTCAAAGTCATTCTCCCTCCAGCTTTGTTCCGTTCCTGGTGAGGAACTGCGTTCCTTTGGAGGAGGAGAGGCGCTCTGCTTTTTAGAGTTTCCAGTTTTTCTGTTCTGTTTTTTCCCCATCTTTGTGGTTTTATCTACTTTTGGTCTTTGATGATGGTGATGTACAGATGGGTTTTTGGTGTGGATGTCCTTTCTGTTTGTTAGTTTTCCTTCTAAGAGACAGGGCCCTCAGCTGCAGGTCTGTTGGAATACCCTGCCTTGTGAGGTGTCAGTGTGCCCCTGCTGGGGGGGTGCCTCCCAGTTAGGCTGCTCTGGGGTCAGGTGTCAGGGAACCACTTGAGGAGGCAGTCTGCCCGTTCTCAGATCTCCAGCTGCGTGGTGGGAGAACCACTGCTCTCTTCAAAGCTCAGATGGAAATGCAGAAATCACCTGTCTTCTGTGTCGCTCACGCTGGGAGCTGTAGACCCGAGCTGTTCCTATTCGGCCATCTTGGCTCCTCCTCCTTGGCTGTTGTTTTAATTGACTTCTCCCACAACTGGCAGCTCAGTTCAGCTCTTGCTGGCCATGAGAACTCCTGTTTCCACAGAGCTTCACTAAAAGAACATGCTAATATTTTTAATGCCAGTCTAATAAGTGAGAAATTGTATCTCAATATTGTTTTAATTTGTGCCTGTCTAATTATACATGCATTTAAATTTTTTCATATGGTGAGAATAATTTTTTGTCTGGTTTGTTGATTGCTTCACTTCTCCATTTTTCTATTTGATATTTGGCTCTTCTTCCTTCAATGGTTCTTTACATATTAGAGATATTAGCCCTTTGTGCTAGACATTGTGAATATTTTCTCCTATTTTTGTCTGTTGCATTTTGACTTCATTTACAATATTTTTGCCACTTTTTAAATGTGTAGACAAATTAGCCAATCATCAAGGGGAATTCATCCATTTCCTTTTGATACTTTTATGTTTTCAATTTTATCTAGATCCCCAATTCATCTGGGGTTTATTCTTGTATTGGGTGTAAGGAAAGGATCTTATGTTTTTTAATGATGATCTAGATGATCCTGCACCAATAAAAATAATTCTATTTTTACCTAGTTATTTCAGATACCATCTTTGTCATATACTGAATTGCCATATATATTTGGATCTAATTCTGGGCTTTTTATTCTATTCCACTGGTGTAGTCACGCACTAGTACCACGTTATTTTAACTATAGAGCTTCATGATAATGTTTGGAAGGGCCGGTGCTCCTTCATGGTTTTTACTTTTCAGTGTCTTCTTAGCTATTCTTTCATTTTTTGTTTTTCCATCTGAACTTATTATCAACTTATTTCAGGCTAATACTGTTCTAACGGTCTTTATCTCTACCATGTTTTATATATTGTGACAACACTATAAACATGTACATTGTGCTTACAACATGCCAGGAACCATTCTAAATGCTTTCATGTATTAACTCATTTAAACATCAAAATAGCCCTTGGAGAATGGCAATATTATTATTCACATTTTTAAATGAAGAAACTGAAGTATGGAGAAGTTAAATCTAAAGTAGAGATGGAATTCCAATTATTCAAGGAAGCCCATGTTCTTAAACACTTGGCCCTTCTCTCTGCGGATCTATATAACCTCAAAGCTAACTTTATTTTTGACATATATATATCAGATTTGGGGGAAGGCAGAGTGGCTTGGAGCAGCGTGATTTTTCCTTAGACTCTGTATGCCTGGCTCCAGGTGAGAACTCTCTGAGTGTTGATAGGCTGGAGCTGCATGCAATACCACACCAAAGGGTCAGGTGGAGACCATAAGGTAACTAGTGAAAAACCCTGAGGACAAACTTAAGATATTGACTTCCGATACCAGGCCTGACTGCTTATTATTGGATGGAGTGTATTATGATGATAGGAGTGGAATTAACTAGGAGGAGCTTATGAAATCACACATCATGTGAAGGGGGCTTTACAAATCTTTCTCCTAGGAATTGCATATACATGATTCCCATTTACAGCATGAAACTTCTAATCTCAATTGACCTACCAGTCACATATTAGACAGTTGATCACTCCTTCCTTCTGGAAACACTTTCTGCTCTTTCAGGATACACCTGGTCTTGATCTTCCTCCTGCTCACTCAACCCCTTTCTCTGGTTCTTCTTCATTTTCCTGAGATAAAAAATACTGTGCTCGCTACTTCCTTTGCTGGGATCACTCTCCCACAGATGTGCTTTCTTATCTCCATCAGGTCTTTGCTTGAACATACTTTCTAAGGTCTTCCCTGACTTCCTCCATTTGAAATTGCAGCCCTTCTGTAATTCCTTCCACCCTTCCCTGTTATACTTATCGTCATAACACTTACAAAGGTATTACTATCATGTTTCTCTTATTTGTCAGTTTTCTTTCTTCTCCACTAGAATGCAAACTCAATGCTATGATGATTTTTTTGTGGGTGTGTATTTTTGTGTATTTTGTTCCAGTACCTAGAACAATGCCTGGGGCGTAGTAGGTGCTTAATATATATTTGCTGAATGGATAAATGAGGAAGAAAACCTTGAAAATGGACAAAATATGAAATAGGTGAAAGTTGTCTTCATGGCTGTTGTACTACCCATCAAGACAACAAGATGGAAAGTGATGTGCTAATCTGATTAATAGGCACTTATTGAGCTGTCCTCTTATAGATCATAATTTAAAATCACAGTGAGTAGAAAAACACGCACAGAGGCATGTATGTAATATTTATTTCTCCTGGAGTTACTTTCAGCACCATGGCTAAGAGATATGCAATTGTGCACAGTGAGTAGGATCCTGATGCTCTTCTATCTGAACCTCCATCTGCTCTGTCTCTGTAAAAGACCAGACTGTAAGAATGAGTCATAGATTAGCAAAAGGAAGAACCTGTAGAGAATAAAAATGAAATGTTTCTGATACTTTTTTAAATTATGGGCAGTATTATGTGATTCCCATGAGAAGGCAGAACTATTAGAATATATTTGATTCATCCCACTTTATGCCTAAGTAAACTATATCAACTTTATAAACTATCCTACAAATTAAGTAAAAGGTGATGCTGGGCCATGAGGATGTTATTAAGGACATAGTGACATTTTCCCCTGAGACCTGACACTCATTATTCCCTAAAACCTATAATAATGGTTCTAAGTTTTTTAGAGGAGAGTGTAATTAACATAAAGCTTGTGGAGAAAAAATAAAATTTTGAAGAAAATGAGTCAGAAATTCCACAGGGTGCTTCCAAAATCAATGTATTTTTGAGATTTATACTGTTTTTTTAATCTTCTGTCCTACCTATTAATTCTAAAGTAATGCATGTCTAAACAGTATGGAGATTATAAAAAATTAATGTAATCATTGTTTTTAGAGAATGATTCTAAAAGGATTTTTATTTATTTAGAAATGTATAGTATATACATGCTAGTAAGACACATAAATTGTTTTCTAGTAGAAGAGATGGAAAATGCTAAGCTGTGGGTCTCCAAATTCTGTTGGCTGAATTGATCCCTTTGATAAACATTATCATGGACAAATATCATATTTCACTCCGTGTAATAAAGTAGGAAAAATCAAACATATTCTAATTTTTCTGCCTTTTTATGGAAATAACAGAATATCTTCCACAATCCAAATCAAACCAAAACCCCGTTCTCATAAACCCTAACTAATCTAAATAAAATATAATGTAATCCACCAGATAAAATATAAGAGTTAGGGCTCAAAAAGTGGTAAATATGCACATTATATCTGACAGTTACATATTTTGAGGAAAATACATTAGCTATGTGGTACATTTTCTAAGGCTTCTAGATTAACCTGACCTTTCTTAAAATTTTTGAGGGAGTTTAAATGAGAAATTGCTAGACCCATTTTGTATCCAGTTCCTAATGATGCTGCTGGCAATACTCCCAAATTTTGGAATCCCTTATTCATTTGCAGAAATTTTAACATAATAGATGTTTTCCCAAGTTTTGAGATAAGATTGATTCAAATGATATGTCAGATCTGAAGAAACATACTTACCTTTAAGGTGGACATCCATTATTTGACACGAACCATTCAAATCAATTTCCCTGATGACTATTGAGGTACTGCTATCATTAATGTAAATGTGAAGAAATCAACACTTGGGGAATAACCCAATCATAAAGATTCTAACAGTCCCCCAGAATTAATCTCATTTCTCTCTGCCTCTATTCAAGGTTATCCTGATAACATATGGGAAAAGTGGAGACGGAATTATCTTCAAACATTTTAATCAAAAAGACTCCTTAGCTTTCTTTTGCCATTAACAAGTAATAACAAGGATTGAGTAGTAACAAGAAATTCTTCCTTCCACATAAAGCAAACACCTCATGGTCTTGCTTTATCTCCTTTCTTCTTGATTCTCTATCATCTCAGAAAATCAAACATGAATGTCATTAAGCTCAATTATATAAATGATTCAAAATGTGCAGAATCCACGGTTGATTATGGTGTTGGATATACTAAAGCTGGATAATTAAACAATTTATTTTGGCTCTCATTCAAGCATTTGGCACTATAAAAGCATATTTGAACTTTCTAGAAAAAAATAAGTGCTTCTTCAGCAAGACTTCGAAGATCTTTCGTTTCATATATTGCTGAGGACCTACTAAGTCCTTCTAAGATCTTTCTTTTCATACATCGTTGAGGACCTATTAAATAACTGTGATAGAAACTGGTATGAGAACAAAAATGCCTAGTGTCTACATTCACGAACAATATTTTGGAGGCTTCTGGTGATGAATGCTTGATTTAGAAGGACTTGAAAGGAATACAAGTGATTGTCAACTCAGGAGGAATATTACATTTTTTACACTCTTGCTTTCTTTCTTTCTTTCCTCTTTCTTTCTTTCTTTCTTTCTTTCTTTCTTTCTTTCTTTCCTCTTTCTTCTCTCTCTCTCTCTCTCTCTCTCTCTCTCTCTGACAGGGTCTTGCTCTGTCACCCAGACTGAGTGCAGTGGCACAA